>NC_000011.10:122930000-123233030 GCF_000001405.40 Homo sapiens
CATGAGAGATGGGGAGCAGAGACCAGTGCAGTCTACACCATCAAGACGCCCAGCTGTGAACTGAGAAAGAGATAGATTTTTCTTTGCTTTTGTTTTTTGAGAAAGGGTCTTGCTCTATCACCCAGGATGGAGTACAGTATCGTGATTTTGGCTCACTGCAACCTCTGCCTCCCAGGTGCAAGCGATTCTCCTGCCTCAGCATCCCGAGTAGCTGGGATTACAGGTGCAGGCCAGCACGCCCAGCTAATTTTTGTATTTTTAGTAGAGACAGGGTTTCACCATGTTTGTCAAGCTGGTCTCAACTCCTGACCTCAAGTGATCCACCCGCCTCTACCTCCCAAAGTGCTGGGATTACAGGCATGAGCCACTGTGCCCAGCCAAGAAAGAGATAGGATTTAACCAGAGGATGTATTCAAGTGAATGTTTTTTTCCTTCTTTTCATAGGAGAGACTTAAATACATTTACATGCTAGAAAGAACGAGAAACCAGAGAAAGGGCGAGAAAAGAGAGAAGATATGCCTGAGACCATTTCAGCCTATGTATTTTTACTTTAAAAATACTGAGAATGATGGTCATCATCATATTCTATGTAAGAGTCTTATCCATGCCCAGATCCATCACTTGAAGCCAAGTCATCTCTCTTCATTTAACCTTGCTACATAGGCCTTAGCGTCCTGAATCGCTTCGCACTTGCCTGTGAATCTTCACAGGTTTTCCAAATCCTGCTTAGGTTGTGTGCCCAGACTGAATGCAGTATGTTTAAGGCTCAGGACTCTTGCTGGGCAGTGTGAGGGGCACATTCCCACTGGCAGAAGATCTTTTCCAGGTATCTTAGTCTGTTTGTGCTGCTATAACAAAATACTATAGATCAGGTGGCTTAGAAACAACAGAGGTTTATTTTTTTCACAGCTTTGGAAGCTGGAAGTCCAAGGTCAGGACACTGGCAGTTTCTATGTCTGGTGAGGATCTGCTTCCTGGTTCATTGGTGATGCTTTCTCACTGTGTCCTCACACAATGGAGGGGGGGAATGAGCTTCCTTGAGCCTATTTTATAGGGACATCAATCCCAAGAAGGAGGGCTCCGTCCTGCTGACCTAGTCACCCGAAAAGACCCCACCTTTAAATAGCATTACCTTGGGGGTTAGGATTTAACGTACGAGTTTAGGGAAGACACAAACATTCAAACCATGGCACCAGGCAAGAAACATGCCAGTAGAAAAAAATTAAAAGTTCCCCAATTAAGTAATGTTTCAAAAGGATAAATAGGATGTTTTCTTTCTTACCCCTCTAAAATAACTCTTAGCTTTCCAGGCAAAGAAAAGGTAATGATAGTATTAAAGATATATAGGACCTTTTACTTATTAATATGAAAGCCCTTGTAATCAAATCCTGATTAACCTTTCCAAAAAGCTGTTAATTTGGTTTTGCCTCCAACACTATCAATAGATCTATGCTTCTTCTATTCATCTGAACACAGAGTTCTTCCTTACCCACAGAGAAAATCAGAGCCAATTAATATTTTTGCTTGAGATTCTCTTAATATTATCAGATGGAATTTGTATCTCGGGCTTAAAGTACTCATGTTTTATTGTTCATAAACACAGCAGAAAAGCAGAACACAACAGACATGTCTTCACTTTACAGCTGATCTCAGAGCCCAGGCACAACTCTCAGGACTCCACGGTTGAGTCAGGTTAACTAAGAGCAGGAGTGGCTTTTGTGTTGAAACAGATGAACTTTCTGGTTGAGATCAGAGCAGGCATTGTCCCGTCTGCTGATGAAATGTGAAAAGGAAAGCCGTAAAAGAGAAACAACAAGGTGCTGGCTTTCACAGGGTCGGGGACAAACTTCTCTTGGGTGGCACAGTATGAACGAGCATTAATTAATAACTAAGGATGAGTCCCACCAAGAAATTATCATCCCAGCATTAGGCATCAGGATTCCCCCATGCTAACACTCCGTGTGTGACGCAAAAACCTACTGCCATTAAGCAGTTATTCTAAGTGCATGGAGTATGCAGCGACTGCGGGTGTTGGTAACAAAAGAACCCCAGTGAGAGCAGAATGGAATAGAGGATTTCAGTGCTGATGGAGATTAAATCGTCTGAGAATGGCTTTGTATATTAACTTCAGGGAACTCAGGTCTTGCCACCTAAAGAGTGACACCTGATGCCCCAATTGTAGGGTAATAAATCTTCAGTAAACCACAGATCTCAAGTAGGCTGCTTGGAAGGTGAGAAAAATCGTATCAAGCCCATAAATGGCTTCCTTTCTGGGGACTGAAATGCCATCTCTGGGCACTTATATGTATGTGAATAGCAGATTTAACACTTGAGACAATTGAAGTTTCATAAAATGATGAGTCCTTGGCCTTGTTGTCAGAGCGCCCTGTGAACAGGATTGTCAGCAGCAAAGGTAATAACATGATTAAGATCAAGTGGTAACCCAGGATTTCACATCTAGTACCCAAGAAATTTCTGAGAAGTAAGTATTTTCTTTTTTGGTGAAAATTAAGAGAGAAAACTAGGAAAAGTACATTTAGATGGCAGCATCCTGGTTACTTCTCTAGCGAGTTAAAGGCTGAACAAAATATTGAAAAGAATGACATTATCAGCATCAATTAATACTTTTAGGTCACAGTCAAGGGGGGCATTTTTGACCTTCACGAATAGTGCTGCCAGCCATAAAAAGAGCTGCTATATTCCACAACCACACCTATAATATTGTAATATAGCAATTATTTTCTGGATCCATTACAAGAAAGGATTTTCTTGGAGCTATGTATTTGCAGAGCCTTCCTGCCCGCATTTCCCCATGCAGCTCAATTTACTGCATGGAAGGAATACCTAGAATTTACCTGGAATACAGAAGAGAAGTTTTCCCTTTTTTGGGAGCACCACAGGTAAAAATTTAAAGTAAGTAGGAGCTAATCAGAGCCTGGCCAATCCCCCAGAAAGCTCAAATTCTCAAAAGAACAGCTTCTAAATTTCAAATTAGAAGTCGTTATTTCTTAAAAATATGATATGATAAGTAACATTGTGTATTACTGTTTTAAATTTAATAATCTCAACATTATCATTATAATGTGATTTCACTAGAAATAGAACACTGCTTAATATTATACAGGAATAGGATGAGTCTTAGTGGTTGTATCAGAATGTATCAGAAAAGAGAAATCAAAGCTGAACTCATCACAGTAATTTGATCATTCCTTCTAGCAAGCTAAAATAATCATTCATCCAACTGTTGCATTTTTCAGTTAATGTTTTATAGATAAAAGCTAAAGAGATTTTTTAGTATATGTGTTCAGAAAGGAAGAAATATGTTGCAGTTATATAACACACTGATGCATATGGTCATCCTACTGTTTTCAATAAGCATTTAATCATTCTTTGCAAAGGCCTCTTAACTCAGCTAGTTTTCCACGAAGTAATGAGTGCTTTATTCCTTGGAAAATATTTCTAAATGGCAATAGCACAATATAGTTACATAGTGTATCTATTATACCAGGAGTACATTTTGTTGTTAGGAGACTTTGAAAAGCATAAAGACTGTTGTGAAATTGAAATATTTCCCCCAGATGTTTGATTGCCTAAGCGCAGGCTATATTAAGGAACAGAAGCAAAACAGCCCTTGTGGCTTCACAGATGTCCTATCACAGCACAGGCTCTTTTATAATCCTCTGAATAAAATCTAATTTGTTTCATCTGGTGAAGAGGTCATTTCTAGCTTCTGACCAGCATGAGTAAAAAGATCTGATCATCTCAATTGTATTTAATATTAGATTTGTACTTGGTTTGTAAAGCAAATTATTAGTGTTTTCTGGTTAAGATTTTTAAAAATATTCATGTTACTTAAAATAAGCTTGTATATTGTAATGTAGATTTGCATTTGTACTTTCTCCGTATCTCTCGAAGTAAAGCTTCCCCACCTCATCCCCCAAGTTGGCAACACTTTTAAGTCAAAGACTTAACTTTTAAAACTTAAACTTTGAAGCCAAAGACTTGTCCTTAATATAAAGCCCATTCTAAGCTTTCTATTTCTTTCTAGGCTTATAATCCTAAATTTCCAGGAGGAATCACTCAGTTATTAACTCCAATTCCCTGAAATTAGGAAAAAAATCGTCTACTTTTTCTTTATCTGCTTTCAGTTCTATGGTCACCTTCCTAGAAGTCTCAACCCCCAATTTGGAAAACACTAATTTAAAATTTGTGGGCTGAGGCAGGAGAATGGTGTGAACCTGGGAGGCGGAGCTTGCAGTGAGCCCAGATCGTGCCACTGCACTCCAGCCTGGGAGACAGTGAGACTCCGTCTCAAATAAATAAATAAATAAATAAATAAATAAATAAATAAATAATAAAATAAAATTTGTGAAGAGTGCCAGTCTTCTAATTTTACATTAACCAAAAATATCTCTTTAGAATTACCAGGAACACTGGTCTCAATATGAAAGTACAAAATCAAGCAATGTACCAAGAGGGCAACCTTCTGACATGGTGAATGACCATCAACCTTCCAGAAGACCAGCCAAGCTCAAGATTCGAAAGCAGTGTAAACACCAGAATGGCCTGAAGTCTTCCACAACGGAAGAGGTGACTGCCAGTCAGGGGAACCAGAATAACCCTCCCAGGCAGCAACAAAACCAAAATAAGCCTCTTGATACTTCAACAAAGCCTGAATCGATTGTGATTATGCATGCCTCTAACAATGATGTACAAGCCTCAAGGGCACTTAGAAGCCACAATCTCAAAGAAACCTCCAATACATTTGCTCCACCAAAACAGGCTTTTGACAAGGTCTTATCTAAAAACTCTACTGGATGTGACTCTGGGCTGAATGTTAATAAAGAAAGAGGACACAAAGACCAAGAAGAGAAAAGATTTTCATATCAGCAGCTACACACCCTTTCTGACATGGATTTGAACAACCTTAATGAACTTTCTAAGAGACACGTGCTCCTGAGCCAGAAAGGCTCTCAGTTTGTTTATCACATAAATACTCATGGATCAACCAAAAATAAGAAACAACTCAAACAGCCTTATACAGAGACAAAATACAGGAACTTAGAAATGTTATGGTAAGAATTCCCTTTTCTCAAGTGGTTTTCTAGAGGAGAAAGGAGAGACTGCTGCAGAAAGACGGGAGAGGAAGAAGGGGAAGGGGAATCCATAAGGTGGCTAGGTGAGAAGAAGAGTTCACCTAACAACTTCCTTAGCTCTGATTCCTGCCTCAAAGAGTCCACTTTTTTTTTTTTTAGACAGATTCTTGCTCTGTTGCCCAGGCTGGAGTGCAGTGGTGCCATCTTGGCTCATTGCAACCTCCGCCTCCCGAGCTCAAGCAATTCTCCTGGCCCAGCCTCCCAAGTAGCAGGGATTACAAGCGTTCACCACCACACCGGGCTAATTTTTGTATTTTTAGTAGAGACAGAGTTTCAGCATGTTGGCCAGGCTGGTCTCGAACTCCTGACCTCAAGTAATCCACCCGCCTTGGCCTCCCAAAGTGCTGAGATTACAGGTGTGAGCCACCGCACCCGGCCAAGAGTCTACTTTTGATGGATTTCTTTTCCTCTTCCCTGTCTCCGCTATTTTTCCACTGTAGTTAAACTAGAAGTTGAAGGGAGAGGAGGACAGAGGGACCCAGTCAAAAAACATCAGTGTGTTTGGGGGTTGCAAGTAATGTTTGGAGGAAACAAATGATCTTCAACATTATCATGGCCTATCCTGAGAAAATAATCTAAAATACAGAAAAATATGCACATACAAAAAAATCATCATTTATAGAGGTGACCTAAAAATCCAACAATAGGGAATGTTTAGGTAAATTATGATATTTAGTATCATGGAACCACTAAAAATTATGGTTATGAGGAAATGCTTCTATAGGAAGAAAATAGTAAGGTACAAAATTACACCTTGGGTTGAATGACACTGGTAGAAGAAAAAGTACATCTAAGGAGTATGAGTTCTACTGTGTTAAAATATGCACAGAAGAAAAATTTACCAAAATGTCAATAGTGGTTATCTCTAGCAAGAGGGATTGGGATTTTAAAAATTTATTCTTTATATTTTCAGAACAGTTCAAGTTCCCCACGATGTAGATGTATAACTTCTATAAACAGGAAAATGAAAGTTATTTTAAAAATTACTTCAGGCACCATTTCTTGGTGTTCTTCGATCAAACGTCCTTTCTACATACCTAACATACTGAATATAATGCTACAGTGCTAAATGCTATACAAGGTACAAAAGAAGTATGGTGTGTGAGGCACCTTCAAGGAACTTGACTTTCAAAGTAGGGAGACAATTACTCCCTCGTGAGTTGATCAAAGAACATTTAAGTGTCACACTTGGTGATATGGAATGTAGATTTAATAAGATTTAAAGTTAGCTTCCTAGAAGAGATAATGATAAATAGCAGGCATCTTTGTCTTTTTTTTTTTTCCTGATTTTAGAAAGATTGTTTCTGACACTTTTACCATTAAAAATAATATTTAGTTTTTGGTAGATAGATAGATGATAGATGGGAAATTTCCTCCTATTCCTCTTTGCAAATAACTTCTATCATAAACGAGTATTTGATTTTATCAAATACTTTTTCTGCATTAATTGAAACATTTCTCCATTAATCCTTTAGTGTGATGAAATATGTTAACAGATTTTTCTGATGATGCACTGATTTTTCTGATAACCCTTTTATTCCTAGGGTTAACCCAATTTGTCATACTGCATTTTTAATAAGTTGCTTGATTTGATGTGTTAACACTTTGTTTAAGATTTAACATTTTCATATACATGAAGTGAAATTGGCTTATAATTTTCCTATCTGCCACTGGCCTTGACTGGGTGGATTATCAAGAAAATACCAGCCTTATAAAATGAGTTGAGGACTATTTCCTCTTTTTGCATCCTCTGGGACACTTTATATACAATTGGCCTTACCTGTTACTTGAAGGTTTGATAGAATTTTCCTCTAAAACTATTGGGCCATTGGTGGGTTTTGTTTGGCTTTTTGTTGTTGTTTGTGAGCAGATTTTAAACTCCTGATGCATTTACTATAATCATTATAAGACTTTGCAGTCTTTTCATTTTCATTTTAGTCAGTTTAATACATTATATTTTTCTAGGAAAAATTTTCCTTTTATGCTGTCTTAAAATGTACTGTCATAAAGCTTTTTGTAGTATTTAAATAACTTTAATATTATTCCACCTTTATTATATCTATAATCATGTCCCTCTTTTCATTTCTTTTTTTTTTTTTTTAATTTTTTTGGCAGCCTCAACCTCCTGGGCTTCTTTTGCTTAATTCTCTCTGTACATATAGCTAATTGATCCTACGCTTATGAGTAGCCTTTTAGTATAAGTTTCCATAAGGACAACCCCATCGGGCAATTTCTCAATTCTTCTCTCTTTCTTGGAGCCAGACTTTGTAGACACCTTTACTTTCTTTCTCTTTCGAGACTTGCTTCACAGCTGTCCTGGCTGAGGATTCCCTTTGCCTTTCTTCTGATAGGATTCTCTTTTTCAGTATCTCACATTTTCCTTATTTTGTTTGAGCACCCCTTCCGGCATTTCTTTCAGATTGAAAATGTGGTACAAGGACAGGGGACAGGGTGATGGGCAGTTCTCAGCGTGCCAGTGTCCTGTGCCACACCTGTTTTCTGACTGCGTTCCGCTGTTGTTGTGCTCATATTATCCTTAAGAATCTCCATGCCCTCATGGAGACCCTCTTCACTCTTCTCCTTCGTCACCCTTCCCGTTTTTTCCATCCCCGTTCTCTTTCTTAGTTTCGTCTCTAATTTTGATAGAGAACATCCTCCATTGCTTGAGAGGTAAATGTTTTGAGATCTTGCTGAAATTATCTTTCTTCTGCCCTCGCCCCTGATTGGTAGCTTGGCAGAGGATTGTAGAATTCTAGATGGAAAATCATTGTCCCTCAGAATTGCCTTCTTGCATCCAGTGTTGCTGTTGAGAAATCTGAAGCCACCTTATTCCTGATCCTTTGTATATAATCTGTTTTTTTTGTTGTTGTTTTTTGTTTTTTGTTTTCTGGAAGCTTTAGGATCTTTTCTTTTTCTCTACTGAAGTGAAATTTCATAATATTGCGCCTTTGTATAGGTCTGTTTTCATAGATTGAGCTGGGGCCTTTAAACCTGAAAACATATGACCTTCAGTTCTGGGAAAATTTCTTGAGTCATCTTTATGGGTAGTTCCTTTCAACCATTTTCTGTTTGCTCTTTCTAGAAACTCCTGTGATTCAGATGCGTTTTTCCAGGACCGTTATTATGATTTTGTTTTCTCTTTCTTTCTCCATTTCTTTCTAATTTTGTTCTACTGTCTGGGAGGGTTTCTCAGTCCTAGCTTCCAGCCTTTCTACTGCTATCATGTTTGTTAATTTCCGACAGGATTTTTTTGTTGTTGTTTCTGTTATTGGTTTCTGAATGCTCCTCGTTTTATAGCCTCATGTTTTTGTTCATGGATACAACATCCTTTTTTCTCAACGTCTTCTTAGATTTTCAACAAGGCAAAATAGGGTGTAAGGGCCCTTGTGACTGAATTTTTAAGTGTTTTTAATTCCCTGCTTTGCTTCTCTTTCCTCTAGGTCTTTGTCAGTGATGTTTGTTTCTCTTCTCCTATTTTGCTGCCTTCCACCTTAGGGCTTGTGTCAGATGTCTAGCAATTCTTGATCATCTTCTCATGATCAAGTATGAGGGACTAGAAAGCTTATTGGAAGCTCTGAGTGACAGTGCTTGTTGACTTTGAGTGCCTATAGAATGATCTTTGGGTGCCATGTGATAGGAAGCCCTTCCTGTAGGTTTTAGGTCTTTTCTCTTGGTGGTCAGATTTATTATCTGTGCTTGGTGCTTCACAGGCAGAAGACTTGTTGGCTTCTTCAGAATGAAAACCTCCAGCGAGCTGCGGAGAGAGGGAAGGGACAGTTGCCTAGGTGCACAAAATGGAGAAGATGATCTGGAGATCCGCCTGCTTCTTCTTTTTTTTTTTTTTTTTCCGGAGACGGAGTCTCACTCTGTTGCCAGGCTGGAGTGCAGTGGCACGATCTCAGCTCACTGCAACCTCTGCCTACCGGGTTCAAGCGATTCTCCTGCCTCAGCCTCCTGAGCAGCTGGGACTACAGACGCCCATCACCACGCCTGGCTAGTTTTTGGATTTTTGGTAGAGACAGGGTTTCACCATGTTGGCCAGGATGGTCTCGATCTCCTGACCCCGTGATCCACCCACCTCGGCCTCCCAAAGTGCTGGGATTACAGGCGTGAGCCACCGCACCCAACCCTGACTGCTTCTTAAACAGACTTTCAACCAAATCTTTTTTAAGTAACTCTCACATAGACTTTCACCACCGCCACTCCCACTTACAGCTCATGAGCCTTACAGGATTCTATGGTGTAAACTGTGGCTTCTCTGCTTTCCCTGCTGCTAACTTAGATTCCACTTTTTTGAGTCTGCTAAGATAGTTACCATTCAACCATCTGTTCTCTGCTTCCGAAATATTTGCTCTTTTCCCCCCATTTTGTTCTCTTTATCTTCGTGGGTTGATGTCTTTTAAAAATCTCTTTATATATAATTTTGATTTGCATTTGAGAGTTAAATTGCATGCTTATTCTGCCACGTTTTTTCTACCACCTTTTCATTTTGAAATTGTTCACACCTAGTAAAAACTTGGGGGAAAATATCTACAATAAACACCTGTAGTCCTTCATCTAGATTCATCAGTGCTAAAATTTTGCAACATTTTCTATCTATTTACTGAATCATTTGAAAGCAAGTTCAGAATCACAATATTTTATCTCTAAATATTTCAACATTCAGCCCCTAAGAATAAGGACATTGTCTTATACAACAATCACACCATTATCACAGCTAAGAATATTAACGTTATTGTACACAATATCATGTAGTATCAGTACATTTTTAAATTGTATTACTTGTCTCCAAAAAGCCTTTTACAGCTTTTTTTTTTTTAAATTCCTGATCCAGTATTCAGTGTTCATACATTTCATTTACTTTTTGTCCCTTTAATTAAAAAAAAAAAAATCTAGAACAGACTGGGCATGGTGGCTCACACCTGTAATCCCAGCACTTTGGGAGGCCAAGGCGGTGGATCACTTGAGGTCAGGAGTTCGAGACCAGCCTGGCCAACATGGTGAAACTCCCACTCTACTAAAAATACAAAAATTTGCTGGGTGTGGTGGCAGGCTCCTGTAGTCCCAGCTACTCGGGAGGCTGAGGCAGGAGAATCTCTTCAGCCTGGGAGGCAGAGGTTGCAGTGAGCTGAGATCCTGCCACTGCACTCCAGCCTGGGCAACAGAGTGAGGTTCTGTCTCAAAAAAAGAAAAAAAAATCTAGAACAAATTATCCAATGCTCACTTTTCATTGTTTTCTATAACATTGCCTTTTTAGAAAAAATTTATTGTTTTTGGATAGTTATATTTAGGTTGACCATTTCAGGCAAGAATACTACTTGGGTGATTTGGTGTACTTTTTATTACATTATACCAGGGGATACATACTATCAGGCTATCATATTATTGGTGATGCTAAGTTAAACCTTTTGATTAAGGTAGCGACTACCAGATCTCCCCATTGTAAAGGAACATTTTCCCTTTATAAGTAATTATTAATATTCGAGACAGTGTAATTATCCTAGTTTTCAACAGCTTTTTGTACAGTGGTTTTAGCATCCACTGACAGTGCTTACCTAAATCATCCATTACACTGGGGTTGCAAAATGGTGATTTTGTAATTCTATCAATACCTATACATTTATTACATGGCTGTTGAAATAAGACCTTTTCCTCTTCCTTTTTCTCCTTCCTTCCTTCCTTCCTTCCTTCTTTATCTCTCTCTCTCTCTCTCCCTCTCTCTCTAGTATCATTATGGACTCATAAATCTTTTCCTATAAACATGTTAAAGTCTATTACCATCATTATACTGTATATGTTCTCACTGTCTTGGATTTGAGCAGTGGGAGCCCCTTCACTCCAGTTCCTGGGTCCTTTTGATGTAACATCTTTTGTCTTCGAGCACTTCTTTGTTTTCTGGCATAGTAATATGTTCTAGGTTTACCTTTGGACTTCCCCTGAACTCATGTGGAAGCATCAGTTTCTCCAAAAAACCCTAATTCTTTTTAGTAGGGAATGGAATTTAGAAACCAAGATTTGAGAGCTATGTGTTCTCATTGCTACTGAAATGTTATTGCTTCTAGACTCAAGATCTCAGCAGTTAGAGCTAGAAAATACCTGTACCTGAACCTCTTTCTATAATTATGCCTATGCCAATACATATTTCTGTATACTAGTGGGGTCACACAGATACCTCAAATCCAACAGCTCTGGGTTCTTCCTCATGCTTCTCCTTTTCCATATTTGTATCTCCTTTTTCCAACAGTGAAAACCTTAGTTTACCAAAACATCAATATGTTTACACATTTACCCTTCCCTACAGTATATGTACAAATAGTTTTATAATTACAATGCCAGTACCACTACCAAACAGTCAGTCTAAGTAAAGCTCATGATTTCTTTGCCATTCTTTTTCCTCCCTCTATATTCTTCTAAGGGTGTACAACCAAACTACATTGACTCAAAATTACTTCATAAATTAATTCTTTTCTCTTGGTAGAGGTAATCAGTTTAACATACAGTTAAATTCATTTGTTTTGCTTTGTATTCAGTGTTAGGATTTTCTTTTCTTCTCATTGATTTTAAATTTTATTTTATTTTTTGAATATGTAAAACATTACATGGTAACCAGCTGCTTGTAGGATGTGTGACTGCAGGTCACTGTGTGTGCCTCCTGTTTGGTAAGGACCATGACAAGAAATAGAAATTCCCTTTTTGTTGTTTGTTTTAGTTTATTTATTTATTTATTTATTTTTAGACAGAGTCTTGCTCTGTCACCCAGGCTGGAGTGTGGTGGCACAATTTCGGCTCATTGCAACCTCTGCCTCCCAGGTTCAAGTGATTCTCCTGTCTCAGCTTCCCAAGTAGCTAGGATTACAGGCACGTGACACCATGCCCAGCTAATTTTTATATTTTTAGTAGAGACAGCGTTTCGCCATGTTGGTTAGGCTGGTCTCGAACTCCTGACCTCTGGTGATCCACCCACCTCGGCCTCCCAAAGTGCTGGGATTACAGGCGTGAGCCACCGCACCTGGCCAGAAATTCCTTTTTCAAAGCAGAAATTTATTCTGTCCTAACTCAGAAGAAACCACAATAGTTTATTTGTGCTTTCTCTCTCTTTTTCTTGATCAGCCTTGCAAAAGGGTTGTCTATTTCATCTGTCATTTCAAAAACAACTGTTCCTCTATGTTTTGGTTTTGTTTTCTCTTTTATCCATCTTTGTTCTCATATATTTACTTCTTTTCTTTGATATTGCTTGAATTTACTTCAGTGTTTTTGACTTCTTAACTTCTGTTATTTATTTATTGAGACAGAGTCTCACTCTGTCACCCAGGCTGGAGTGCATTGGCATGATCTTGGCTCACTGCAACCTCCATCTCTCGGGTTCAAGCGATTATTGTGCCTCAGCCTCCCAAGTAGCTGGGATTACAGGCATACGCCACCATGCCCAGCTAATTTTTATATTTTTAGTAGAGACAGAGTTTCACCATGTTGGCCAGGCTGGTCTTGAACTCCTGACCTCGAGTGATCCACCTGCCTTGGCCTCCCAAAGTGCTCAGATTACAGGCATGAGCCAACGTGCCCAGCCCTTAACTTCTGTTTTAAATGCTTAGCTCATTATTTCTAAGGCTTTCTCCTTTTCCAATATAATTTAAAATTATAAATGTTCCTCTAAGTATGTTTTAGTTGCTTCCCACATGTTTTAAAATGTAGCATTTTTATTATTGTTTAGTTCTAAGTATTTTCTTCTCTTTTTAGAGGCAGGGTCTCACCATGTTGCCCAGGCTGGAGTGCAACGGAGTGATCCTAGCTCACTGCAGTCTCCAACTCCTGAGCTCAAGTGATGCTCCCACCTCAGGCTCCCCACTAGCTGGGACTACAGACAGGCTCCACCACACCCACCTACTTTTTAAAATTTATTTGGAGACAGGGTCTCATTATGTTGCTCAGGCTGGTCTTAAACTCCTCGGCTCAAGCCATCTTCCTGCCTCAGCCCCTTGAGCTGCTGGGATTACAGGCACAAGCCACCTCGCTCAGCTAGTTCTAAGTATTTTCTAATTCCATTATGATTGCCTCTTGGATGATCAGTTATTTGGAAGTATGTTTATAAATTTCAAAACATATAAAGTTATTTTAGATATATTTATTGTTATATATCTAACAAAACAATTATTGTCAGAAAACATCATTCACATGATACCAAGTTTTTGATATTTTTTGATACTTGTTTTTGGCCTAACGTTTTGGTCAATGTAACCAAATGTTCCTCATTTGTTTTCTGCAGTTGTTGATTACATCATTCTATATACTTACATTCTATGTACGAGTAGGCTTGTTGAATAGGTCTTTTAAGTCTTCTATAGCCTAGTTAGGTTTCTCTGTTTGATATATCAGTTACTGAAACTGGTGAGGTGGCATCTCCCTCTTTAAGAATTGTCAGTTTTGCCTCACAATTCCATTAATTTTTGCTTTATGTATTTTGAACTTATGTTATTAGGGACATGCAGATTTATAATTGATATATCTTCCTGATGAATTCTTCTTTTAATCCTGATGTAATCAATATTTTTATTCCTAATAATGCTTCTTTCTTAAAGTTTATGCTTTCTGATACTAATACAGCTACACCAGCTTTTTAAATTTAGCATTGAGTCTGGTATATTTTTTCCATCATCTTCAAATTTTTCAGTCTTCTTATGATTTAAGTGAGTCTCTTTTAAGTAGTGTGTTGGATTTTGTTTCTTTATTCATTCTTAAACTCACTTTTAACTAGTGACTTAAAACTATAGGCCAGGTGCAGTGGCTCACACCTGTAATAACAGCACTTTGGGAGGCTGAGAAGGGAGGATTGCTTGAGTCCAAGAGTTAGAGACCAGCCTGGATAACATGGCAAAACCCTGTCTCTACAAAAATTAGCCAGGCATGGTGGGGTGCACCTGTGGTCACAACTAATCAGGAGGCTGAGGTGGGAGGATCACTTGAGCCCGTAAGTCAGAGGTTGCAGTAAGCCAAAATCTTGCCACTGCATTCCAGCCTGGGTGATAAACTGAGACGATGCCTCAAAAAACAAACCAACCAAAAAAGCTACTTACATTTATTGTGGCACTGATACCTTTGAATTTATTTCTACAGTCTTAATTTGTCCTTCCGAATCACCCTACTTTCTCTATACTTCTCTATATCTTTTATATCCTCTACTAACCTGATAGAATTTTCTTTATTTTTCCTTCTACTGATTTGCAAATATATATTCTCTTTATATTCTTTTATTGTAACTCATGTACTTAACTAGTCTAGCATTAAATTAATATTCCCATTCTCCTCTAGAACATGTTCAAAATTATTAGATTGTTTTAATCCAATCACCTTTCCTGTCATACATATTACTTTGTTCAACAACTTTTCTATCACCTTATATATTCAAAATTAGTCACTGCTTTTATTATTGTTGTCTAGAGTTAATACTGTATTATGAGTTAATACTGTATTATATTTAGCCAATTGTTTATTAATGTCTCTGCCTCACATCCTTTCTTCCATGTTACCCTTTATTCTGAAGTAAATCCTTTAGAAGTTCTTTTAGCAAGTATGGTAAATTTACATGAAAACTTCTTTATTTTACTATTTTGAATTATAGTTTAATATTGTGAAGAATTCAACTCTTTGAAAACATTACTTTTCTGTCTCCTGGTTTCTGCATTGCTTTGAAAAGTCTTTTGTCAATATAATTAACATTTATTTTGTTTTGTTTTTATTTTCTCTTATTGGTTTGTAAGTGTTTCCTCTGGTTTTGGTGTTCTGAAGTTTCGTTGTGATATGCTTAGGTATGAAATTTTTAATTCTGCCTGAGACTCTTCTATAATTCCTAAATCTTAAGATTCATCTCTTTCATAAATAATGAAAAATTATCACACATGTTCCCTTTGAATATTATGTCTCTCAAATTTACTCTATTTTCTCCTATAGGAACCCCAAATAGCTGTGTGTTAGATTGTCTATTCTAGACTTCGTGCCTTTTTAACTGTTTTTATTTTACACCTTTTATTTCTCAGTGCTTCTTTCTGAATAATTTCTTCAAATAAGTTTTCCAGTGTAATAAATCTCTCTTTACCTGTGTCCAACATATGCTCTTTAATGTATCCACTGAGTTTTAAATTTCAATAATGGTATTTTCCATGTCTAGAATTTCTATTTGGTTCTCATTAAAACCTCTCTGTTCTTTTTCCAAAATACAGGATTTTTAAATATGTTTCTCAGGTTCTTAGCTTCTTTTCTCAAGTCTTTACTCATTTTAAACTACCTTATGAATGTTATCTAATATCTCTATCATCTGAAGTTCTTGGAAGTCTACTATTGCTATTTGTATGTGTGTGTATGTGTGTCTGCTGACTCTCATATTTGGTAGATTATTTCCTCTTACGGGCAAGGACTTTGGATTGTGAACTTACATTTAGCCACCTTTTCCGTGGAAACCTAGGCAGGCTTGGGTGGGAGTGTATTTCTCTAGAGAAGTTTTGTATTTGCTTCTGCCAGATACTACAGAAGTATCCCTCATCCAAGATCATTGTTACATTAGTTTCTTCATGTTGGATTTCCGTGATTATGTGGGTAAGGTAAATTTGAAATCCAAATATTGTCCTATAGATATTCACAAGAGCTTGTTGTTGTTGTTGGGTTTTTTGGAGAGAGTGGGGGTTGTTTTTCTATTCAGAGCCCAGAGACCAAGACAGACAGACTTGCTTGTTGTTTCTCATGGCTGGTGAATGGGTTTTGAATTAATGTAGCTTTTAACTGAGGGTGTAGCACCTCAAGTTATAGTCTTCTTACAACGATCTTAGTTCTGATTCCCTGCCTCACACAGGACCAAGATCTTGCATATCCTATACCAGCGTTAACTATTAAAACTCAAGCCTGTAGACCCAAAACTCTTGTAAAGAAAGCTATAACTTCAGCTAATCTAAAATCTGCTTTGGTTTTTATTCCTTTTGTTCGTTTTGGTCTTTAGAGATTTCTGTTTATCTTACCAATTCAACTATGTGTTTAAAGGATGTTTAATGTAATGCAACATTTCTAGGTATTTTGCAGTGGGAAGGTCTTTGATTTTTCAAAATGGTGTTTTTTCTATTCTGAATGCACTAAACAAAAGTTCTAAATAAAATGTAGACTGTCCTAAAGGAAAAAGAGGAGGAGTTTAAGATAAATAAGAAATTAATGTATTCATGAAAAGATTAAGCTAAAGGTCATTAATTTGATTTGAGAGTGATAAATACATCAAATTAATGGTTCATAAAGACTTTTATGCTAGATGTCTTATGTATTTGGATTTTATTAATAGATTTGTGCCTTTTTTTTTTTCATTAAGGAAATTCCATTCTTCTTCTGACAGCCAGACGGTTAGAGCTTCTCCAGATTCATGGCTCACCCAGATAATGGAGCAGCATCAGCAAGCCTTGGTGCAGCTGACCGACGTGCAGCCCAGTGAAGGGGCCTTATCCAGCGTCACGCTTCCACCTATACTGTCAAGGGTAGAAAGTGAATCCCAACTCAGTTCAGAGAGAAGCCAAAGAAACCAAGTGAAAATTAGCCGTAGCAATTCTGAAGGCTATCTGTTTCAACTGGAAAAGGGAAAAAAGCATAAGAAAAGAAGCAGCAGTAAGGTAATAAAAGCGCCATTTTTACCAAGTAACTCTTCCATTTTGAGAATACAGATGGACCTTGATGTAATTATAGCCCTGGAATAGGGATGGTCATTACTGAGTTGCTGCCACACTGGGTCGCCCAGAGTCCTAAGGAGTTTCTTACTCCTGCCCCTGCTACTCCCTGGGGTTTCCCTCCCCTTCTTAATAGAAGTTGTTGCTGCCAGGGATGCCCATTTCTCCCTCCTGTTCAAGTCATCTTGGCGAGAGGTCTCCATTTGCAGAGTGGCAGAACTCCTCCTTTCATCCCCAGCTGAAACATCTCTTCCTTAGGAAAGCTTCCATACTCCACCCCAAGCCCCATGCTAACCTGAGTCTTCATGGTTATTAAATCATTTCTTCCCAGGTCATTCTCATATCTTAAAAAGTAGAGAAAGTAGGGCTGAGTGAGTGAAAGCGCCTGTTGCCATTGCATTTTCCCACCATCTGCCACTATGAGGACTCATCTTGGCCCTAATCTCACCCCAACTTCTGCAGTAAAATACCTGGGCTGGCCAGTGATTGAACTTTCCTCTCAAACATTAGCTGACCTTTACTGAGTTCTTTGTCTCAAATCACCATTACTAGCACCTTTGCGCACTTCAGTCTTTTCTCATAGGGCCTACATGATTTAACAAGTAAAATTGGGGACCCAAAGTAGAATGTTTTCAGTAAGAAATGAAGGCGCCTAGGAAGGGGACTTTTTATGTCCTGTGTATTTCTCTTCTGTCACTGGCAATAAAAAGCCCTCAGGAAAGGTCACTTGCTTCCAGTGTCAAATCATAAGAAAAAAGCTGGAAATGCATTCTGTTTTACAGGCAACAGGGAAAGGCCTGGTTGAAAGCAATAAGCCTGTGGTGAGTTGGGTTTTCAGGGAACAGACTGAAATGGAGATTTGCATGCAGGAGGTCTCTAGACTGAAATAGAGATTTGCATGCAGGAGGTCTCTAGCAGAGCAACCTGGGGTACCTTTAAGGGAGTGAGGGAAGCGGGGCTGGGCAGAGATGGGCTGTGATGCAGACACAGCAGTAGCCTTGGCCAAGGTTCTGAGGGTTCTAAAGTTGGGGTGGCCCTTCGAAGGCAAGGGACCCAGGCTTTTGTTCTCCCATACCAACCTGCCATTGGATAGTGACTGCCCCTGGGGAAGGGTGGTCACTTTGTGCACAGCAGCTCCACGTGGCTGAGGCAGTGTTTAGGGAGGAACTCAGCTGTGAGCCATCAGCAGACAACACTCCCAGCGTCTGGAGAAATGAGTGCCTCAGTACAGAAGGGCCTCCGCGCTAAGACCACTTGAGAGGAATTAAGCAAACCATTCCTAAGTTGAATTCAGTTTGTTATTAAATAATTTCTAGGCCGGGCGTGGTGGCTAACGCCTGTAATCCCAGCACTTTGGGAGGCTGAGGTGTGTGGATCACCTGAGGTCAGGAGTTCGAGACCAGCTTGGACAACATGGTGAAACTCCGTCTCTACTAAAATACAAAAATTAGCCGGGCATGGTGGCAGGTGCCTGTAATCTCAGCTACTGGGGAGGCTGAGGCAGGAAAATCACTTGAACCTGGGAGACGGAGGTTGCAGTGAGTCGAGATTGCACCATTTCACTACAGCCTGGGCAACAAGAGTGAAACTTTGTCTTAATAATAATAATAATAATAATAATAATAATAATAATGATTTCTACTAGGAACTTGGAAGATGCTGGGATGTAAAGATGAGCTATGACCCCTCCTCAGAGGAAGCTTCCAGTTGCATGGAGCTTGGGAAGGCAGACGTGTAAATGCTTATTATGTTGCAGTATAATGTTGCAAGCAAAAAACAAATAATGATATTAATTAATAATAAAAGTAATAATAATAATGTAGGCATGCATGGGGAGCACAGAGGAACGTAAAGGAAAACTGATATCCTGACCTGGGGTCAGGCAAGGCTTCAGAAGATAATTCAGAACTGCGTCTTAGAGGGTGATGAAGAGTTGGCAAAGAAGACTGCAAGAGCAGGCTGGGCGCGGTGGCTTATGCCTGTAATCCCAGCACTTTGGAAGGCTGAGGTGGGCAGGTCACAAGGCCAGGAGTTTGAGACCACCCTGGCCAATATGGTGAAACCCCGTCTGTACTAAAAATACAAAAATTAACCGGATGTGGTGGCAGGTGCCTGTAATCCCAGCTACTCGGGAGGCTGAGGCAGGAGAATTGCTTGAACCTGGGAGATGGAGGTTGCAGTGAGCCGAGATTGCGCCACTGCACTCCAGCCTGGGGGACAGAGTGAGACTCCATCTCAAAAAAAAAAAGAAGACTGCAAGAGCAATTCAGGCGGGAGTACCAGTACGAACAAAGGTTCTGAAGCTGTAACATGGTGCATGCTGGGGATGAGAGCATTTCAGGTCCTTGTGACTAAACCTGGGAGGCAAGGAGTGTTGAAAGATGGAAGCGGAGTGGTGGATAGGGGCCAGGTCTTAGAAGATCTCATTTTCCATTCAAAGAAGTACTTTATTGTGTAGGACGGGGGGATCATGGAGGAATTTTAAACTGGTTGGATTTGTATTTTAGAAAGGCAGCTCTGGCTATGGTGTGCAGGGCAGATGCAAGACATCCCAGAAAGTGATGGGATTATGAAGTCCATGGATCCTCAAGTGGGGCCTTTAGAGAAAAAGATAAGGGGTGGCCTCAAAGAGAAAGTGAAACTGGCCTGGATCAGGCAGCAAGAGATACTAACGAGAAGAAAAAGAGGATGTCTTGGGGCTGAGATATGACCCCACCCCAATCCTGCAGCTCCCATCTTGAGCCCCTCTGTGTACCCCGGGTCTTCAGCTCACAACCCTAGAGTTCTTACCCCAGCTCCTTCACATACCCCCACCTGGGGATCTTTGAACTCCTCATTCCAACTTCACGCTCTCATGTCCTCCCCTCTGCTGGGGACGGGACCCTATCCGTGCCCACGCTGTGGAATCTGCAACTAGTGACTTGGAGCTGGGAGAATCCCCGGTTCCACTGTAAGTAAGGAGAAAGGTGTTCCTTTTTTCTTTTCTTTCTTTTCTTTTTTTTTTTTTTGAGACAGAATCTCGCTTCATCGCCCAGGCTGGTGTGCAGTGAAGCAATCTCGGCTCACTGCAACCTCCATCTCCCGAGTTCAAGTGATTCTCCTGCCTCAGCAGGAGTATCTGGGATTACAGGCGCACACCACTACACCCGGCTGATTTTTGTATTTTTAGTAGAAATGGGGTTTCACCATGTTGGCCAGGCTGGTCTCGAACTCCTGACCTCAGATGATCCACCTGCCTTGGCCTCCCAAATTGCCGGAATTACAGGTGTGAGCCACTGCGCCCAGCTACAAACGTGTTTTTTTAATCACAGGTAACTTCTTTTTCCACAGAAACATCATTACATGGTAGTTAGGCTGTAAGGTACTATTAGCACTGTTTTCAAGAGTTTTGTGAATAAAGTAGGTTTTGAAGACTTGACTGGGAAGCTGGACATCATCCGTATTATTTCTATAAGGACATGTATTCAGAACACATTTTCGAGGTGAGGACAGCCTATTCACTGCAGTACATATAGATTACCAGGGACTAAATTTAGCTCAAACACACTAGCTCACAAGAGAATCTTCCAGGTTGGGGTTCTTGCCAATGATGGGTTGTTGCTGAAAATGCAAGCTTTTGAGCTCAATTCTCACTCGGCAAGATTTAGAGGAAGCCATGGACCCATTCATTCCTAGGTTCTCATCTCTGTTCCCAATATCTCTTATGACTTGGACAAGTTATTAATTCACCTGAGCCCTCATTTCTTCATCTACACAATCAGAATTATTCTTTCTTTTTGTAGACTTAGTGTGATGTTAAGTGAAATAATGTATTAAAACTACAGCTTAGTCCCTAGCAAAGAAGACATCAACTAAATGTTAGTTTCCTTTTCCTTTCCCCTTCTTTTAGTTAATTGAATTTATGTTTTACTGAGAAAAGTAGAGGAAAGTACTCCGACGACAGTGTGTGTCACCAGAAATCTAAGCGCATGGGAGGTCAGGGGAGAGGAAGGAAAATTTGCAATTGCTGCCTTCCCAGCCATCTTTCCAACTGGGGACATCCCCCTTCCTGCTTTCTATCAGGAATGTTACAATCTGTATATCCATTTTCTCAATCCAGCACTTTCAGCTTACATCTGACAAATTCACAGAAGTGCTCTTTGTCCTTTAAGCTATTCCAGAAGCTAAAATGACTTAGAAATGAGCTATTTGTATAGGACAGCAGGTAGTCAAGGCACCAGACAGAGGGGATCATTATCCAGGTCATGGCCATTTGCTGGTCACGTCAAATCTTTTGGTTTCCAAGAGAATCGCCCTGAATCACATTAAAACTTGGAGGATTTGTAAAGATAATAGGCCCAAGCACCCTTCCTCTTCTCCTGACAGCTCTGTTGTAACTGAGTTCCGAATGCCAGGCATTGTCCATGCCATGAAATCTAGACATCAGGCAGTCAGGGATCAAGGGATGGCAAACAGTATAAAAATATCTGTTGCAACCCACCACAAAATGACTGCTTCAGGAGTTTGCTGACAGCTAACTGTGCTGAGCTGAAGTAATTAACTCATGTGTTTGTTGTCACAGACAATCTGGGCATTGCTGCTTGACTGCTTCTAAGAAGGGGTTTATTTGGATTAAGTTTAGCAACTGCAGAGCAAATTTCCTTCACTTGCTGTTCCACAGTGTTTGAGGCATTGTTTTTTGTCGTGTTTTTCAGTAACTTTCTCACACTTACACATCTGAGGAATTTTCTGGAGAATAGCTCTGCAGTGGCCCCCACAGCAGGGTACCACCTTTCAGAGTTGAAACAGGTCCTCACTGAACAGTCAATGTCACTTCCAGTCGGGGCACACTGTGTCCCAAGTTTACAATTAAAAACTCTGCTGTCTTGAGAAGAACTGTGGTTAATTCCTGGTACAAACCTTGCATCAGGAGAGTCCTATGCCATCTTCCACTAAAGCAATCAAGTGTGAACACCAGTGCAGAGGGGCTGGTCTGGCCTTAACAATCCTCAGATGGTGCCAGAGTCGGTAGATGCCAGCTCATGTGCATCTTATACAAAGACTAGCAGCAAATCTCATCAGGGATTGGTTGAGAGCATGCCTGTATTTTCCAATTTGTTCCCCTTGTGTTTGGAGACTTAACAAGACTATCATTGTTGATTTACTTTTTTTTTTTTTTTTTAGTATTGTGTTACTATGACCTTTTAGTCTTGTAACAGCCATGGAGAGGTAAATCAAAGTAAATTCTGGGGATTATTTTTACTATAAAAGACTTTTGAAGAGCCAGAAAGTAGATTAGTGGTTGCCTAGGGCTGGAGGCGGAGGGGGCAAAGGGAGTAACTGCTAATGGGGACAGGATTTCTTTTCAGGGTGATGAAAATGTTCTAAAATTGGAATGTGGTGATGTTTACACAACTTGGTGAATATACTGAAAACCATTGTATTGTACAACTTCAAGTGGGTAAATTTTGTGGTATGTGAATTATATCTCAATAAGCTGCTAAAAAGACTTTTGATGGAGAGAGATCAAACAAAATTGCACCTCTGAGAACAAATCAAGATTACTTGCGCCAACCTTAAGTAAATCCAAGATTTTTCATTGCCAGTCACCCAGAACAAACTCCGTTAGGAGCCATCACCGTCCCTTGAGAAAGGTCCCGTTGCTATAAGCACTTCATCCATCCTGTAAAGGGATCAGCAGCACTTGGAGATCACCCTTTAGGCCACACTCTGTCCCTTCATATCGAGGTGTAATACTAGACCCTGGCTCTGGTTTTCTGTGATAGCCAACATGTTTATTGGAGTTAATAGTAAGAACTGTGGCTGGAGAGTACTGGGCAATTATTCATGCATCACAATGTGTCTTTTGTAAGTCAGTGGAATGATTAGAAGTTAAGCTGCTTCAGACTTAGGATGTGATTTGTGAGCACTGATCATTTCTTTCTCATCATCTTTGGACAAATTGGATTTATGACTTGGACATGAGCAGGGTTTTTTCCTTCCTTTTAATCATTGGTTTACTTTGGCAAATAGATAGTAATTCAGTGACTGCAAAACAACCATACAGATGGCATACGTGAGAGAAAGAACAAATTTGCAATTGTGAAATATAAGTTGTCTGAGTTCATTCACCTATTGAAAATTGGTAAAGGTTTTAAAATGTGAAAATACCCAGTATAATCAAGGTTTGGACAAAAAGAGCAATCTTGTGGCTCCATTGTTAGTGGAAGTGTTAATTGATGGCCTTAAACATATTCATTTTATTTCAATAATTCTATGGCTATTAACGTATCTCAAAGAAATAATCAAAGTAGCCCAGAAAAACAATGCTTACCCTAGGACATCTTAAATGTTCAACATTTAGAGAAATAGCTAAACAGTCCAACAAAACTAGACAATAGAATGTTATGCATAAAACTCACATTTAAAAATATATATATACTGACAGAAAAAATGTACTATAGTACTAAAATGCTTAGAAAAAATAAGAATTTGGGCTGGGCACAGTGGCTCACCCCTGTAATCCCAGCACTTTGGGAGGCCCAGGCAGGCAGATCACCTGAGGTCAGGAGTTCGAGACCAGCCTGGCCAACATGGTGAAACCCTGCCTCACTAAAAATACAAAAATTAGACAGACATGGTGGCAGGCGCCTGTAATCCCAGCTACTTGGGAGGCTGAGGCAGGAGAATCACTTGAAACTGGGAGGTGGAGGTTGCAGTGAGCCGAGATTGCACCATTGTACTCCAGCCTGGATGACAGAGTGACACTCCATCTCAAAAAAAAAAAAAAAAGAAATGAAATGAAAAAATAAGAATTCATAGTGAATGGACAATTGTATGAAAGTATGAACAGACAGATATAATGGAGAGGAAGCAGCTATCATGGTTTTGCTGAGTAGTGACTTCTGTTTTCTTAAAGGAGATGTATGATTTTGAAATACCCTTCAATGAACAGTGTGTCTTCTGCATACTTTAATGTTACTAATTTTTTAATGATTTTAGTTCAAAGCCTTCCTTAAGAATCTTGTTTTACTTTTTAGAATTAGAATTAGAGTATTGACCATAAATGTTTAACATTCTAATGGGGCAAATTCTATTTTACAGAACTTTGAATCCTTGTAGTGTAGAAGTGTTGCCTATGTAGCACATCATTTTGGCCCTTTTAAATTATTAATGCAACATAAAAGTGCTGAGATGTTAGGAATATTGCCTTCAGTGGGCAAGTAACACAATTACCATTTACAGTGATTTCTGAAATATGAGTTCATTCTTCTTACATACAATTAGTCCACAAGTGATTGCTAGCACTGGTGGTTCCACAGCTCAGAACATCAGAACCAGTATTGTTGTGATTCTCCTTTTTCCTGGCTGCAAAATTGCTGCTGCAGCTCCAGCTCCAGGAATCACATCCTTACCAAGAAAGGGAAGGGAAGGGGCTACCACAGCCTTAAAGCTTTCCAAAATATACACTGTACCCCAGCAAACTTTTGCTTAGACTTCATGGGCAAGAGTTCAGTGCTGAGGAGAATGTTTGTCTTTTGAACATCTACAGTGGGAAGTGGCAGTGGAGAAGTGAATTGGGATGACTCTGGGTACTCAGTAGACCACAGTGAGTAGGACATGTTCTTGTAGTGGTTGATACAGTGTGTTTACACAAGTTCATTTTTAAGATTGGAGAGTTATATGCAATAATTATACCTAATATGAGAAAATGTCCTATTTTAAGTCTCTGGACGACCTCTGCTAAATTCTGTCTTAGAAAAGGGCAAGTTAGATGTATATCTTAGGACTTAGTACTTAACAGGAGCACAGCTGGTCGCGGTGACTCAGACCTGTAATCCCAGCACTTTGGGAGGCCGAGGTGGGTGGATCACTTGAGGCCAGGAGTTTGAAACCAACTTGGGCAACATGGTGAAACCCCATCTCTACCAAAAGTACAAAAATTAGACAGTCTCATAACCTGGCCTCAAACTAAATAAATAGATAAAATTTTTAAAATTAACAGGAGATTTCAAAATTGATAAAAATCCTGTGCTTTGTCATTAACATATAGACAGGGACTAACATCCACAGTTAGGTACACAACAGCTGCTTCTTCAATGTGGCTGATTTTTCTCCATTTTAAGTAGTAACTTACGTGTGCCTTAAGAAATTACTGTCATCCAACCACCTCTTTTATATCGTCTTTCCTATCCTTCCCAAAAAGGAAACCAAATTAAGTAACAAACTGAAATTTAAAAAGGATGTGAGTTCCCTGTAAGGGGAAGTAGCGAGTCTAAACTTCAGGGTTTGTTGTTGTTGTTGTTGTTGTTTTAAATAGAATCTCTCTCTGTCACTCAGGCTGGAATGCAGTGTTGCAATCTCAGCTCACTGCAACCTCCGCTTCCCGGGTTCAAGCGATTCTCCTGCCTCAGCCCCCCGAGTAGCTGGGATTACAGGTGCCTGCCACCACGCCCACCTAATTTTTGTATTTTTAGTAGGGATGGGTTTTCACCATATTGGCCAAGCTGGTCTCGAACTCCTAACCTCAGGTGATCTGCTCACTTCAGCCCCCCAAAGTGCTGGCATTACAGGCATGAGTCACCGCGCCCAGCCTAAGCTTCAGTTTTAATTTTGAAAGCAGTGGTTTGGGGAATATCTTAATCTATCAGGAGACAGATAGGCAGTAGAATATTAGGGTTTTTTCCTGCCTATTATTGTGCTCAGGTGCCATAATCTAATCAGTCAGTTGTCTCACTTTCTTGCTTTCTGTCCTTTTAAATGGGCAATACTAATAAGAGTTGTCATATTCAATTCTATGTGCCCTTCAAAATATCTGAAATCACACTGAATGAACAATATGAGTTTCTTAGTGAGTCTTGCCAAGACTCTCAAACACTTACTTTTCTCTTGAATATTATAAATAGATTATCATTGTTTTTCCCTTAAAATTATCTTTTCCCCCCAATAATCAATAGCAAAACTTGAAAGGTTGCTACCTTCTTCACTTCTCTTCTGGATTGTCTCTAACGGGTAATGCTGTGACATCATTGGACAGGGTATTCTCTTTTTGAAGCACTGTGTTTATCTGGTGCATTTAGATACCTTCTTCCAGGGAAGTCATTTGGCCCAGTAAACTGTCTAAGACTGGACAAAATGGTAATAGGAACAGTGGCAAAGTAATAACATATATGTTGTGTTAAAAACGTTAATAGCAAGGGCCAGGTGAAGTGGCTAACATCTGTAATCCCAGCGACTCAAGAGGCTGAGGTGGGAGGATCACTTAAGCTCAGGAGTTCAAGCCCAGGAGTTCAAGTCTAGCCTGGACAACACAGCAAAACCAGGTATCTCCAAAAAAAAAAAAATAAAATAAAAAACATTCGTAAGAAAACAGGACATCACTAGCTTGAAAACTTTTATTTGTAATTTCAGAATTTTAAGTTTCTTTATTGCAGAAGTGGAAAAGTGAAAACATGTTAGCTAACCAGCTACGAATTACCAAAGAGACTATTACCAATAACTACCATGAAAATGGAAGCATTGTCAGGAAATGCGGCCATTCTCTGACAGTGCACACAGGCTTTCATTATTTTCTTTCTTACTTTATGTGGCTATGACACCTTACAGGGTGTTAGGAGTCGGGGGACACACAAGTCCTTAAAAGAAACTGTTTCTGTGGTTGTATTTTTAGAACACCAAGCTGAAAGGTTATCAGAAAAGAGACGTGAAGCTTGGAGGCCTCGGACCTGACTTTGAGTCCATCAGAGACAAAGTGAGTGAGATGCACATACAGTGTTTCCAGACCTGACTCAGCCCATCTGTCTGTTAGGAAACTTTATGAAGACGCCCCCCAGAATTAAACCCTAATTCAAATGTCTCACTCTGAATAGAGACCTTCTGAAATAATCTTGGTATAGAGACCCAGACACGTGCCTTTTGCCTTAAAATAAAAATATTTAGCCCGTGTTGTTTTATGTATCTGTCTTTCAGTTAGTTTTGAAGGCCCGCACGGAAAAGTGGGGCCTGTGCACCTGAAAAGAAATGTGTATGTTATGTGGTTGTTGGTCTTTCCTACTAGAGTTATCTTGATAATTGTGAAGAGTGGCCACAGAGAAGACACTTACGGGAAGAGTTTCCCAACCCCTGAAAAGTGCATCCACTTTATTCTCTTTCCTCTAGTGAAAGGAGATCTTCATTTAATGTGTTTTAACTGCAGTTGCACTCAAGGCATAAAAAGAGAGTATAGTTCAAAGTTGGAAGCAAAAATGAAAATAAATTGGGTAAATGCAACAAAGAAGGTTCTGAATGTGATTTAGCCCCTGTTAAGGGAATACCGGGCGTGATATTGCAGTGATGTGCCTCCTCACAGAGAGACTATTTCAAGGAGAAACAATTAACTTAACCATTTCACTGCTGCCACCTTACTCAAGGTGATCCCATTGCTCCTGTACAGCTGATAAGATACGCCCAGTATACTGAAACCAGGGCATCGCTTTAAATAGAGAGCAGAGAGAACTAGCAGCACCTGGATTCATCATAACTTTGTTTCTCTGAACAGACGCAAAAATTAATACAGCAAAAGGAATATGCAAAACAAGTCAAGGAGTACAACATGAAGACACTATCCATTCTATCAAAACCACAAACAGAAAAAACTCAAAAGAAATCTGCTATCCCTCGGCAGAA
Source organism: Homo sapiens (assembly GCF_000001405.40). Taxonomy (NCBI): domain Eukaryota; kingdom Metazoa; phylum Chordata; class Mammalia; order Primates; family Hominidae; genus Homo; species Homo sapiens. The sequence continues at coordinate 122,957,491 of NC_000011.10, forward strand.
GGTAAGAAATTCTCAACAAGGCATTTATTTTTTCAAGCAGAATTAAAAGGAAACTTTTATTATCGCTTTTTTTTTTTTTTTTTAATTAGCCACAGAGTCTTGCCGTCTTGCCCAGGATGGTCATAAACTCCTGGGCTCAAGCTATCCTCCAAACTAAGCCTCCCCAAGTGTTGGGAGAGGCACCACACCCAGCCCGTTTTCTTGTAACTTAAAAAAAAAACCTTCCCATTTTTTTGGAACGCAGGAGATGTTTTAGCTACTTCCATTCCTGTAGCTACCCATCATTCACAGATAGCAATGCAATAGTGACACACACACAGTCACACACACACACACACACACTTTTGTAAAGTTAACCTTTGTTTTTCCTGAAGTTATTGTCTCCATGTCTTTTCTTCCAGGAATAGTATTTTAAATGTGTCACACATAAAAATTAAATAATAATGTGATTTCTTAAATGAGCAAGCTTCATCATCAATTTTATTTTGTATCATTAAATAAGCTTTAAGGCAGTTGTTGTCTTCTTGCTGCTTATATGTCAAAGAAAAGACATATAAACACTGTTTCTCTCAACTTCATTCCCCTACACTCTCCATAGGGATTGTAATATATAGGTTCCTCTATTGAAGAAAAATGATTTCATGGAATACAGAATGTTCTCCCTCTCAGATGGCATCAACCATCAGTTGTGATGTGAATGAAATATGTACACAGAGCTTTGCAGTACAAGTCTCTGCCTCAATTGATCTATCCAGTCCCTGTAAGGACACGGGACCCTTTGCATGAGGAACAAGAGATCCTTTGGTGCCTGCAGGAATTTGTACTTCATGTTCTCTTTCACAGACCATCATATTTTCTATTTATTGCCTTTCTTCCTCAGACCTTGAAGACCTCAATCCACTTGATTGAGTTTCTATGGTGCTACTTTTTCTTTTTTCTCCAATCCATTTTTTTTTCATGAAGAGTTTCAAGGCAACAAACCTATAATTAGAAATATCTGTAGCATTCACCTACATGCACTGAGAAGTCTAGACTTTTCTTTTCTACATTTTAGAGGGTTTTTTTTTCCCCTTGCAGGACTGAAAGCATACAATCCATTTGTATTTCAGCTATCAACAACATCTTACTAAAATGCAAAACTGTTATAAAGGCAGGTTTAGGAATCATATTTAGTGATCTCATTTTTATTGTAATGCCTTTCAGAACTGACATCACTGAGAAAAAGACTGCCTTTTTCAGCGTCTAGATTGCTATAGAAAGAAAAAAATTTCAACCTCAAATACTTTCTAGATCCTAGGAACAAGAATAGCTGGTATAATGATGGGAGCTCAAGTGTATGTAAACTACAGTGATGTCTTTGGTCTCAAGCTGTAACAAGTCTTCTTTGGATAGAAAGGTCTATTAATATCTCCTTAATAGAAGTTTGGTTTTACTAAGACTTCCGGAAACTAAGTAGACCAAACACATAAGAAGGAACACTTGAAGGAAACTCAGTTTTATGACAAAAGCATCCAAAGGACACAACCGTATGTATTATTCTTCAACTCCTTTTTTTCCACAATATATTGTTTTGTGGCTAATGTATTTTGTTTAAACTGTGTGTTATATTGCATTGTTTGATCTCCATTTCCACCAATGTCTTAGTAAGTTATAGTGATAGTCTCCATTTATATTATAAATAAACATTTCCTAGATTTAATTTAAGGAATCCAGGCTCACTTCCCATTTCAAATAAAATTTCATCTTTATGCGTTTAGGCTTTGGAATACGCTAAGACCATCCCCAAACCCAAACCATCAAATCTGACTCATCAAGCATCAAAGGAACAAAAAAATCCAACCTATGCTGGGAAAGAAGAAAGTTTACCTGAAATCTCACTGCTGGAAATACTGCAGAACAGACACGAAAGGGAAAAACAGGCTGTGGCTGCTTTCAAAGTCCTTCACATCGTATAGACAACATTTGATAGGAAGGAGACCAAAAATGGTCCAGGAATGAACGTGGAGAAAAGAAACGCCAACCACCTTCTCTGCGTTGAGAGTAATGGCCTATTATTATCATCTATCTGCCGTCCATGTTTGCTTTCTGCAGGATTTAAAATATGAGGCCCAATTGGATTATGGTGCCATATTTTACTTTCTAGGAAGAAAATTTTTTAAATTATTTATTTTCAAATCAGTTAGAATTGGAGCTGAATAATAACTAGAGAATAAAGCTTTTGTTTTATATTGATCTTTTGATTTCTTCATCTCTACCCCATTCCTTAGCATAATGGAAACCTTAAAGTTACCCAGAAATAAATGTAGCTGTGTTTCTCTCTTACCTTCCTAGTAAGAAAAACAAGTATAAACATTTCAGTTTCTCCTAAAATGAACTCAGTCATCCATAAATTTTGTGATAACATTTCAAAATATTACTAAAATCTCCAAGTTTGGCAAAGGGCTTATATATATTAAGTTGAGGCCGGGCACAGTGGCTCACGCCTGTAATCCCAGCACTTTGGGAAGCTGAGGCAGTTGAATAGCTTGAGGCCAGGAGTTTGAGACCAGCCTGGGCAACATGGTGAAACCCCATCTCTACTAAAAATACAAAAATTAGCTAGGCGTGGTGGCGCATGTCTATAGTTCCAGGTACTCAGGAGGCTGAGGCACAAGAATTGCTTGAACCCGGGAGGCAGAGGTTACAGTGAGCCGAGATTGTACCATTGCACTCCAGCCTGGGCAACAAAGCAAGACTCTGTCTGAACAACAACAACAAAAGGTTCCTGCCCTGACAGATTCTCTGGTCGGGGTCACAGGGATGTTAAGACAGCTGGCTGCCTGGGTCTTCGCTGACCATGCTGTCCTGGGTGGCACTTTCTGCCACTGCCACAGTGGCCCCCTCTCTGTAGAATGCAGTTTTCTTAGGTCCAGGGGTATTGCAGGCAACAAGGACCTTTCACACAGGGAAGCCACTCCTTGCCCCTCTACCACCTCTTCCTTCCTTTTCCTATAGAGGAAAAGTTCGTTTTGGGCTGATCCCTGAGGAATTCTTCCAATTTCTTTATCCTGAAACCAGTGTAACAGGACCCTATGTGCTCCAAACTGGGCTTATCTTGTATGCTTTATCCAAAGAAATATACATGATTACCCCAGAGACCTTTTCTACTATATCAATAGTAGGGTTACTTGTCTATGTAATTTAAAAATATGGTGCCTCTATTGGAGAATCTGCTTATCAACTCAATGAGCAAAACATTGCCCAACTAGAAGAGGTGAAGCAGGCTTCCATCAAACAAATCCAGGATGCAATTGATTTGGAGAAGTCGCAGCGCTCACTGGTTCAGAAGCGCCATTACCTTTTTGATGTGCAGAGGAATAACATTGCTATGGCTGTGGAGGTTACTTACTGGGAATGACTGCATAGAGTGTATAAGGAAGTAAAGAATCGCCTGGACTATCATATATCTGTGCAGAACATGATGCGTTGAAAGGAACAAGAGCACATGATAAATTGGGTGCAGAGCATCTCTGCACAACAGGAAAAGGAGACAATTGCCAAGTGCATTTGGGACCTAAAGCTGTTGGCAAAGAAGACTCATGCACAGCCAGTTATGTAAATGTATCTATCCCAATTGAGAGAGCCAGAAACAGTTGACTGACTAAATGGAAACTAGGCTATGTGGCAAAATCTTTCTGTATTGCCCTCTACTGAAGTAGATAGTTTATATCTCCTAAAAATGAAACATTTGTTCCCTATACTGAGAGAACTCAATCTATTGGCCAATCAGATGTTTCCCATCCTTCTTACTCAGCATTTGAGTTGTTCCATGATCATTTTTTTATTGTTGTTTTTTTTGCTGTTGTTGTTGTTTTTAGACAGACTCTCGCTCTGTCACCCAGGCTGGAGTGCAGTGGCACAATCTCGGTTCACTGCAACTCCGCCTCCTGGATTCAAGCGATTCTCCTGTCTCAGCCTCCCTTCAAGCAATTCTCCTGTCTCAGCCTCCCGAGTAGCCGAGATTGCAAGCGTGCACTACCACGCCCGGCTAATTTTTATACTTTTAGTAGAGGCAGGGTTTCGCCATGTTGACCAGGCTGGTCTTGAACTCCTGATCTCAGGTGATCCGCCCACCTTGGCCTTCCAAAGTGCTGGGATTACAGGCGTTAGCTACTACACCTGGCCCTATGATCACTTTTGAATAAGCAGTTTGCCTTTGTTAAATCTTGGTGCCTGACTAAAGATTACCAGGTTATAGTTTAAATTTGTAATTAATTCTACCATCTTGCAATAAAGTGACAATTGAATGAAACACAAATAAATAAAGAATAAAGTTGAAAAAAAATGAAGGTACATCTGGCTGTGCCTGCTCAGATAGAACAAATCCTAATGTTGTTCTAACAGAGCATCAAGACATTAGTTAGAAACCCTCCAACAAGTCCAGAAACACCTAATGCAGGCAACTCTGAGAGACACACTTTATCAAAGCTCCTTACTCCAAGTACATAAATTTGCTGGCCATTTTGCCATCACAAATATCTTAAAATATTGTCAAATGTGTGTTTTCACACACACAAAAATAGATAAGACAAAAGCATTCCATAGTTTACTACTGAATACAAATGTTAATAAATATTTTTTAGTTTTTAAATCTTTTTTAATATTGCAAGAATTCCCAGTCTTAAAATCATTACTGGAGAGTTTAATTTTCTACTTCCTTCCTTATATTAGATGGACATTACATTTTTAGATAGGCATATCCAGAAGTGGATAATTTGAACATCAATTTGGGGAAAATCTGTTTATCTATACGTGTGGTGTAAGGACTAGCTTTGGAAATGTACTCCTATGTTGTATACATTTTACATATACCAAAATGTAGCATAAAAGATGCCTGTATGAAACCTTCTCTTAAAACTGAAAGCAGTTAGAATTGAGAGTCTGCAAAGATAACAAGTATCTGAAGATAAACAGAAAACTGGTGAATCATGTTTCAGTGGGATTTGGAAAATGTAATATATGAGGCATTAGACAGGAAAATCACAGGCCAAAACTACTCCTAAAATGTATTTATAAGAGAAGAGGCCCTTCTAGGTGCATGAAGACATTTCTAGAAATATGAGGTAGAATGAATAACCTTCATTAATTGTTTCCGAAATGGCCTTAAATTCGAACTTAATTTGGAAGAGAAAAAGAATGCATATAGAGACATTCATATTTAAAGGGATAGGGTAAAATTTTTAAATATTCCATTTGTATTATCTTAAAATAGTTTAGAGCTTGGAAAGTTTGTCACATTCAACTGCCAGTTTTTCAGAAGATGAAATGGAGGTGAAGAGAAAGGTTACATGACTCGGAAGTCCATCAGTCCTACTGAGAGTAATGGGAGGGGAGCCAGGTCTGAATCTCCCATCTTTGAACACCAGGAATAGTACTTTTTATTTGTCTATGGAAAGAGGTTGTCCTTGTTTCTCTGTGTGGATGAGCAACATATAGTTGCTATGAATTTCTATTTTGGACCTGAATTTCCACCAAGTTCAATTTTTAGAAATATGCATTACTATGTACCTAATAGTTTTTTAGCATGTACAATCTGCCAACTTCCTTACAACATTGATAAAAGTAGAATACACATATAAAGCAACTCAAACTTAGAAACTGACCAATAAAAGAGACACTATTTATTTTCTTTTTTTTTTCCAGAACATTTCAAAAACTTCCCATACTGTTTTTCTGTTAGCTTAAGCGTTGTTAAATCCTTCACTTTCACACCTACTGTCAAGAACCCAAATTTGGCTGAAGCAGCTTAAGTGATTCAGTTCATGTCAAACAACATTTCACAGGATTCTTACCCCCAAGGCAACTCTTTACTATCCAGTACATAAGACTCTAGAACATTAAAATTCTTTATATAGTGCCATGTGGCATCTAAAATAACTTTGGCTAGGAAATAAAACATATTTGCAGAAAGTTTGGGGTTGAAATCAAAGAATGGATCAAAGTGGCCCTTCATTTGGCTCCACGTCATCTCACAATAGTGAAATACAGCAGAATGTCACTAAACTACCATAAAACTAAGGGGAGAGATTTTGCAAAAACAGGGAGTGACAGACACGTTTTTTGCTCCTGTTTTAAAGTAAATTGTACTAATGACAACAATAGTGATCTTTTATAGGCCCAAGTTGGATCAGTGATCAATTCATAGCATTTCTGTTTCAAATATTCAAAAGCAAAAAATAATCTGCCAATTAGAAAACAAAAAACTTCAAACTTAAGTGATGTAATGATGGAGCACCTGTATTTGACTAGATGTTATATACATGCCATTGAAAGACATAGTACCTAATCTGCCTAATGTCTATAAACTGGTGCAAATAAAAGACATTTAAACCATGTATTCTCTCTTATTAAAGCCTCCTTTTAATTGTGTTTTTCCATCTTGAGTTTCCAACAAGAGCATCCTTTTAAAGGGAGCTTTTTTTTTTTTTTTTTACAAGTAGCTGAATTTAATGACAGCTGTCTTCCTGATATTGTTTTGTATAGTAAGGAGTCTCTTGGGAGTTATCCAGAAACCAAGTCAGGAAAAGACAATATTGAGGAACAAAATAAAAGGTAAGCCTAGCAAAGGCACTGATGCTTAATGGTTCCAATTGGGGCCTTATTATTGGTTAATGAATCATTGTCAAAACATCACAGCAAGCAAGAACGTGCACAGTCTAGTCTATAGTGAGAAAATGACTCCATCCCAACAGTTATTAACTGGGAGTTGTTTGAAAACACGTCCGGTAATTATAACAACACTGGAGCTAATTGAGAACTTTGAGTTGATAGCAAATGGCCCACAATAGCAGACTAGATAACTCGGGGGATTCTTCTTTAATTACTTATTGAAAAATAGCAGAAAATGAATTGGATGTGGGTTATAGTCTGCAGATATCAAGACAAGTTTCGGTAATTCTATCCCAAGATGTGCTTCAAAATGTATCTGTTACCATTATATTAGAAGTAGCATCTGAAAATGTGAAGTTCCTAAGTAAAAATCAGGGTTGCTTTCCTAAATATGCCTTTTTTAAGATTACTTTTCCTATTAGAGTAAGAATCAGGCTTTAATAATATACATTTCATTCTAACAGTCAAGTATTCATAGGACGACTATAGGAATTCTCCTCCCTAACGCTAACTGTGTTTCCACAATTGCTATTCCCAATGGGTAAAAACAGGGAGACACAAAGATACAGAAATACTCCATTTGCCTCTTTAGTTGTTTTCCCAGTCAGGAAAGGATTTAAAACTGTAGCATGAAGTGAAATTTTTGAATGACTGTGGATTTTGTTTATCCGTTGTGCTTGTTCTCCCTACATCAGTGATGATAAAATATTGTCAAAATAATATTTTTCCATACTATAAAGGCAAAATAAAAGCAAGGACATATGTTCTAATAAAAAGTTACATTTAGACGTTTATTCCACTTTTTGAAATATATTGAAGGAGGGTCCCAGAAGCTGAAAATCTGATGCTCAGCACTGTCCCCCCACCCTACTGCCTCCAGACTAAGTGCAATGTTTGTTTCTACACACCCTCTAGCTTCATTAAGCAAAACCACACATCTATCTCACAAAGAGACAGAGGAAACGTAAAATATCCCAATTTCCTAAGCAAACACCTGGCCAATGGAAAGCAAAAGGCTTCGGATGGAAGACTTCATTCATTCATTCGTTCATCAGACTCTCTAAATTACTTCCTAGTGTGAAACACTCCCACTTTTCATGTTTGGTTATTTACTTTTGGCTCAGTAAAATAATTGGAAAGTTGACACTTTTCCAAAATGTTAGACAACACATTGCAAGATACAATAAGATACAAAATGAATAATATTTTCAGCTCTCTCCACCTCTCAATATATGGGCTCTGGAAAATATGAAGAAAGGGAAAAAGAATTTGGTGAACAGGATTTATCTCCCTTGCTGCCTCTCCATTGCCTTTTCATTTTCCCCTTGCAAACCTGGGTAATGTAAGTAATTAATTTTCAATAAGCTGAATAAATGGTCTTCCGCTATTAAATAGCTCTAACAGGTTGAAAGGTTTACAATGATGTGAGCATTCCAGGCAAATGTATTTAGTGAAGCCTTGGAAATCTCTGATAAGATTTCATAAATACCCTTTGCTGAACTGGCAGCTTGTAGAGACCAGCACTGATACTGGGGCTGCTAAACGGGCTACTCAGGGCACCCTCTGTCACTAGGGTCTCAAGCTTTTGCAAGAGAGGTTTTAGTGCTAGATATCCCTATGGTTCAAATTTCATAGTAGGGGAAATAACTGCCCAAAATTTAAAACCCAGAAAATATGATCAGCCGTCCTTTGGGAAGCTGTCTAAACAGAGGAAGGAAGTCAAGAACAAACTGAATAAAACCAGTTCAGATCTCTATGTTTTATTCTTTCCTCTGTGGCAAAATCATCTCCCAAATCAATCTTACATTTTATTTTTTTACCATCCAGACAACTATCAAAATCATTATCATGAAACCTGGTTGGCCCTGCCTCATATCATATCTCCACCCTGTCACCTGGCAGTGATGTCTTTTCCCATTTCCCCTGCTTCCACACAATGGTGACACTTTGAAGTAGTGCTGATGAGGTTCCCAAATCTGTTGTTTCTGCTTAAAATTGATAATCTCCTATGATAAAAACCTCAAGCATCTATTTTTAATGAAACCTTTAGATGAATATCAAAGAACTATTTAGCCATGCCTAATATTTTAATTAGATTATATTCTCAATTTAACCCATTAAACCTCCTTTGATGATCCCAATATTTAGTGTTTAGCCTCAGATGCATGAGGTAATGAATACTGGACCTTTTGATTTAATGAGAATTTCAGCTCTTCCAGCCTGCGCCTCTTTGTATACCTTTTATTTTGCTGGCTATAGAATTCAGTTAATTGAAGGAGTCTCTTACCATCACACATTAAGGAGTATAAATTAGCATCCCTATTCTGATTGGAAAATGCGAGCAGACAGTTTTGCTTTGATCTGAGGACTGAGCTGCAGAAGCCAGCAGCCCTCTGAAAATGAGCTGATGGCCCTTGTTCCCAGGGCAAAATGCAGATGCATCCATGTGTCACAAAACACTTAATGTCTTAATTGATCATCTCCCAATTCTTCCTGTCCTGTGTGCATCATTCTCTTTAGAGACTTGTATATGCGTCTGTCTGTATATGTCTATTTGTGTATCTGTATCTTTGTCTTTCTCTCTCTGCTCATCCTTTCTGTTTCTCCCCTCTCCTCAGGCAGCTAGGGACCTAGGTTTTAAATTAATCTGAGACAAAGGAAAATGAAATAATATAAATTCCCTCACCTTGAAATTTATAAGACTGTCTGGCAGAGCTATTCAGAACCTTCCACAGGCAAAGATTCTTAAGAACTAACTCTAACTTCCAATGCTCTCAACCAGGCAGATCCCAAGCCGTTGGTACTGCATCACTTAATATGAAGTAGATAGGCTATTCTGTGTTTTGGCAAGGAAATCAGCCTTCTTATCTGTTCCAGTGATAATGCAATTCTCCTGTAGCTCAACAAGTCAGTTACATAAAAGAAATGTCAAGGTAAAAGATCAACACCTCCATCACTCACTGTAAATGCCAAAATAAAACAGAAAATTCAAATTATAGGACTTCTGGATAAATATGGTATACTGAACACACACACACACACACACACACACACACACACACACACATCTATTTCATTCCCTTGACAAGTCCTACTAAAATAACAGTAAAGGTTTTTAAGTGACATAAGTATATAAGAACAGGGAGAACAGGAGGAGGGACAATAGTAACAACATTTTGAAAACTGGAAAGCATATGAGTTGTTTAAAAGAATTAGCAGACTCAAAAAACACTAAATTCTTTTTATATTTTCATATAATATGAGATTTCTCCAAAATACTAAATTCTAAGCTAGCAATAGGAAAGCCAAGAATCAATCTGACTTACATTCTAGAATACCCAAAATGCTCAGGAATTAATGGTGTCAGTTACCTCTCAAAGTAGGAATGAATGGAGACGTGGGGCAGGGGGAGCTAATGAAGGGTAACTGCATGAAAGTCAGTTTCAGAGCAGTTACACCTGTAAATCCTTTCCTCAATTCCCATGCAGCCAAGCACAGCCCTTGCACTGCCACAGTAAAAGACACTGCCCTAGTGTCTTTGGAGTCAGGGACAATTGGTTCTATTGAGGATGCACAGTACGTGCTGAAAAAAGAGTCAATAGTGAACATGTGTACTGTAAACACAGAAACCTCTGGTCTTCCATTTGCCTCCCAGAACGTTGGGACTTTATCCTACAAGCAGGAATTTGGAAGGAAAGTTCTTCTCTGGGGAATCTGACCAGCCTAAAAAAAGACCTAAAAATCCTGACTTCAGAGGTTCTCCAACTAAAGACCCCAACCTTGTTATCCTACAGTTAAACCTCAGAAATCAACGAGTCCCATCCATGTACTCAGTTTCCTATCAGCTTTCTGGCCTCTCACTTAAATATGAGCAGACAACCAAGAATTTCCAAACATCGGAGGATATGACACAGGACCATTTTAAAAAGGAACAAGAAAATTAAAAGAGATCTTGGGAATTAGAATTAGAGTCAAAAAATTAAAAACACAAAAATAAGGTTAGAAGACAACATTGAGGAATTTTTCCAAAAATCAGAGAAAAAAGGCAAAGGGATAGAAAATAGGAGATAAGAGATTAGAAATTTAGAGAATAAATCCAGGGGGTAAAAATCCAAATAACAGGAGATCTATAGAAATCATTAAAGAATTCAAGAGTACTCCCCATAACTCAAAAAAAAAAATACATTTTCAGACTTAAAAGAGTTTATTGAATACCTGGAACAATGGATGAAAATAAACCTAAAGCAAGGCATATAATTGTAAAATGTCAGTATACTGGCTACAAAGAAAGTATCCTACAAGCTTCCAAAAAGGAAAATAAATGAATAAATAAAACAAGACACACATAAAAAATCAACAATCGAAGTCGTTTTAGACTTCACAATAGCAATTGGAAGCCAAAAGTCAGTGAAGTGATGCACTCAAAAGTATTCAAAAATGATTTCCAACTTAGAATGCTATACTCAGCCAAATTACTAATAAAGCATGAAATTAGGATAAAGATACTTTTAGATAAGGAAGATCTCCAAACATTTACCTCTCATGTACCAATTGTCAAGAAACTGTAGTAAACTGTGCTCCACCATAATGAGAGAGTAAACCAAGAAATTAAAAAGATATGAGAAACAAGTAAAATACAATGAAATTAAAGGAATCCCCAAGATGCTGGGAAGGGAGAGCCATTTACATAGAATCCAGAATGGAGCAGATCAGAAGGCTCTGGGAGAGGTGTGTTGAGGAAAATGAAATGTTAAGAATTTGTGAATATCTTGAGAGTGTGATACAGACAAACGGCAAAGAGTTTGGGAATAAACTAGTCATAAGTACATTAAAATTAAGAATAATAAAATAAGTGTTAATTCCAAGGAAAACAAAAAGTCTCGCAGAAAAGTCATTGATTACCTGGCTTAGCTGAGAATTGCATGTACACATCATCACAATGCTCTAGGCCGAGCACGGTGGTTCACTCTTGTAATCCCAGCACGTTGGGAGGCCAAGGCGGGCAGATTACTTGAGGTCAGGAGTTCGAGACCAGCCTGGCAAACATGGTGAAACCCTGTCTCTACTAAAAATTCAAAAAAATTAGCCAGGCATGGTGGTGGGCGCTTGTAGTCCCAGCTAGTCGGGAGGCTGAGGCAGGAGAATGGCGCTAACCTGGGAGGCGGAGCTTGCAGTGAGCCGAGATTGCGCCACTGCACTCTAGCCCGGGCGACTGAGCGAGACTCCGTCTCAAAAAAAAAAAAAAAAAAAAAAAACCCTCATAGAACTATTTGACTCTTTAAACAATGTTCATGGTGATAAAACCCTAATCTTTAAAATTAAAGAACTTAGGAAGGGAAGGAGAAAAAAAACAGATGGAAAAAGAGCAGAGCATGCATACAGTATTCGTTTTTTGCTCATAGCATGTAAATTATTCTCATCTGAAACTCAGGATGAGGAGCACCCTTCTATCTTATGACCATTGTTTTCCACAGCCTATTTCCAATCTCAAGTCAAGCACTGTGGAAAAATAAAAACTATTTAGCCATTCTTTAATTTCCAGCTAGAATTTGGCAACTACACTTAGCCACTCCATCATCTATAGCCATGGAGACTAGGGTGACAATAGATGTTAGAAATGTTCAGCTAAGGGCAGGCGTGGTGGCTCACGCCTGCAATCCCAGCACTTTGGGAGGCCAAGGCAGGTGATCACGAGATCAGGAAATCGAGACCATCCTGGCTAACACCGTGAATCCCCCTGTCTGCTAAAAATATAAAAATTAACTGGGCATGGTGGCATGCACCTGTAGTGCCAGCTACTTGGGAGGCTGAGGCAGGAGAATCACTTGAACCCAGGAGGTGGAGGTTACAGTGAGCCAAGATGGCGCCACTGCACTCCAGCCTGGGCAACAGAGCAAGACTCCATCTCGGAAAAAAAAAAAAAGGAAAGAAAGAAATGTTCAGCTAATTCCCAAAGTTTATATTAGTCAATATTGTTAAACAACTTATTCTTGTCATAAAGAGATATCCATCATGGGTTTTTTTTTTTTTTGTCTTTTTTTTTTTTTTTTTTGAGACAGAGTCTTGCTCTGTTGCCCAGGCTGGAATGCAGTGGTGAGATCTTGGCTCACTGCAACCTCCACCTCCCGGGTTCAAGCGAGTCTCCCTCCTCAGCCTCCCAAGTAGTTGGAATTACAGGCATGCGCCACCACTCCCAGCTAATTTTTGTATTTTTAGTAGAGACGGGGTTTCACCATGTTGGTCAGACTGGTCTCGAACTCCTGACCTCAAGTGATCCAGCCACCTCAGCCTCCCAAAGTGCTAGGGTTACCGGCGTGTGCCACCACGCCTGGCTCATCATGTCTTTTTTTTTTTTTTTTTTTTTTTTTTTTTGAGGTGGAGTCTCGCTGTCTCCCAGGCTGGAGTGCAGTGGCGCCATCTCGGCTCACTGCAAGCTTTGCCTTCCAGGTTCACGCCATTCTCCTGCCTCAGCTTCCCGAGTAGCTGGGACCACAGGCGCCCCACCAGTCCTGGCTAATTTTTTTGTATTTTTGGTAGAGATGGGGTTTCACCGTGTTAGCCAGGGTGGTCTCGATCTCCTGACCTCGTGATCCGCCCATCTCGGCCTCCCAAAGTGCTGGGATTACAGGCATGAGCCACCGTGCCCAGCCCATCATGTCTTTTTTTAAGCTAAAAAGTTCTGTAAAAACTTTAGAAGAAATCGTGCCTTTTCCCTAGTAGATTCCATACTGGAATCGTAGGCAAGTCTTTATCACTTAAGAGGGTTCCCATGAATTTGAATTCTAACTTCTCTCCCCACATAGCATTACGTCTGTCACCAAATAGGATAACAGAAACTCCAGGGCTGGATGAGTGTTGGATAAGTAATGGGGCGGAAAGGACCCTTCTAATGGAAACATCCTCAGTGAAGGCTCTGAATCCTATTTCATTCAGGGCTTACACATCCTCTCTTAGCCCAAGAGGTAGAACAATGACAGACAAAGAGAAAATAAGATGAAGTTATTTTAGAAAATAAAATTTCTTTGAAAGAGACATAACTCCTTTGTAATGATGTGGTTAGGCCCAAGACTAATAACTTTTAGTTAACCATGTAACAGTTGTAGTACTATGGATGTTTGGAACATATCACATTTATCACTGATATGTTCAGATCTATATTGTAATTCATTATCTTCCTCTAGCTCTTTTCATCCAAGACCTCACAGTAGGTACTTTCATAGTTCTTATCTCATCCCCTCACCATTCTAAACTGATTCATAGGGCTCTAACCTCATTTTTCAGATGCCAAGTTACAGAAATAATGTTATCATTGGTAAAAGTAAAATTAGAATTTAAGCATCAGCCTGGCACAGTGGCTTACACCTATAATCCCAGCACTGTGGGAGGCAGAGACAGGCAGATCACATGAAGCCAAGAGTTAGAGGCCAGCCTGGCCAACATGTTGAAACCCTGTCTCTATCAAAAATACAAAAATTAGGGCCGGGCGTGGTGGCTCACACCTCTAATCCCAACACTTTGGGAGGCTGAGGTGGGTGGATCACCTGAGGTCAGGAGTTTGAGACCAACCTGGCCAACATGGTGAAACCTAGTCTCTACTAAATATATATATATATATACACACAAAAAAAAAAATTAGCCAGGCATAGTGTTATGTGCCTGTAATCCAGCTACTCTGGAGGCTGAGGCATGAGAATCACTTGAACCTGGGAAGCAGAGGTTGCAGTGAGCCTGGCTGACAGAGTAAGACTGTCTCTAAAAGAATAAAACAGGCTGGGCATGGTGGCACACACCTGTAATCCCAGCTACTTGGGAGGCTGAGGCAGGAGAATCGCCAGAACCCAGGAGGCAGAGGTTGCAGTGAGTCGAGATTGTGCCACTGCACTCCATTCTGGGTGACAGAGTAAGACTCTGTCAGAAAAAAAAAAAAAAAAAAAAGAATGTAAGCCTCTAAGTCAAGCCATTCATCATGCTAAATCTAATGTGGTTACCCAATACTATAAAGAGAGTAATGGCCGGGCGTGGTGGCTCAAGCCTGTAATCCCAGCACTTTGGGAGGCCGAGGTGGGCGGATCATGAGGTCAGGAGATTGGGACCATCCTGGCTAACATGGTGAAACCCCGTCTCTACTAAAAATAAAAATAAAAATAAATTAGCCGGGCGTGGTGGTGGGAGCCTATAGTCCCAGCTACTCTGGAGGCTGAGGCAGGAGAATGGTGTGAACCCAGGAGGCAGAGCTTGCAGTGAGCCAAGATCATGCCACTGCACAGCAGCCTGGGCAACAGAGCAAGACTCCGTCTCAAAAAAAAAAAAAAAAAAAAAAACCAAAAAAAAAAAACACAGAGTAATAAGAGAAGGCTCATGGAATTCGTATCAATGAAATCATGGAGGAAAGTTTATCAGTGTACACACTGGGAATTCTCAGAGAACAGGCATAAATGAAATGGAAAAGAAATATGTCATTGGGAGGGGGGTTACAACCAGAAAATACAATAGGAGAGAAAACACAAGAACCATTCTGAATTTTCATCTCACTCCTAAATATTATTGGAATTATCTCTGACTGTTAGATGTATTAATTTCATAACTTGCCTGATAACAGGCTGTGTAATTTCAGACAAGTCAATATCTCTGACTGTCAGTTGCCTCATCTGTAATTAAAAGAGAGCAGGTCAAAATTTTTATAGTGGAGAAATGTAGAAATTTAAGATAGCTAAGAGATCATCTAGCTCATCCTATTGTATATAGGACTACTTTCTAAATAGGCTTCAATGAAAACAGGGCTAAGGAATTTAGTACCTTCAGGAAAGCTCATTCAACTTTCAGATGGCTCTTAATCAGAAGTTTTTCCAAAAGTTGATCTAAGATTTTACTAGATAATTTCTACCTGCAATGTTAAAAACTTATACCCAAAATTGCTATGAAAAATCTTCTCCTCCATATGCTACAATGACAGTAGCTCCACAATCACTTTTATCACAACATGAGTTATTTGTAAGGTAAGATAATTAACGTTGGCTTCTAGTCTTAATTCCACCACTGTCTATGTGATGTTAGCAAAGTACTCACCACTATATCTGGGCCTTAATTTCTCCAATTTATAAAATGAAGGGCTTAGATTTTGTCAAATATCTCTTCTAACACTGACAATTTCTTCCTGACTGTATCTTTGTCCTTGACTTAGTGGAACATCACTTTGTTCTCGCTGACTTTCTAGAATGAGGTGTTGGAACTTCTTTAATAAATAAAGAAATATCCTTTTCCTCTCTTTGTTGTTTCCCTTAAAACTTCTAATTGCTGTGGATATATGTGTTTAAGTTAAAGTATAGAAACTGAAATCTTTGTGAGATAAAAACTTTAATAACTTGGGACTTGCAGTCCCTTTCCTACAATAAAAAAGATAGATTAGGATCTTAACAGTTAGAAAGAACCGTACAGGATATCTAGCCCAATCTCCAACTACTGGAGAAATCTGTAATAGACAAGCCCTTATGTTGTGTCTTCCAGCCTCTGGGATTTCTAGTGAAAACGTACTCAATGTTTTGTGGACTTATCCTGTTCTATTGATGTACAACACAGTGCCTGTCTTCAAATGTTGCTCCAGAATCTGCTTCCCTGGAATCACCCATTGATTCTGGTTCTATCATCGGTTAGCATGGCAGAATAGATATACCTCTTCATGCTTAATAGCCCCGTAACCATTCATATTCAACTACCATAGCTGAACCTCCTTCCCCACTTCTCCCCCAAAGCTTTGCTCCTCCAAGCTAAAGCTCACACTTCTTTATTTGTTGTTTTCCACACCCTTTACTATCCAGGTTCCTGCATAGTGGATGAGTTTTAGCTTGTCTATATTCTCTTTAAAATGTGATGCCAAAAATATAAATGTATAAAATACGTCAATTAACTTGTTATTTTTCACATATATTGAGCCCAATTCAGGAAGACCAGGGAGTCACTGCTTCAACTAAATATGTTTATTGCACAATTCTCTTAGCACCAGAAAGCATTCTGCTTGCTCTGTGCCTTCACATCTCTCTCTAATTATCAAATACATTGATGAAAGCCAGCCCTCTATCTTTTCAATTGGTGTCATGGACTCCAGCTCAGCATTTCTTAGTGCTAACATCAGCTAAAACCGGGCTGTATGGTATATTGTCCATTTCTTACATTCTCACATCATGTGAGCAGAAATATTATCAGGAATCCCTCTCTGAGAATCTATGAAATGAAGTCCATCAGAAACACAGCATTCGAACAAGTGCAGAACAAATTATTTATGACATGTGGGATTAGATCTAAAATGACTTCCCTACCTTGGCTATTTTGTGATATTTTTGCTTCTTCAAAATTAGACCTCTGAATGTCTTTTAAAGATATATCATAATAAACATAGTTTTGTCAGATCTTTACCACAAGTGAAACTGAGTTGAAGCAAAAGCCTGGGTTATTCAGACAAAATACTTTTTCAGCCTGTGGAAGCTTTGATCAGTATTGAAAGCCAAAACCAAAAAGCACTGTCATGTTACATTAAATTGAGACTAAATTGTGCCTATCCTTTATCACTATCACTCACTCACTATATAAAAATAAATAAAACTAGAACTTTGCTATTCGATTGTTTGCCATCAATTACAGGGAATTTTTTGATGAGAAAACTGTGCCATAGTTGGCGTGGCTGGTGCCACAGTTCTCACCTCTTCCCTTGCTACCTAATCCACCAAGAAACCACCACAGGGGAGCACCAGGGTAAGGAGGAATGAGTATCTTCCCAAGTTTAATGCTCATGAATTATAGACCCAAATAGTCCCTGGGCTCCAGGACTCATCCTGCCTCCAATCAGGCAGCGCCGTGCATATACTAACAGCTTCCCTATTTACCTGCTTTTTGAAGACAAAAAGGTAATGAAATACACCCAATCCACTCCTGTTAGACTCAGAACAGGCCCTTGACAAGTTATTGTGAAAGCAGAAGACAGAAATGCCTGGTGCTTTTGAGTTTGGATTCACCATCTAATTTACACACACACACACACACACACTTTTGCCCAAATACAGTTTTTCTACTCACTTTAAAGATTCTTTCAAACCCCTATTTAGTATTTGTTCTTCGTGGGATTAGAAGAATTCGATTTTTCCCTTGGCTCCATAATCTTGTGTAATAGTACCCCTATACACAAGGGATACACACACTTTCCCTTCCAAGTTACCAAGAACATTCTCAGTCACAAATCACTTTTTTTTCCACCAAGTCTTTTGTCATATTGTAAAGCATTTGCCAAAAAATTCTGCCTTAAAACAGTACTGCCATCATCTGAACAAGGGAGGGAGGAGAAAAATCTGAGCATAGATTTGCTTTTAATAGCCACAATCTTTAGGTTGTGTAATCTAAAGAGATGAGAGAGGTGTTCTTATAAAGTGATAGAGACAAAATGCCAATCAATGCATTGTTACCAAGAAAAATAAATAAATAAACTGCATGAGAAAAGAAGTGAACAAGGAGACAGAGGAGACATTTTTTAATCCTTCCTTGGCTGTTAGCTAGTCCTGATTTCATTAGTAAATCCTTCAATCTTGCTAAGCCTCAATTTCCTCGTCTATGAAAGGGAAAAAATACCCATATGTCATCTGAGACTCACAAGATCATTGATTGATTACAGAGCACTTTGGAAAATCCAAAAGGCTATACAATGCTTACGTTTTAAAACCAATAATTTTGCCTCCTAAATGATGCACTTGGATAAGCCGTCACTCTGACACTTATCTTTACCTGGGATAATGTTTCTCCAACAAGCCTATTGCAGAAAAACGAAAAGGCCTCCTGCTACATTCACATAAGGATAGAACTTAGACCTAAAATGATCTTTAGGATTCATCCCCATATTGGAGAAATAAGAAAACAAAAAGATTAACCCAAGCTCACACCCACTGTGGTTTTTATAATTATTATTAATCATTAGAACCCGAGGGTCAGGATTCCACTCAGTCCTACTAATTCTTTTCCAGCCTTCCTGGACTCACTTACCTAGAGACACAACCAGAAGCGAAAGAATCAGAAGGTGAGAGTGCCTCTGGCACAGCTGCTATATTTATATGTGTACTGAGTGTGTAGGGTCATCACACAATTCGGTAGTATAATTTCAAACTCCAAATATCAATACATCTCTGTCTCTTCAGCATTTCAGAGCCACAGAATACCAGAGCCACTTTTCCACTTAGGTGGAACTCAAAACCATTAATCAAACGATTCGAAACAGAAAATTTGGAGTGAGAGGGAGGGGATCAGTTAATGAAAGGTTATTCGCAAGTTCATTTCTACAGGGACTAGGAAACTGCCTAGGGCCGAGGGGAGGGGGCGTACGCGTAGGAGAACGCGGTGGCAAACCATTCCTGGAAACGCGTGATCATTCCCAGTTTTGCCCTGCGAGCCTACAAACCCGGTAAAAGAATAAGAGACCTCCCAGGGGAAAAGGAGAGGGGTAAAGCGCAAAGTCAATCAGACCCCCGCCCCATCTATTCCCCAAACAGGTGCACGCCCGGAACGCCTTTAGCCTTAACCCTTTGGCCTTCATCTTGATTTCCTAAAATGCACTGAGAATGAATATTTCCACACACAACCCGAGGAACACTCACTTTTAAAATATCAGTAGCCCGTGGAACGTGGAAGCGTTGCGGGACAGGAGCGCAACAAGTTCGGGAAGCAGAAATTGCTCTAGGGGTTTTCTGTGCCCAAGTTTCCCGCCGCGCGCTGGCGCCGCGCAGTACGCGGGAGGCAGGGCGTAAGGGGCGTCTGCGCCTGGGGGCTACAAACTCAGGAAGGGTGCCAGGATGCAGAACCGCGAGCTCTAGAGGAGAACAGGGACGGGAGAGGATGGAAGCGCCGCCCAGAGAAGGAGGGAGTCGCCTTAGTATTTGAGTCAGAGATGGGACTCTGGGGATGGGGGATGGGGGCGAGTGGGAGGTTAGTGACGAGCAGTGCACGAGTCTGTCCTGAAACTGGACGTTTTAAAGATCAGATTGTGGTTCTATCTGGATCTCGGCGGAGCGGAGGCCCCAGAGACCTGGTCCCTTTGCAGCCAAACGGACTGCCCAAGAACGGGCAAGGACTTGGCGTGGAGAGGAAAGAACAGAGCTAGGGGCAAGTTGCTGAAAGGCGAGGGAGAAAGGGGTCTATGATCGGAGAAAACAGAGAGCCGAGAGCTGAATTTCCAGTCTGGGACGCGGTACTTGGGCTGGTCCCTGACCCCAAGGACGACGGACGCAGGAAAATGGGCGCCCGGGCGCACAGTCTCCCGTGGCTGGGACCGGGAGGGCTAGAGGGGAGGCGGGAGGCCGGGCCGCGGGCCGTGCTGGCTCCGCACCGGCCTGGAGGACAGGTGGGTTTTGTTTGTCTTCCAGGAGCGGATTTCCAAGGCCCGCCACGAGACTGGAGTCTGAGTCTTCCGGTCCAGGAGGGAACCGCGCTCGGCCCCGCAGTCTCCTCCCCTGCCTACTACCCTCCCCAGCCTGGCGGCTCAGAGCACGTGCGGCCCTGAGCCCAGCTCCCCCTCGTCTCCAATGTCCACCTCGTCCTCTGGCTCGGTCAGCACGAAGGGACCGGCGGGCAGGCTCAGCCGAGCCTCGGCGGCGGTGGCGGCCTCTGAACCGCGGGGGCTGCCCTCGGGGCTTTCTGGCCCGTCTGGTGCTTTGGGTTCGTCTTGGCTTTTCCGCAGTTGCTTTTTATGCTTCATCCGCCGGTTCTGGAACCACGTTTTCACCTGATTTCGGGGAGATAAAAATAAAATCATGTCATTCCTCCAAATCTGAGCCATCGCTGGGGTTTAGGAAAATGGGCTGCAGTCCGTTGATGAAGTATCCAAGAGCGGTGATAGCCTCAACTGCTCATAAGTTATCGCCTTAAGCCGAATGAGAATCGAACAGTCTGAGGCTTTCAGGAGTAACTGTCCCAAAATAATGATGAGGATTAACATGGGTGGTTAGCAGTTATGCATATTGTTATGAATTAGAACTACTAATAGTAGGTGCTGCGTGGGCAAGTCTCTTTTACGCTCAGCTGATGTTCCTCTGATTGAGACATCTAACCACCTGATCCGCAAGACTCCTGGACAAGAAGATGAGAATTGAAACTCCGCGTTCTCATCGGAGAGAAAATCAGACCCGGGCCTGGCAGAGCTAATGATTTCATAGCAAGAGGCGTTCCGGGTAGAGACTATGAAAGATGGGGAAGAGAGGATGGGGTTTTGAGGTTGCAGGTGAATAGCGCCTAGAGGAAGATAAAAACCTTTCTTCCACTCAGGACAGGGGAACAGGGAGAGAACTTAAACCATAGTGTGTGTGTTGGGGTTGGAGCGGAGGTGCATGTGAACACTGGCCGCTGTGAGAGAGATTGAAGTGAGAAAGGGGGAAAAAATCTCCTTGTGTGGGCTTCTCTCAGGACAAGAACTCGCCTGAACTCTTACCATTTACCTCTGACCCGGGTTCCCAGCCTGGTCGGAGAGGAGTGAGGAAGGCATACGAATAAGAGTTCTTAACCTGGAGGTGGTCGTCAGAATTACCTGAGGAGTGTTTCCTTCCTGTCCAGAGCCCCGCTCGAGAAATTTTGCTTGGGTAAGTATGACATGGGGTTGGGGTGTCGGTACTTTTTTTTTTCTTTTTCTTTTCTTTTTTTTTTTTTTTTTTTTTTTTTTTTGAGACGGAGTCTCGCTCTGTCGCCCACGCTGGAGTGCAGCGGCGCGATCTCGGCTCACTGCAACCTCCGCCTCCCGGGTTCAAGCGACTCTTCTGCCTCAGCCTCCCCAGTAGCTGGGATTACAGGCGCGCGCCACCACGCCTGACTAGTTTTTGTGTATTTAGTAGAGACGGGGTTTCACCATATTGGTCAGGCTTGTCTGGAACTCCTGACCTCGTGATCCGCCCGCCTCGGCCTTCCAAAGTGCTGGGATTACAGGCGTGAGCCACCGCGCCCGGCCAGGTGTAGGTAATTTTACGAAAGCTCTTGGGAAAGGCTTAGAATAAGCGTCAGCGGGGTCTATTTCTACTCGAACTCCACAAGGTCCCGAAGGTATTAAGACTTGAAGGCAGAGAGGAACGAAGCAGAGATCAGGGCCTCCCTCTCCTCCCGCCCACCTGCGTCTCGGACAGGCTGAGGGCCGTGGCCAGCTCCACTCGTTCTGGCGTGGACAGGTAGCGCTGGATCTCGAACCTCTTCTCCAAGCCCGAGAGCTGCGAGTCAGAGAAAACCGTGCGGGCTTTGCGGCGGCGGCAGTGCTTCCCCGGCAGCTCCGCGTGCTGCGGGTGCGGGAACAGCGCTGGGACTGGCATCCCTGCAGAGAGAAGAGCAACCAAGTGGGCAGAGCGTGGGTCGCCGGAGAGCAATCTCCGCTCCGCTCCCCTCCCCTCCCCTAGCCCCCAGTGCCTTCCTCCGCCCCTCGCCTCCGTCAGTCTGCTCGCCCCAAAGCCCCTCAAGCCTTTCTCTCAGGAATCCAGGGCAGAGGAAGAAAAAAAAAAAAAGCCGCAAGAATAGCGCTTGGAGATCTTTATCTGGAAAGTCATCTAGAAATACAAACAACAAACAGTAAATAAAACAGAAAAGAAAATCGGAAAATAGATCCGGAGGCTGTTTAAAAATGTCTTCTTGGAGAGACTTCCGTAGGGTCGGCCAGCGCGGAGTCTTCAGTTGCGCCTGGCCAAGTTTTTTGCAAACGTCAAATGGCCCAGGAGCAGTCCTGTCCCCAGCCCCCACCTATCCTCCTAGACCCCTGATGACACTCATTGCTGTTCTGGGGCTGGTAGATGCATGGATATAATCTTGCCTCCAAACCTTACTGAAAAATACCTTTCTGTTTCCCAAGCCACCCCTATCCCCCTGCAGCCAAAGGGAGAGCAAAACTGCCTTATCCGGAGAAGCCCCGGAGCCGAAACAGAGGAGCATTTCTCGCCTCTCACGTCTCCTCGTCCGTTTCGGGGTCGCGCTAGGGACCCAGCTACCTAATATAGTCCTCATTCTTTTTCTCATTCTTTCCCTCTCACTCCAAGCCCAGCGAAGCAGAAGGGTTTGAGGGGTTTTTCCATGGCCGGGTCCGGGGAGACTTGTCTTTCCTGACCCTCGCAGGCTTGACTCTGTCTGAGACGCACCAAGCAGAGAGAAGCTGCCACAAGCAACATCGGCCAATCCCAGAGAAAATAAACAAACATAACAACAACCAGTGCGGGTACTTAGGGCTTTGGCCACTGCTGTATGGGAGGACCACCGGAGCAGCTGAGAATAGATTGTCACCGGCGGGTGGTGAAGCCAGTGCAGAGATGCGGACCTGGATTTACAAACACTTTTAGCTTTGTTCTGGATTCCAGCGCGCACAAACTGCCTCCTGTCTTGCCCCCAGCCCCTCCACCGACCATGGTTGTTGCCGCCTCTGAGCTATGAGTCTGGACTCAACGAATTATTCTATTCTGGCTAGATTGAAAACGCCAGAGAAAAAACCATGGATGTGGCCTTTCAGAGGGAGACAGAAAAAAATCGGAGTATTTCCCCACATCCTCCTGTCCCAAACAGACTTTGCTAGCCCTTGCTTTTTGTCAGACCAGAGAAATCAAAATACTTTAGCACCCGGCTCCAGCAATGCTGGCAGCTGGGGCAGAGGAGGGTAGCCCAGACTAAGATTGTGAGTTAAATGTTAGATGTTGAGGATGCGGAGGGTTAAAGAGCTGCATCTCCCCCTACCCCCCTTTTTTCTCACCCTTTCTGTCTTATTCAGGCTAGCCCAAACCTTCATTCACTTCTATGCCCCCAGCGGTATCTGCAAATGCTCAGTGCCTGGAAAAAAGAGATCTGGCCTGGACAGAGTGTTTTGAGTTTCTGTGCAGAAAAAGTTGTGTCCATGGGGTGGGATGGTCAAGGGTCTCCCTCTGAGTGGGCAGAGGCGGAGAATCAGGATTGAGAGATGGACCAAAGTGGCCAGGAAGATCACGAGCAGGGACACTGAGCACTGCCTACCAAGAGTATCGTCAAACCCTATACGCTGCCTCTTGACCAGGCACCTATCCTCCGCTATGAAGAGTGCGGAGGAATCACGAATTATCCCCGTGGGTTGGCATGCCTCTAGGGAGCTCTGCATGGCCTCAGCAATATCCTCAGCCTTCCACTGTCACTTAGGGAAAGAGGCCACCAAGCCAGGCCGAGCCAGTCTGGCCTTTCCTTGACTCCATCACAGGCTTAGGGTCTGTGCTAGAAGCCCTGCTCTCTCACTGCCCATACCTTGAGGTTCCTGTTACTTACCCGAGGTGGTGAGGAAATAAGGATGATGGTGGTCTCCCTTATGCAGAGGGTGATGGGCGTGAGGAGCCAAGAGGGTGGGTGTGGGCATGAGGGGGTAGCCATAGTCTAGCAGAGGCACCCGAGAGGCCAGAGAGCTGGCGAAATGGTCTGGGGCCACCTCTCTCAGCGGCTTGGGCTTGTGCAGCAGGATGTCCTCGATGAAGAAGGATGTGGGCCTCTGAGAAGACGCCGGGTGTAGAGGAGAGGTGAAGTTGAGATTCATCTTGAGCGGAGCACCTGCCACAGGACAAGGGCCGGGACGAAGTGGAGGACGCAGGCAGAGTCTCCAAGCCTGCTCGAAAGCCGGCAACCACCCTCCGAGGCTCGAATCTCCGCTGCTCTCTCCCGGGCCTGGGCTACCCCGGGCGCTGGAGAGGCAAGAAGACAAGCTCCTGGGTAGGTTGGGTCTCTGTGTTGGAGAATTGGCAGCTTGGAGAGGGGGGCCGGGAGAGCCAATGACGAGGCTGCCAGAGGCAGAGGGGAGGGTGCGGGAGGCTCGGGGCGGGGCGGGGAGCTGTCCGCGGTGCTGAACACCACCGGCCGAGCCTGGGAACAACAGAGCCCGCAGGGTTCTTGTTCCTACCAGGTTTCTCGACCTCAATTTCTGCCCCGTCACTGCAGGGGCTGCTTTGTTCCCAGTCGTTTTTAAAAGAAAGCCAAAAGGAAAAAGTCTCTGTTGTCCGGCAAACTCCTCTTTACAGAGGAGAAGGCACTAAAAGGGCCCCAAAGCAATAATGGATAAAGCACTTATTCAGGCATTTAGGCCTGGGTTTTAAGAGTTTCCATAATTTTGGTGGCAAAAAAAGAAGGGAGGAAGTGAGGAGAAAGGGCATCTGATACTTCAGATTGCTAGATTCTACTTAAGTTTATGGCTGAGGGAAGACTGGATTATTAAGGTAAAGAAAGAAAATGATGATGGTCATCACAACAGTCTTTACCTCAGTTATAGGCAGTGGGCAGGAGGAGGGTTATGTCTACATTAGTCAAGTTATTTGGTCTGTGTAAATATGTCCAGAGTCACCTCTTAGTGCCATCCTCCATGTCGCCTCAAATCTTTGCTTTCTCCTCATTTCACTCACGCGGCTTGCTATTTCTGCTGTTACTCTTTCAACCCTAGCCCCCCGAATTAATTGTACTAGGTTTTTGTTTCCCACTCCTTTTCCCAGCCTGTTTCCTTTCATTTCCGTCCCTCCCAATCTTTTGTTTTTTTCTGTTTGTCTTTTTCTAATCTGTCACATTTATTTCCCTGGAGTCAATTTGCTAAAATTAGGGTGATCATCTACAACACAGCAGGGGTAATTTCAGCTCACATCTCTGAAAATTGCTCTAATTATTGATGTTAAACTCAGGGAAATTAGAAGAAGCCACTTCTCTCCCATCTCCCCATTTTTAAGCTCTAATTTGTTGAAATCTAGTCGTCATCACAATTCCAATCACTACTGCTAATAGTAAAAGTGTTTTAATAGAGACTGAGTCCTCACAACCCATGCTATTAGATAATTAGAGGAGGTGTTAGAAAGCCAAGTGCTAATCCTGGGGCGCATGGGTAGGATTTCCATCTGATCTAGCAGGTAGAACAAATTAATTACCAGAATCAATTAGGCCCCAAACTACAGTGCACCAGGAAGTGGGAGCATTCTATTCCATGAGGATGAACTGGTAAATGGTAAGTAGATGAAGAGCTTGAGAGGAAGGAGGAAGGGATGTGGGGGAGACTTTAAAATAAGATCTTGGCAAGTAGGCATCTAAATGAAATCAGAATGCTTTGATCTGAAGTCCAAAACGTGATTTTTAAAAAATTCTAATAGTAGTAAGAACTGAAGAGGCCCAGCGTGGTGGTTCGCGTCTGTAATCCTAGCACTTTGGGAGGCCGAGGCGGGAGGATTGCTTGAGCCCAGAAGTTCAAAACCACCCTGGGCAATATAGTGAGGCCCCATCTCAGAAAGAAAGAAAGAAAAAGAAAAAGAAAGAAAGAAAGGAGAAGGGAAGGGAAGAAGGAACGAAGGGAGAGAGAGAGGAAGGAAGGAAGGAAATAAAATATGTGTATAAAAGAAAAAGAAAGAAAGGAAAGAAAGAAAGAAAAGAAAAGAAAAGAAAAGAAAAGAAAAGAAAAGAAAAGAAGACCTGAAAGCAGGTGGCCGTGGAGAGCAAGACAATAGACTTTCCAAAAGTCCTTTCCTAGCGCTAAGCCCTGGCCCATCGTCCTCAGTCACCAGACGGAGGAGACTGGTGAGGAGGGGCCAGGGGTGTCGGTCCACACTTCACAGACGTCCACGTACACCCCCGCTTCCATTGTGAGCTTACAGCATCAGCAGAGTAGAAATCAAGCCGTTCTGTCTCTCCACCCTATAGGCCGAGTGGCTATCGAGGGCTGGACGGGTGTACAACCAGAGTGTGGCCTGTGCCTGAGGGCGCCCTACACTCCAGCCTCACACAGAGCGCAGATTTGCACCCAGCCTTGGGGGCGGGATTTCGGCTTCATTCTGGGGAGGGGACCAACTTCTGTCGCAGAAGCAGAAGTGATTATTGAATGTCCCTTTGAGAGCAGGGGCAGTAAAAACATCTTCGAGTGACAGTTACCTTTGAGCCAAGGCACTGCAACCACCCCGTCAGAACTTACACACCTCTCAGAGTGTTTGCGGGATCGGGAAGGGAGTGGGGGGCAATGTAGACCGCCTCCTCCGTCCTTATCTTTCCCTTGTTTCGTGAGCCCTGGACTCAGCGTCCTGCTTTCCCCCAAAGCTAAGGCAATCTCCCCAGGCCCTGCTCTCAGGCGGAGAAGCCAGGAGCGATGAGGGGCGGGGCGGCTCCCGGCGCCCTCTTTTCCAGCCCCGCTCCCGCGCTGCCGCCGGAGAGGGACTCGGGGCGCAGCCGCCCCGCCTCTGCCGGGGCCCCAGGAGGAATCTAAGAAAAGAGAGATGGAGGGAGGAAATGGCATCGCTTCAGGAAGGGGCAGGACCTCCAGGACCGAAGGCGTTTTCTTTCTCTTTCCTTTCAGCGACACTGGGAAACAAAGCTCCGCGGCTGAAAAGAACACCACGCGCGGCCAGGACCCGAGCAGGGCCCTGGGGCGCTAAGGGCGGGGAAAATAGGGCATCCGGAGTGCAGGAGATTCCTCAGGGCCGCCCCCTTCTCCGGGGGTGCCCTGAGGAACCGCGGCGGGGACTCGCCGCTGGCAGCCTGCGGGTCCTGGTGCCAGCGCGCATGGGCGGGCTGTGCGGACGTGGCTGGTCCTCCAAAGGTTTCAGATCCCGTCCGGGCCGCTCAGTCCCTTAAAGCTGTGTCCCAAAGCCTAGGGGAGACAGCGAGGCTGGGGACGCCGGGAAGTTTCTCTGAGGTGTGGGGCTCCTGAGCAGAAACGCGCGGGGGATTGCCAGGGCTGCAGAAACTTTGGCTCGAGGCGGTGGCTGGCCCGCCTTACTTCCGTGGTGGGGTTAGGGAGGCCCCTCTGAAATTCAATCTTGGTATTGAATCTGGTATCTTCCTGTGGCAGGCAACGCATACCAAAGGCGGCGGCATCACCTTCCTGCCTGCTCGAGCCCTAACCCCCACCCCACCCACCAGCCGCGGGCCCCAGGGCTGCCCAGGGAAGGAGTACATTTTTAGACATTTTTAGATAGCTTGCAAAGGTTGTCTGTGGCAGGGAACGGGGACAGGGAAACTATTTTCTCTTTAAAAGCAGAGATGTTACAACGCCGGGTTTATCTCTAAAGTCTACACCAGTGCTTCCAGTAAAAATATAATGCAAGCCACACAGGTAATTTTAAATTTTCTATTAGTTACATTTTTAAAAAAGCAGAAAGTCACATTTAAAAAGTAGGAGAAAACAGGTGAAATATTAATGTATTTCACTGAACCCCAACATATCAAAAATATTATTTAACATGTAATCAATATAAATATTATTAATGAGATTTTTGCATTCCTTTTTCATACTAAATCTTCTAAATCCAGTGTGTATCTTACACTTTCCACAAATCTCAGATTAGTCATATTTCAGGTGCTCAATAGCCACATAGGGCTAGTGGCTACTGTGTTGCACAGCACTTTTAGTCAATTGCCATAGTCCCTATTACCCTTTCAAATATCCATAGACACACACAGAAAATGGAAATCAGTTGCAGAAAGCAGCCTAGCACATTCTCCAGACTTGTCCTTCATCCATTCATTACATTCAATTATTCTAAGTATTCATTGAGCACCTACTATATGCCAGGCTCCTTGCCACACACCTTCCCAAGTCTTAGGAGATTAAGTAAATGCACCTAAATCATACTTACTTTTGATTCTTACTTGACTAGAATCTGTCACCCAGGGCCAGCAGGCTGTCTCTCTGCAAAGCTGACACATAAAGCCCAGATCCTACACAGTGCCCAGAGTAAAGAAATAAAGATCAAATGAAGCCACCTCCCCAAAAGTACTCTGTTTGTGGTTTCAGCTGAAGAATTATTAAAGAAAGAAAAAAACATGCCTTTCAGAGAGCTAATAATTAAACAGTCCCTCTCCCTTTCATGTCAGCCTCAGCTAAAATGGTCATCTGAGCTGGGACTTAGTTTCCCGAAAAGATAACTCTATTGATGATCAAAGGAAGAGACTGGTTCCATTAGCCAAGTTGCCTATACCGTGGCCTTCAAAATAAAGGAAGAAATGTATTTTAGAAGTATCTGAGTAACACACTTTACTCATAACATTTTGTATTATATTGCTTGTTGTCTGTTGCAACTTACCTTCTATCTGAGTACTTTATTTTAAGCACTACCAAAGTGGATGACATGTCTACAAAAAGAAAGGGAGTTGCTGGCTGCTTCTGACAAATGCGTCTTCAAAAATAATATGTTTGCAGTGGAAATTAGGGTGTGAACCCACATGAGAACAACATGCTTAAGGATGTGGTATTCAGATCACAGTGTTCCTAATATAAGGAGGACTAAATCCATCCAATTTGCTCCTTCAGGTTGGTCAGTCTATAGGGTCAAAAACTCATTTCATTTCTCTCGAAGTTCTCTATTCTGCCTTTGATATCTCAATTCAAAGCATGTTTCATGAAGTGATAAAGAGAAAAGAAGACCTTTGAAGCATGAGAAAATGTATGCCACTTTTTTAATCCTCCAAAAGATATATGGTGGAATAAGAATGCTCTTTCATCAGTCTTTTGTTAGTATCCCACCAGTTTCTCCACTGTAGCCCAAAAGAGTAGCCAAATATATTATTAGGGAAAAAAACCCAATAAGCTAATAAACATGCCTTTTGAATATTCTTTTCTTCCATTCTAAACCATTCAAATTCTATGATCAGATTTAAAATAAAGTTTGACACAAAAAACTTCAGTTATACCAAATTAATATGCATACTTTTGAAAATAAAAGGACATGAGACTTATTACCATTGTATGTTGGGAGTATCTGGTGTTAGAGATTATAAGACCCTATCAAATTGTACATGTGGTATGGAGATGAGCCTGTAAACATTTCTCAAAAGGACTTTGTGTGTAGAGCTAAATATTAGGTATATGTTTGTTAAAGTGCTGTTTTGTTTGAAGATATTTTTCATGAAGCCAATTGATTTTTATCTTCTAACTCCCATTGATAATGCAATCAAGTTATGAACCAAAAAATGGAAGGTACAAATGTTGTCACTCTAAAGGGATTTGTCTTACAATGATAAATAATCTTAAAAGGAAACAAGGAAAAAATATTGAAAAAATACTTTTAAACAAATTAAAATAGGAAAGACCATTCTGTGTATAAAATGAAAGTTTAGAAGTCATAAGAGAAAACATAGATAAAATTAACCGTGTTAATTTTTTAAATTCTGTATGGCAAAAATTATCTTAAGCAAAATAAATAAGAGAAACAACAAACCGGGAGAAAATATTTGCAGTTCATCACAAACACAGGGATAATTTGTTATATATGAAAAGTTTCTACAAATCAACAAGATAAAAAGTGAAGAGCATGATTTTAAAATGGGCAAAGGATAAAAAGAAATAGTTCACAAAAAAGAAACTATAAGGGACTCTTAAAAATTTGAAAAGGAGCAAATATAAGTCTAACGCAAATTTAACTTCACTGAGACATCTTTCATTTACAGAATTAAAAGACTGAAAAGTCTAATTACCCACTCTGTTGGTAAATCTGTGGGGGGAAGAATAACTCTCATCTATTGATGCAAAGAATGTAAATTTATACAGTCTCTATGGAGAACAATTTGATAATGTCTATCAAAATTACAAATGTACATTGAAATTTATGCAACATATATACTCTGCACAACACAGCTCAATTATACACACTCAAAAAAGGAGCTTTAAGATGTATTGTTAAGCAGAAAAAGCAAAGTACAGAAAGGTAATATGTCTGACGAGGGAGAAAATGATACACATTTGATTGTCTATGCATACCTCTGGAAAGATACATAAGAAACTCACAACATTAGTTGCCTCTAGAGACTGAAGTGCTGGGCACTTGATGAGAAGGAGATTGTTTTTTTCCCTGTTTACCCTTTTGTACCTTTTGAGTACAAATCATGTAAATGTAATATTTATTTGTAAATAAATAATATTAAATTTTCAAACATTGAAGCAGAAAGGGAAAAAGAATGATTTTGCTTCAACACAAAAAATGTCTAAATCAAATTCACTAAATTTTAAAATTATAACTTTAGCTTTTCTCCATAAGTTACTGAGCCCAAATTGCACATAGTTCTGTTTGACATTTGCCTATAAGGAACATCAAACTTTTATTTCTCAGTACAGATTATGCAACTGTTTTTTTGTTTTGTTTTGTTTTGTTTTGTTTTGTTTTTTTGAGACCGAGTCTTTCTCTCTGTCGCCCGGGCTAGAATGTAGTGGCGCGATGTCAGCTCACTGCAACCTCCGCCTCCCAGGTTCAAATGATTCTCGTGTCTCAGCCTCCTGAGTAGCTGGGACTACAGGCATGCACCACCACACCCGACTAATTTTTATATTTTTTAGTACAGACGGGGTTTCTCCATGTTGGCCAGGCTGGTCTTGAACTCCTGACCTCAGGTGATCCGCCCAAGTCAGCCTCCCAAAGTGCTGGGATTACAGGAGTGAGCCACCATGCCCAGCCTCGCAAACGGTTTACTTTCATACAAATTATATGTGGTTTCAAAAAGTTAACACCTAACCCCCATCTAGAAATTATGGATAATATCTATTAATTACCTAAAGAAACGTCTTTAAAGAATGCTTTTCACTATTGTGATGAGGCTTTTTAAACGAGGTGGATTTCTTGCATTTATATTATATATCAAATATTTTGCTTTGCCTTTTTATTTGAGTATCATCATCACTTTTCTATTTTTACAGATAAAGGAAGCAGGGGAGTCACTTGGGTAGAGTCGTGAGCTTCAGATTACACAGTTTCTATGCCAGGATTTGAACTCAGGTTCATCTGACCTCAGAGTTCATACTTTGTTCACTCCACCACATCATCTTTAAAAAATAAACAAATAAAGCAAGAATAGAGTTTGCTTATTTCTCATCTTGAATGCAACTTGAAACTATAGCCTTTGATTTAAGAGGCCAGTCTCTCCAATTCTTCTTCTCATTGGATGGTTTTATAAATTCATATCATGACTTGCACTAACTAGAACCTAAATGCTAGAAAAGTTGTTTTGAGGTTTTCACTTTGGAAT
Organism: Homo sapiens; assembly: GCF_000001405.40. Lineage (NCBI taxonomy): Eukaryota > Metazoa > Chordata > Mammalia > Primates > Hominidae > Homo > Homo sapiens. Next base: position 122,989,108 of record NC_000011.10, read on the forward strand.
GTGTTGTGTGTGCACATATTTGGTATAGATATGTGTATGTGTATACGTGTGTGTGTGTGCGTGTGTACATAAATATACATTCCAAAGTCAAAACCTCAAAAAATCCTTTCTACTCACACGGATACACACACTTGTCTGTCTATCTATCTGTCTGTCTGTCTGTCTGTCTGTCTATCTATCTATCGATGTATCTGTCTGTCTGTCTATCTATCCATCCTTACCATCTTTACATCAGCGCGATGAAGGCAGTATATATTACCAGTGGTGATAGAACAAAGTCTGCAGTCAGACCTAAGTTAGAGATCTGGCTCCATCACCATTATATATTAGCTATATGACCTTGAAAATCTGAACCTTTCTAAGGCCTGCTGTCCTCATTTGTAAAATGAATATAATAACATTTCTTATCTCACAGGATAGTTTTGAGGAGTAATTAAGGTAAAGTATGTAAAGCATTTTGCTCAGCACCTGGCACACAGCCAACGCTCAATAAGTAGCACCACTGCTGTTGTTGCTGCTGCTGCTGCTGGTGATGATAGTGGTGGTGATGATGGTAGTAGTGGTGGTAGTGGTGGTGGTGGTGATGATGGTGGTGGTGGTGATGGTGATGGTGGTGGTGGTGGTGATGGTGGTGGTGGTGATGGTGGTGTTGGTGGTGGTGATGGTGATGGTGGTTGTGGTGATGATAGTAGTGGTGATGGTTTTGGCCATGATGGTGTTTGTAGTGGTGATGGTGGTGACGGTGGCCTAACTAGCCAATATAAAAAGAAACCCGGCTGGGTGCAGTGGTTCACACCTGTAATCCCAGCACTTTGGGAGGCCGAGGCAGGTGGATCACGAGGTCAGGAGATCGAGACCATCCTGGCTAGCACAGTGAAACACCGTCTCTACAAAAAAATTAGCCAGGCGTGGTGGTGGGCACCTGTAGTCCCAGCTACTCGGGAGGCTGAGGCAGGAGAATGGTGTGAACCTGGGAGGCGGAGCTTGCAGTGAGCCGAGATCACGCCACTGCACTCCAGCCTGGGCAGCAGACTGAGAGTCTGTCTCAAAAAAAAAAAAAAAAAAACCAAGCCCAAATGATCAATACTGAAACTCTAGAGCTACCATGGACATGACTAATTAATGAATCTGACGTAATGTTGCTATGTAAAAATGGGCTTATATAATTCTAGAAAGAGTCACGGAAAGAAAAAAAAGTACTGAGAAGGAGGTGATGATGAGCAATAAGGAGTGTTTCCTGGGTAGGAGTGAGGAATCTCTATTTAGGTCTAGAAGATACCTTAAAGATGACTTTAAACATCTTCCTAGGCCAAGCGCGGTGGCTCACGCCTGTAATCCCAGCACTTTGGGAGGCCGAGGCCAGGAGTTCAAGACCAACCTGGCCAACATGGCAAAACCCCATCTCTACTAAAAATACAAAAAAATTATCCAGGCAGGGTGGTGGGCGCCTGTAACCCCAGCTTCTCGGGAGACTGAAGCAGGAGAATCGCTTGAACCTGGGAGGCGGAGGCTGCAGTGAGCCAACACTGCGTCATTGCACTCCAGCCTGGGCGACAAGAGTGAAACTCCGTCTCAAAAAAAAAAAAAAAAGAATCTTCCCATTGGATGACTTCAATTTTTGTGTTTCCACCTTCCCCCAGCCAGAGGATGAAAACATTAGGTTAGAAAATACTTGAAGATCGGCTGGGTGCGGTGGCTCAAGCCTGTAATCCCAGCACTTTGGGAGGCCGAGGCGGGCAGATCACAAGGTCAGGAGATGGAGACCATCCTGGGCAACATGGTGAAACCCCGTCTCTACTAAAAATACAAAAATTAGCTGGGTGTGGTGGTGCATGCCTGTAGTCCCAGCTACGCAGGAGGCTGAGGCAGGAGAATCGCTCGAACCCGGGAGGTGGAGGTTGCAGTGAGCCGACATCATACCACTGCACTCCAGCCTGGAGACAGAGCGAGACTCGGTCTCAAGAAAAAAAAAAAAATACTTGAAGATCAACGTCGTCTGTTTTCTTCTAGGTATGTGGGAGACAGGAAACGAATCAGGCAAAGACCATTGAGTGTCTACCACGTACTAAGCTCTGTGTAAAGTGGTTTGGAGAGATAAGGTGGAAAAGTACAGGGAACAGGGAAACATAAAAAAAGTACAAGCCTGCGCCTGTAGTCCCAGCTACTCGGGAGGCTGAGGCAGGAGAATGGCCTGAACCCGGGAGGCGGAGCTTGCAGTGAGCCGAGAGCTCGCCACTGCACTCCAGCCTGGGCGACAGAGCGAGACTCCGTCTCAAAAAAAAAAAAAAGAAAAGTACAAGCCTTCCATCACCTCTGAACACATACACACACAACCCTAAATACATGCAGCCAGAAATGCATAACAAACAAATAAACAAACCAGGGCTTCTCTGTGCACTTAATCAGTAAAATAATTCATCACTAAAGTGATACAGACTCGGTTATCTTTGTAATTCAGATATGAAATAATAGTGGGAAATGGTGAATCCAAGAGCTCTATGGTTTATGCACTCATATCTGAAAACATTTATTAAACATGTACCTTTTGTAAAAAAGTGAGTATGCATTTGGAAGTTTTTTCTCACAAGTGTGTGTATTTTACTTCCACATTTAGGCCAAGGGTCTAATTTTATCTACTGTTTTAATATTTTCCAGTACACAATATCGAACTCTCTCAAAATTGACACACAAATACATCTATGATTGACTGCAGTAGTATTTGACAGTCCCAGGTAAAAGAATAATTTAGTGTGGGTTGCCAGATCTTTCTCTGTTGGCTGGAAAGTGAGCAGCTCCTTGGGATGGTGTGGCAATACCCTATGTTGCTATTGTTTTTTAATACCATGTGGTTTTATGGAGTAAAAAAGAAACAATGGGCTGGCAAGTTTGGGAAAAGCTCTTCAAAACTGAACTAAAATATGACCTCCATTTTGTATTCTGGAGTCTTAGCCTTTCAAAGCTCTATTTTTTACAGGTTGCTTTCATGTGTCTTCTTCCTAGAAATATCTTCCCTATCACCTCTCCTTCTACACAGATAACTTCCATTCAAATCTAGATCCACTATATTCCCTTCGTCCTTGGAAAACCACTCCTGGCCACAGTACTTAACCATCATCGTATTAGCAAATGTACAACTCACTGGGCTTTGGCATTGATAGGTTTTCTCTTTTTATAACCATGTTCTGTTTTCCCAACTAGAGCATGCATTATTGCCTCTATGGGTAATATATTCACATAATTCAAAAGTCAAAAGTTATAAAAAGTCATGAAGTGGGCCAGGCACGGTGGCTTATGCTTGTAATCCCAGCACTTTGGGAGGCTGAGGCAGGCAGATCAGGACGTCAGGAGTTTGAGATCAGCCCGGCCAACATGGTGAAACCCCATCTCTACTAAAAATACAAAAATGAGCTGGGCGTTGTGGCAGGAGCCTGTAGTTCCAGCTACTCTAGAGGCTGAGGCAGGAGAATCACTTGAACCCGGGAGGCAGAGGTTGCAGTGAGCCAAGATTGCGCCACTGCACTCCAGCCTGGGCGACAGAGCAAGACTCTGTCTCACAAAAAAAAAAAAAAAAAAGTTATGAAGTGATGTATCTTCCCCTTTCCCTCTCTTCCAGCCACCCAATTCACCTTTTGGAGGCAACCATTGTTATCATTTTCTTGGTATCTTTCTGGAGATATTATAATTATATTTAAGCAGATAATGAGGGACAGCTGTATGTGTATAAGTATATATTCCTCACACATATGCACATTCTTTCTACGTCTTTTTACATAAAGGATAATATACTGAGTAGTCTTTTGCACATTGCTTTTTTTCTTAACAACTTTTAAAAAATGGATGGATCATGATCTATTAACTAGTCCCCATTTGATGATAATAAGATACTTAGAATGTTTCTAATCTTTTGCTATTGCAAACAATGCTGTAATAAATCATCATATACATAATTCATTTTGGAAATGGGCAACTATATCTGTAGGAATTCTTAGAAGATTAATTGCTGAATCAAATTTGTAATTTTGATAGGCATTGCCAAACTGTTCTCTACAGGGGTAATATCAATGTATACTCCTATCTGTGGTATATTAGTGAGTCCCAGATAATTCTCATGCAGATGATCTAAGAACACTCTTGTTTTTCTAGGTTACTTAACGCTTGTGAGCCTTAGTTATTATCTGCAAAATGGGGATGTCATCTACCTCAGAGGCCTATTGTGGGGACTATTTTGTGATGAAAATATGCAAAACAGCTGTGAAAACTATCCAGCAAGATGAAAATGTTATTACTAAGAAAAATAGCTTCGGCTGGGCAAGGTGGTTCATGCCTGTAATCCCCGCACTTTGGGAGGCTGAGGTGGGTGGATCACTTGAAGTCAGGAGTTTGAGACCAGCCTGGCCGATGTGGTGAAACCCTGTCTCTACTAAAAATACAAAAATTAGCTGGGCGTGGTGGCGCACGCTTGTAATCTCAGGTACTTGGGAGGCTAAGGCAGGAGAATCGCTTGAACCAAGGAGGTGGAGGTTGCAGTGAGCCAAGATCACGCCATTGCACTGGAGGCTGGGCTACAAGAGTGAAACTCCACCTCAAAAAAAAAGAATAATAGTTTTCAGCACTTACTCACAATGGGCATTGTATTAGGTCCTTTAATTATGTTCTCCTTAATCCACACTGCAAAGTAAATGTAGTTAGTTCAGTTTTGCATTTCAGGAAACTAAAGCTCAGAGAGGAGACTCACAAGGCTACACAGCTGGCAAGTGGCAGAAAAGATATTGAAATCCAGGCTTGCACAGGTCCAGAGACTGGGCTTTTTCTACAGACCCACATTTTGACTAATAATTTACGTAAACTACTCCTATTGCTTTAGTTTTAATACATTTTTATTTAAGTTATCTATCAAACATAATGAGCGAGTAATGGCTTCACGCAGGATATGGGACTACAGCTGGACCATCAAGGATTGGTAGAATCTGGGCAGGTGAAATGCAAGTTGATGAAACTGTTCCAGCTAAGAATAGCATGCACAAGTGCTCAGAGGTGGGATAGAACATGGCATATTTGTAGGATACTGAGATTAGATTAAGTAGACGGGATACTTTGAGAAGTATTTGGAAGTGTGCTCAGGATCTTATTAATGAGTATTTTGAAAAATAGTTAGAAGATTGTTCTTAATATTGAGGACAATAAAGTGGGGGTAGAGGCCAATGAAGGTTTGTTTTGAGCAGAGTTGTAGCCATGAATGGTAGTTTTAGGAAATTTTATCTGAGTCTCTATGCATTAGGAATTGGAGGAAAGTCACTGGAAAATCCAGAAAGTAAATTATTGGTGTTTCCAGATGTAAGTCCATTCAACAAACAAACCATTCTTTCATTAATTCAACAAGTATTTATTAGTCACTTTCTATGGATGTCAGCCATAGCACTATTAGCTGAGAAGATATAAACACAATATGGCCTCTGCTTTTAAGGCTTTTTTTTTTTTTTTTTGAGACGGAGTCTGGCTCTGTTGCCCAGGCTAGAGTGCAGTGGTGTGATCTTGGCTCACTGCAACCTCCACCTCCCAGATTCAAGCAATTCTCCTGCCTCAGCCCCGCCAAGTAGCTGGGATTACAGGTGCCTGCCACCGCGCCTGACTAATTTTTGTATTTTTTAGTAGAGACTGGGTTTCACCATCTTGGCCAGGCTGGTCTCGAACTCCTGACCTCATGATCTACCCACCTCGGCCTCCCAAAGTGCTGGGATTACAAGGCGTGAGCCACCGCGCCTGGCCAAGGCTTTTAAACCTCATGATAATGGCATGATCTTAAGTGCCATCAGTCTCTCTGTTCCTCTTTTGCCACTCCCTTCAATTCTTCCTTCACTAGCCAGAGGGATCATTGAAAAATGCAAATCTGATTATATCAGTCCATGCTTAAGATCCTTTGGTAGTATGTTATGTACATTTTACTACAATAATTTTTAAAAGCCTTTAGTAGTTTTCCAGTGCTCTAAACTCTTTCATATATCATATTATCTCTCATCTTTGAGTCTTACGTAGTATATGCTTCCCCCTCTTCCAGGAATATTTACTGTTCTAGCTACCTCTCACTCTAACACTGGCTTGCTTCTACACAGTTTTCGGCTAAAACATCACTTCTAAAAGGAAAAAAAAAAATCACTCCTTTCTAGAAGCCTTCCTTGATGCCACCAGATCAGCTAGGTGCCATTCCTCCGCGTTACCATACACTTCTGATATCATCATGTTTTTTTTCACTGTACTATAACTACCTCTTTAATTGTCTTCCTGTTTAGACTGCAAACTCTACGTAAAGACGACCAAGTATATCCCAAGCATCTAGCGCAATGTCTGGCACATGGTAAAGTCTCAATAAATACCGACTAACCGAGTGAATGAGAGAATAAATAAATAAATGCAAAGGTGAAATAGCCACTCAAATGATCCAGCCTAGAAGATTTTACTTTGCTTGGGAAAGAAGCAAGTGTTTTCCATCATCTATAAAATGACATGAAGGCTAATCAATCTCTGGTCACCTTTCCAATTCAATATCAAATGGGGCAGAAATCCTAGGCGGCGATGGAGATGGAATGGCTGGTTATCAGATAACAAGCTGTGGGGAGGGTGGTTGCTATGACAACCTTTAAGCTTATTAAACACCAAAAGGCTATAGTGCACAGGAAAAACCGAGGTTCAAGTGGTCTTAGGATCTGCAGGCTCCAACTATCTGGTTTATACAGTTATTTGGGGTGTTTTTTGGAATCCTAGAATGCCAAAGCTGGTAGCATCTTGGAGATTTTTCCTTTTTGTATTCCTTATGGTACAAGTAGGTTCCAGAAAAGGCAAGGGATTTGTCCAAAGTCACACAGGAAATTAGGAACAAAGCTGAAGTTAGGAAACCTGAATCTTCTCACATCCATTGAAATGTTAGCATTTCTTGATTTCCAAAGGTGCTGGAACTTTCACAAATGTATCAATCAAAAGTAGGTTTGCAGGCCGGGTGTGGTGGCTCACGCCTGTAATCCTAACACTTTGGGAGGCCGAGGCAGGTGGATCTCTTGAGGTCAGGAGTTTGAGACCAGCCTGGCCAACATGGTGAAACCCCATCTCTACTGAAATACAAAAATTAGCTGGGCATGGTGGCAGGTTCCTGTAATCCCAGCTACTTGGGAAGCTGAGGCAGGAGAATCACTCGAACCCAGGAGGCAGATGTTGCAGTGAGCCAAGATCGCGTCACTGCACTCCAGCCTAGGTGACAGAGTGAGAGTCTGTCTCAAAAAAAAGAAAGAAAGAAAGAAAGAAAGAAAGAAAGAAAGAAAGAAAGAAAGAAAGAAAGAGTTTGCAGAGTTTCTTATTATATTAAATTTTTAAATTTAGTCACTCAAAACATTTTGCATTCATTCATTCACCCTTCAACCAGTATTTACCGAATGTTACCGTATATCTTGCACTATTAGGTGCTGCAGAAAATAGAAAGCTCTCTAATGCAGGATCCCTGGCCCTAATTTGATTTTGGCTGTGAAATGGGGGAAACTGAATTTTTTCTCAGTGTCAAATTATCACCCTACAGATTACTTGCTGTTTATAAAAAAGAAAGTATCACTTTTATAGAGGGCGACCAGGCTGTCCCCACTTTAACCCAGTAATGGATATTGGTGTCGCGAATGGTGAGACAACTAAACATTATGCATGCCCCCTGTTGTCCTGCTACCTGAAGTACTTGTAAAGTATTGGTACCAAAATGTTTAATCTGAATCCAATCAGGTTTAGACCTAACTTCAAGTTACAGAAAAGAAAAAAGATAGAAGAGCAAGCTAAACTACGCTGCATGGAAACTGTCAGACAAATCCAAAAGGTCCAACAGTCTGTGGAGGCAATTCCCCATTTCCCTCAACGAGGCAATGTTAATAGGAAATTTTATTTATTTTTTTTAGAGACTGAGTCTCACTCTGTCACCCTGGCCGGAGTGCAGTGGCGTGATCTCAGCTCACTGCAACCTCTGCCTCCTGGGTTCAAGTGATTCTCCTGTCTCAGCACCCCCAAGTAGCTGGGATTACGGGCATGTGCTACCACGTCACCTGATTTTGTATTTTTAGTGGAGACGGGGTTTCACCATGTTGGTCAGGCTGGTCTTGAACTCCTGGCCTCAGATGATCCACCTGCCTCAGTCTCCCAAAGTGCTGGGATTACAGGCATGAGCCACCGCACCCGGCCTAGGAAAATTTTTAAAAATTAAATGATGACTAAAGACTTAGACAAAATTAAACACTATTTGTGGTCCTTGATCGGATACTGATTTGAACAGACCAACCATAAAAGATACTTTTGAAAAATGAATAAATTTGTATATGGACTGGGTATTAAATGATGTTAAGGAACCATTGTTAATTTTGTTAGATGTGATAATGACATTGTGGTTATATAGGGGAAATGTCCAAAAACAGAGGTGTGGCGGGGTGCAGTGACTCATGCCTGTAATCCTAGCACTTTGGGGGTCCAAGGTGGGAGAATCGCTTGAGCTCAGGAGTTCAAGAACAGCCTGGGTAAGATAGTGAGACCTCGTCTCTACAAAACATTAAACAAATTAGCCAGGTGTGGTAGCAGACGCCTGTAGTGCCGGCTACTCAAGAGGCTAAGGTGGGAGGATTGCTTCAGCCCAGGAGGTTGAGACTGTAGTGAGCCAAGATCGCACTCACTGCACTCCAGCCTTGGAGACAGGGTGAGACCCTGTCTCATAAATAAATAAATAAATAAATAAATAAATAAATATGCATTCTTAAGTAATTAAAGTGAAAGTTCTTGAAATCAGAATTTACTGTAAGTAAACCTCAGGGGGTGTAACAATAAATATGACAAAAGGTTAATAATAACTTAAATTTTGGTGATAGATACGTGGGCATTCCTTATACTATTTTCTTTGTTTTTCTATTTGTTGGAAGTTCCCAACCATGCAAATTAAAAGAAAAAGAAAGGAGTGAAAATACTACTCAAGCTGGAAAGAAAGTTGAACAAGGGCAAAAGTGAGTGTATGATCAGCACTCTGTGCCCAGAAAGTAACACAGACCAAAAAGTTTCTAGAAGTCTAGAGAAAAAAAAGATCTCTTGGCCTGAGGTGGGCAAAGAATAGTTCATGGCAAAGGTGACACTCAGACGAATAGAACTGCAATGTGCGTTGACAGAGCCAAGCACTGGTAACTATAGAAGGATCAAGACAGTTGCCAGTTTACAAACACACTCCCCAGCCAGGCAGGGTGGCTCATGCCTGTAATCCCAGCACTTTGGGAGACCGAGGTGGGCAGATCACCTGAGGTCGGGAGTTTGAGACCAGCCTGGCCACATGGTGAAACCCCATCTCTATTAAAAATACAAAAAATTAGCCAGGCATGGTGGCACGTGCCTGTAGTCCCAGCTACTCGGGAGGGTGAGGCAGGAGGATCACCTGAACCCGGGAGGCAGAGGTTGTAATGAGCCGAGATCACGCGACTGCACTCCAGCCTGGGCGATAGAGTGAGACTCCGTCTCAAAATATATAATACTCCCCTCCCACTGTGGGCTGCAGAAGGGAACCTGGCAAATCTAACTCTCAGAGATACCAGGCCTCATTGCTTAATTTGATATTAAGTCCACTCGCTATTCGTCGATGGGTGAACCTCCTGCTATGCACCTGATGGGAGCCTGACCTCCTGCTATGCACCGCCGTAAGCTCCCAGCCAAATAAATCAAAGCTAATTAAAAACGCAAAGGGATGCTCATTTGCAAAGAAATGACCTCCAGCTACTTGTTGCACCAGTCAGAGGCCGTCTCAGTCCAACCCAATTAGCACTTTCCCAAGAGATTCCTTTGACCCTGCTCCCACCACAACAGCAGGCTGTAGTTCCAGCCCCAGCAAAACTACCCAGAAGCCTTTGAAAGGCAGAGTCTCAAGCGCAATGTTGACCATTTTACCTAACCCTTATCCCTTAAGAACAAATTCAGTGAGTCTACATCAAACAAAACAACAGCCAAATGGATGATGTTGCCATTTATAAGCTCTGACTAATGCAGCTCCTGATTTCCCTTCCAAATTAAATGCCTTTCGCTTAGTACATTTTCAACAGACGTTACTCATCTGCTCTATTAATGAGTTTGCTGCGAAAGCGTACTTTGGTAGCAATTTGAAACAAAAGCACCTTAACGTGACTGAGGCTTTGCTTCCCGTTCTCTTTCCATCTCAGCCTCTCTTCCTCCCTCTCCCTCCCCAGGGCAAATGCATCACTGATGTAAGGGTGGGGAAGCTGGAGTCGCCAAGGGTTCTCTTCTGTGTCACTACACTACATTAGGAATAAAACCTTCCACTTAAACACTTAAATGAAAACATCGAGAAACTAATTTACTATTTGCAATCACATGACTTAAACCGAAGCTGCCTTAATTTCCTTCCCATTTTGCTTCAAATTCAATGTGAGCGCACCCTAGATTGGTCTATGAAAAGGCTGTCTTCGAATCACAACACTTAAAGCCTCTTTCATTTTCTTTTTGATTAAATAATTGAAATTCCTGTCAGGGCCTGCACTTTACTGACGCACAGATTTGGTGTGTGAGGATAAAGACCACTTTTTGTTTGCTGCCTGGGTCTTAAAAGCCAGTGGGCTTTACTTCGTTGAGGGGCTGATCAAAATGTACCCATGCTATTCACCCATTTCGCAGAAATTTCCTGCATGCATTAAGCGATTGTTTGAAGACAAATTATGAAAAGCATGTCCTCTCATTTAGCCATCCTTGTTCACCTGGAGGCTCCTGCCTGCTGAAAGGAGCCCAGCGACTCCAACACCAACGTCATTCATTAGGAAAACAAAACCGAAGACTCGCATGCACGTATATGTACACACACAAAATGAACAAATAGTGGGAAGAATTATTGTAAGTCTTAAGTCACAGGAAATTTGATTTGCTTCAACTAAAACACCCGAGGATAGGCCGGCGTGGCGGGTCGCCCCTGTAATCCCAGCACTCTGGAAGGCCGAGGGGGCTGGATCACCTGAGGTCAGGAGTTCGAGATCAGCCTGGCCAACATGGTGAAACACTGTCTCTACTAAAAATACAAAAAATTAGCCAGACGTGGTGGCAGACCCCTGTAATTCCAGCTACTCGGGAAGCTGAGGCAGGAGAATCTCTTGAATCTGGGAGGCAGAGGCTGCAGTGAGCCAAGAGCATGCCATTGCACTCCAGCGTGGGCAACAAGAGTGAAACTCCATCTCAAAAAAAAAAAAAAAAAAAACCTGAGGATAACCTGAGGTCATCCCATGATGGACCATGGTAAGAGAAGCCCAGGTGGATGTCATGATCCTGTATCACCATGGGCCCCTAAGCTCCTGGTCATGAAGGAGGCAAGTGGATCTTAAAGGAGACAAGAAGAGGCCTTCATTTAGAGGAGAAGCTGAACTCCCCCTTCTCCAGTCCCATCATGGGATGAGGAGTGGTTGAATTGGGTGGCTGCAGGTATTTATGTGGCTCTGCCCTTTGACACTGGTCTCTAACACCTGTATAGTCTTAGAATGTGTGTCTGTGTTTGAATACAGATCATGCATTCTCCTTAATGAAGCTGATCATCAGACACTCCAGAATATACCTTCCAACTCTACTGAGCTATATGCCCTTGGGCATATTCTCTGTGACCTCTTAGAGCCTCTGTCTTATCTGTACAATGAGGACATTAATAAATGGCCCCTACCTCCTCACAGGATGGCTGGGAGTTTTAAATGAGACAATGCGTGGAAAGTGCTTAGGGCAGCATCTGGCATGTGGTAAGTGCTTAATAAAAATTAGGCAATACTGCCGCTATGTGCTCATGTATCTTTACGTGTGCATCTCCATGTGGACCACATTCACATTCCCTCAAGTACTGCACTTGCAGAGGATGATCTTGGCCACATTCTCCCCATTAAAAAACAAAAACCTTCCTGGGTACAGGAGAGCCTATATTGTATATAACACATGCATGCGCACGCACACACACACACACACACACACAATATAATATTATAGCATAAAGGGGCCTTAAAAGATATCTGGCCCAGCGTCTACCCAAAGTTGGCCTCACATCAAAAACCACATCTAAGACAGTTTAATGTCTTCCTCATTGGACGCCTCAATTTACTTCCATGAAACCTCTACTGCTGATTCCTATTCAGATCTCTGAACTCATGGAAGAAAGCTCACTGCCACAGAAAAGCCCTTCCAATATTAAGAAAACAAAACAGCCAGATGCAATGGCTCATGCCTGTAATCCCAGCACTTTGGGAGGCCGAGGTGGGCAGATCACTAGGGCAGGAGTTTGAGACCAGCCTGGCCAACATGGTGAAACCCTGTCTCCACTAAAAATACAAAAATTAGGCAGGCGTGGTGGCTCACACCTGTAATCCCAGCTACTCAGGAGGCTGAGGCAGGAGAATCACTTGAACCCAGGAGGCAGAGGTCACAGTGAGCTGAGATCATACCACTGTAGTTCAACCTGAGCAACAGAGCCAGACTCCATCTCAAAAAAAAAAAAAAAAAAAAAAAGAGTATGATATGGTTTGGATCCATGTCCCTGCCCAAATCTCATGTCAAACTATAATCCCTAATGTTGGAGGTGGGTCCCAGTGGGAGGTGATTGGTACATGGGGGTAGATTTCTCATGGATGGTTTAGCACTATCCCCCTTGGTACTGTCATTGCAATAGTGAGTTCTCCTGAGATCTGGTCACTTAAAAGTGTGGCACCTCCTCCCCCAGCAACCTTGCTCCTGCTCCTGCCATGTGAAATACCTGCTCGCCCTTTGCCTTCCGCCATGATTGGAAGCTTCCTGAGGCCTCCTTAGAAGCGGAAGCTGCTATGCCTCCTGTACAGCCTGCAGAACCATAAGCCATTAAACCTCATTTCTTCATAAATTACCCAGTCTCAGGTATTTCTTTACAGCAATGCGAGAACAGACTAACAGAGAGTGCATCCCTTCAAGTGCCAAACAGAAAGATGTTGGCATTAGCCACTGTTTTTATTATCACTTAGTTGCCCTCCTTCTTTGTAGTAGAATAGTGATTGAGGTAGAATTCCCTCATGAATGAAGAAAATTGAATGCATTATCAAGGTCAGATTTGCGAATGTACCACAGCCAGCCACAGGAGGTGAGTTGGGAAGGTCATGATTAAAAGCAGGCATTTAGATGGAAGAGCCAGTCTGTACAGCTCTGGACAAAGGAAGTGGAGGCACCGGCAGTGATGCAAACACACCCCTGCCCGGAGGCCAAGGGAGACACATGATGTCTTTTAAGGGTCCCAGCCAGCCAGAATTCCCTTTCTGTAAAACAAAACTAATTCACCATATTCAGACAGAGTAGAGAAGGCTGTTAAAGTAGGACAAGGATCCTGTCTTCTCATTTTCACATTCAGGATCTTGGTGGCCGGGAGAGCTAACAGGACAGTCTTCTAGCCTTGACCTTCAACTCCTACCAGAGCTCCGGCTGCTCCCACCTTGCTCTTACCTTTTTTTTTTTTTTTGAGACGGAGTCTCGCTCTGTTGCCCAGGCTGGAGTGCAGGGGCGTGATCTCAGCTTGCCGCAAACTCCGACTCCCGGGATCAAGTGATTCTCCTGCTTCAGCCTCCTGAGTAGCTGGGATTACAGGTGCCCGCCACCATGCATGGCTAATTTTTGTATTTTTAGTAGAGTCAGGGTTTTACCATGTTGGCCAGCTGGTCTCAAACTCCTGACCTCAAGTGATTCGCCTGCCTCGGCCTCCCAAAGTGCTGGGATTAGAGGCATGAGCCACCATACCTGACCACTCTTACCTCTTTCTTGAGCTCTTTCTCTGGTATAATCTCTCAGTGTTTGAACATTTTATTTCCATTTCTAAGCCTGCTGGGCAGCTCAGGAAGGAAGAGTTATTAGCCATGCAAACTTGTTGCCCTGAACTCCCAGGGGCACATACTTTGGGCAAAATGGGAAGGGTGATTTTGAAGAGTTGGAACTCAAATAATCTAGGGGGAAATCCAAGCAAGGTTGCTCTTGTGGGGCCATGGAGAATATACTTCTGGCCTTTACTACTCTGAACAGGCATTACTCTGAGTTGTCCAATGAGCAGATCCATGGATAGAGGCAGAAGAGCTGGGTTTTGGTCCTCAAGCCATTGCTGCCTTCCCAGGTGACCTCCTGCAGCTCAGTTTCCCTCTGTGTGGAATGAACTTAGCCTCCCAGGCCTGCTAATGAGCTGCAATGATTGCCAGATCAAAGGGTGTTTGGGAACATTTCCAGCCTTACCAGTGAGGTGGAGAAAAAGCAGGCAAAGCAAGGTGATTTAGAAAATGCCACTTTACCTGTTGAACCAAAGAGCCAGAAGTGGAACTCACAGAAATACAACTGAGATTACCCCGAGGTGCACAGTAAATAGTACAATTCATTTCTCACCTAGGCCACCAACTCTTGTCCCTAGGAGAATCCAGATTGCATCCAAATTTTGTTCTGATTTCCTTCCATCTGTGATAACTTCGTTGTTCTGAAATACAACGATGGTTTTTCATATCATTGGTCGTGGTTGTAGCCCGTGCGAGAATAATGATGTATGCTTTCCCTGGAAATCAGCTAGATCCAGAGTTCCCAAATGGTGGTCTATGGACCAATGCTGACACATGACAAGGTTTTTATTAATTAAATGAGAACAATAAGGACACTGTAAAGAATCTCTCGAGTTTAATTTATTTCATTTAAAGGGCTTTTCTTCTGAGATGATAGTGTTGGAATGTAAGCTCCAAGAGGGTAAGGACTTTGATGATATTCTTGTTCTCTGTTTTCCAATACCCAGAAGAATACCTGTATGTAAGAGGCACTCAATCAATATTTGTTGAATGAATGAAGGAAAAATTATTTCCTTTCTATTTTCCTGGATTAAAATATCCTTTTTTTAATGAAATGGTATTGAAAGTAAATGGTAGGAGGTTTTGAAAACTTTTTTTCTATGGAAAAATAAAAGTATATAATTATTTTTAAAAGGTTATTGATCTTTAATGTCTAAGTTTGAGAATTTCTAGACCAGATGATCCATTAAGGACCATTTCATCTTATGATCCATCAGACATAGGGTGGGAACACGTTCAAAGCCCTTTAGTTAAATCATAGCAGGCCACACGCAGTCCCAGCACTTTGGGAAGCTGAGGCAGACAGATCACTTGAGGTCAGGAGTTCGAGACCAGCCTGGCCAACATGATGAAACCCTGTTTCTACTGAAAATACAAAAACTAGCCAGGCGTGGTGGTGCGCACCTGTAGTTCCAGCTACTGGGGAGGCTGAGGCAGGAGAATCACTTGAACCCAGGAGGCAGAGGTGGCAGTGAGCTGACATCTAGCCACTGTACTCAGCCCAGGTGACACAGCAAGACTGTCTCAAAAGAAAAGAAAAGAAAAAAAAATCATGGCAGAAATGTTTCCCCTCTGAAGTCTTAGAAGCAGAGAGCTGAGTTAAGATACTGGAAAACACATATTAGCCATGTAACCTCTGGCAAGTCATGAAAGCCTAGTTTTCTTCTGTAAGATGGGAATAATGCTGCCTCAAAGGATTATGGTGGCTTCAAACGAGAGAGCAATGTGTGAAAGCACGTGGGGCCTGGTTGTTTATTTTTAAAGTCTGAAATTAATAAAATTTAAGGTTTCCACAAAAAAACCCTGAAACCTACACTACTATTTGAAATTACTCGAGACAACTTGATTATGTAGAAATATTGTATTCTTTTTTCTTTCTCAACTTTTCTTTTAATCTTTGGATTCTTTTTGATAGCTGTTAGTAACCTCCAAGAGTGGAGATAGAAAAGGAATGAACTTCTCCACAACTTCTTGTCCAGTTGTCTATTTACAGAGAAAGAGGCGCAGCCTAAAGTCAGCCACACACACAAACATTAGCAATTAGTTCTGTGAGCTCAGTGAAGTTGAAGCTGTGTCCTTTCCCATGGTTTCTAAACCTTGGCACTCTTGACATTTTGGAATGGGCCATTTTTGTTGTTGTTGTGGGGGCTGTCTTGTGCATTGTGGGATGTTTAGCAGTATCTCTGGCTTCTACCCACTACATACTCACACACATACATGCTTATAATTGTGACAACCAAAAATGTTTCCAGACCACTGCAAATGCCCCCCAGGAAGGGTTGGTGGGGAAAGCAAAATTGTCCCCAGTTGAGAACTACTAACTTGCAAGTATCTGGCAAGCAAGGTTCACTTGCAGTGACTTCAGATCCTTTCTTATTTAGAGCCAGGCAATCAAATCCTGTATAAGCTTCCTAAAACATGACCAGGCAAAATTCTAAGCCTAGGGCACTATTTCGAAAGGTTAGGCCACTAGGCCACAGGGAAGCAAATTCCCTGTTCATTCACTAGTACCTTGTCAATATTTCTAACCAATCCATATATCTTGAATACCATTCATTTCACCAGTAAAAAATCCTTTCTAACACCAATTGTGCACATTAACAAGACTCTGGTGTTAATAGGAAATAAAGATTATTAAAGTGCCTGATAGCAGCCACTTCAAGGGTATGGACTTTTGATTAGAGACACTCAAATGCTAACTAACCCACCCTGAAGTGTGAGAGATACACCACACTGTTCATACAGAAGTAATTTTAAATAAAGGCAATATAGTAGCTTAAAATAAAAGCTATTTAGATATCCCAAATCTTTACGTCATTATTATTATTATAGAGATGTTATTGATCCATGAAATCCAAACATCTGAAAACCATTGTCCTGGCCAAACGTGGTAGCTCACACCTATAATCCCAGCACTTTAGGAGGCCGAGGTGGGCCGATCACTTGAGGTCAGGAGTTTGAGGCCAGCCTGGCCAACATGGTGAAATCCCGTCTTTGCTGAAAATACAAAAATTAGCCGGGTGTGGTGGCGCATGGCTGTAATCCCAGAAACTCAGGAGGCTGAGTCAGGAGAATCACTTAAATCCGGGAGGTGGAGTTTGCAGTGAGCCGAGATCGTGCCACTGCACTCCAGCCTGGGTGACAGAGCAACTCTGTCTCAAAACAAACAAGCAACAACAACAAAAAAAAAACCATCGGTCTGCATTGAACTGGTTCTTTGTGAAAGGCTGTTCAGGTGGGAATGAGTCTCTCCAAAGGAACCCTTGCGCTCAGACTGATCCTGCATGTGATTTGTAGCCAAATTTTAATGAAAACCAAGTCCCCAGCCACTTTTCCCAACTGACAGTGAGGCTGGTTTAGAACAGAAGTCAACCTGGAGTCCATCTTGGGGGTGAATTGCATGATTGCCAACCAGAGTTTGTTTCTCGGTGAGTTTGTGTGTATAAGAATGCACAAGTTGCAATTAATTCCCAGCGAAGTCACTCCTCAAGTTAATTAGAAATGCAAAGTGTGAGTCTAAATGTTATGAGATTATAAAATGGCTTAATAATGGGAACAATGAGATTGAAGCATATGCATTCTGGCCATGTAAATATTTCATAACAGTGCCAATCTGATTTCATTTGCCTAATCATGCCATTGATATGCAGCCGCCAGCCTGCAAATAGAAAGGCTGAATTGCCGCAGATCACCCTTCTAATGTCATAATTATTAATATTGGAGGGAAATGGAGCTGCTACACTCCGACGGAAGCTGCTAGGCCTTTTGAATTGAGATGGGGACGGCACTACTGGGGAAAGAGGAGGAAGGTGATACAGCAGCCCCAACATCCCCATTCTGCTTGTTGGCCAGAAGTATTTAGGTAATTAGGCGGCTCAACAAATTAAAGCGATGAGAATGCTGAAGAGAAGAGTTGCAGGGCATCAATTCCCCAGTCCTCAATCAAAATCATAATGAAACACACACACACACACCCTGGAAAAAAAGAAAAAGAAGAGATGTTTTGTGGCAATGAAGGATTCTGTGCATGAGAGTTCAGCTCATTGCTGGATGGTGTTGTGGGGCTGAGCAGGGCAGCAGCCTCTCGCTTCTGGCTTCCTCTGTTTGGTCAGCCTGTTTCACAGAGTACTTCATGCACAAAGCCCTTTTATTTGCATAGAATGTGACTTTCCCATTGACACTTGAGAACTGTTTTCCCTGTCTTTCCAATTCTACCACTTTGAAACATTTCTTCTCTCCTTAACTCATTTCCCCATGTGTGTCTTGTCTCTCCACTTTGAGCACAGGGAATTCCTAGAATGCTCTCTATATCCTCCCTACAGTTAGTATAATGTCAGAAATTCAGTGGCTTGACTGATTCAACTCCTCTAGGTGGCACAGTGAGGGAAAGGCTGGCCCTGCACTTGGCTGTGTCAGCTTGGGCAAGTCACCTAACCCCTCGGGGTCTCACTGTTTCCATTTGTAAATGGGGATCATAATGCCTATCTCACAGTACTGTTGTGAAGGGTGTTTGTTTGTTTGTTTGTTTGAGACGGAGTCTTTCTCTGTCGCCCAGGCTGGAGTGCAGTGGCGCAGTCTTGGCTCACTGCAACCTCTGCCTCCTGGGTTCAAGCAATTCTCCTGCCTCAGCCTCCAGAGTAGCTGGAACTACAGGCTCCCACCACCACGTCCAGCTCATTTTTGTATTTTTAGTAGAGTCGGGGTTTCACCATGTTGGCCGGGATCGTCTTGATCTCTTGACCTCATGATCCACCTGCTTCGGCCTCCGAAAGTGATGGTATTACAGGTGTGAGACACTGCGCCTGGCCTGGAGTTTTTTTTTAATGTGACCTCACTATTGATTTAGTTATACGTTGCCTTGTTTCAAAAAGGATCTGGAGCAACAAGAAAGCAGTGTAATACAATATTAAATACGATCCAATTTTTTTTTTTTTGAGACAGAGTCTCACTCTGTCGCCAGGCTGGAGTGCAGTGTCGCAATCTCGGCTCGCTGCAACCTCCGCCTCCCGGGTTCAAGCAATTCTCCTGCCCCAGCCTCCCGAGAGTAGCTGGGACTACAGGCGCCCGCCACCACACCCAGCTAATTTTTTGTATTTTTAGTAGAGACAGGGTTTCACCATGTTGACCACGATGGTCTCGATCTCTTGACTTTGTGATCCGCCCGCCTTGGCCTCCCAAAGTGCTGGGATTACAGGCGTGAGCCACCACGCCCAGGCCCAAATGTTTTTAAAATGCACATTTTCTTTTTTTTTTTTTTTTTTTTTTTTTGAGACTGAGTCTCACTCTGTCACCAGGCTGGAGTGCAATGACATGATCTTGGCTCACTGCAACCTCTGCCTCCCGGGTTCAAGTGATTCTCCTGTCTCAGCCTCCCGAGTAGCTGGGATTGCAGGTGCCCGCCACCATGCCCGGCTAATTTTTGTATTTTTAGTAAAGACAGGATTTCACCATGTTGGCCAGGCTGGTCTCAAACTTCTGACCTCAAGTGATTCGCACACCTGGGCATCCCAAAGTGCTGGGATTATAGGACTGAGCCACTGTGCCTGGCCCAAAATGAACACTTTCAATGATGAGTTTCTGTGCTTCCTTTTGCTCCAAACAGTCTTTCCCTAGCAAAGGAGTTATCATCTGAAACAAACACTAGTAGAGTTTCCCTTTAAGTAAGAATCTTGAGCTGGGCGTGGTGGCTCATGCCTGTAATCTCAACACTTTGGGAGACCCAGGCAGGCGGATCACTTGTCAGGAATTCGAGACCAGCCTGGCCAACATGGTGAAAGCCCGTCTCTACTAAAAGTAGAAAAATTAGCCAGGCCTGGTGGCATGCGCCTTTAATCCCAGCTACTCAGAAGGCTGAGGCACGAGAATCGTTAGAACCTGGGAGGCGGAGGATGTAGTGAGACGAGACTGCGCCACTGCACTCCAGTGTGGGCAACAGAGCTGGGCTCAGTGGCTCACACCTGTAATCCCAACACTTTGGGAGGCTGAGGGGGGTGGATTGCTTGGGCCCAGGAATTCGAGACCAGCCTGGGCAACATAGTGAGACCCCTATATCTACAAAGAATACAAAAATTAACTGGCCAGGCACAGTGGCTCGCACCTGTAATCCCAGCACTGTGGGAGGCTGAGGCAGGTGGATCACCTGAGGTCAGGAGTTTCAGACCAGCCTGGCCAACATGGTGAAACCCCATCTCTTCTAAAAATACAAAAATTAGATGGGCATGGTGGTGTGTGCCTGTAATCCCAGCTACTCGGGAGGCCGAGACAGGAGAATTACTTGAACCTGGGAGGTGGAGGTTGCAGTGAGCCAAGATCATGTCACTGCACTCCAGCCTGGGTGAAAGAGTGAGTCTCCGTCTCCAAAAAAAAAAAAAAATTAATTAATTAATTAACCAGGCATGGTAGTGTGTGCCTGTAGTCCCAGCTATTCAGGAGGCTGTGGTGGGAAGAGATCACCTGAGCCCAGGAAGGTTGAGACTGCAGTGAGCCATGATCATGCCACTGCATTCCAGACTGAGCGACAGAACGAGACCCTGTCTTAAAAAAAGAAAAAAAAAAAAAGAATAATCTTTATCTCCAGAACTTCTTGTCTATAAAATTGATCATTATTGGGCAGGATTATATTTAATTTAAGCAGCACATTTCTACATGCTTTAAAAAAAATTGACCGAGTAACTTCTCTAAACTTCAGTATCCTCATTTCTAAACTAGGGATTAGCGTGAAGATTGAGGTAACATATATAAAGCATTTAGTATACTATCTGATATATAAAACATTTTCTATACTATCCGACTCACAGAAAGCTATCTCTAGGTTGTTTATTAGTACTACTATTATTACTTTAAATTCATTTTATTTGTATTATTAATATATTACATAGTAAGCTGGGCATGGTGGCTCATGCTTGTAGTTCCAGCACTTTGGCAGGCCAAGGTGGGAGGATTGCTTGAGTTCAGGAGTTCAAGACCAGCTGAGCAATATAGTGAGACCTCATCTCTACCAAACAAAAAATTAATTAATTAATTAAAATATAAAAAAGAAAATATATTGCATAGTAAACAATATTATTATGTTATTACTAATTATTTATGTGTTATTATTAATTACAAAATGAGAAATAAATATATAAAGGTAAACTCCAGAAAACCCAGGAAGTTAGAGATATTGCCACAAATAGAACTCTTGATTAGCTCCTTGCTGCCACACTATACACAGAATTATAGACTGTTATTATATGTCTACAGCATCCAGAACTGTGAAACATGTACTATAGAAATAATAATTGCTAGGCTGGGCGCGGTGGCTCACGCCTGTAATCCCAGCACTTTGGGAGGGTGAGGCGGGCGGATCACGAGGTCAGGAGATCGAGACCATCCTGGCTAACATGGTCTCTACTAAAAACATAAAAAAATTAGCCGGGTATGGTGGCAGGTGTCTGTATCCCAGCTACTCGGGAGACTGAGGCAGGAGAATGGCGTGAACCCAGGAGGTGGAGCTTACAGTGAGCTGAGATCATGCCACTGTACTCCAGCCTGGGCAACAGAGCGAGGCTCTGTCTCAAAAAAAAGAAAAAAGAAAAAAGAAATAACAATTGCTAACATTTTACATGTCTCCAAATATGCACAAGGCACTATTCTAAGCACTTTAGAGATAACTCATTTAATTCCTACAAGGCTTTAACGAAGTTTCTTCTATCATCATCCCCATCTTGCAGATAAAGAAACTGAGGCAGAGGAAGGCATATAACCTGTCTAAAGCTATAAAGCCAATAAATAGCAGAACTGGGATCAAAATCACATAATCTGTCTCTGGAGTCTATCCATGTCCTTACAGTGCGGTGGGACCACTCTCTGCTACTTCCTACTGTCAAGAAATGCACACGAGGCCAGGTGTGGTGGTTCACAACTGTAATCCCAGCACTTTGGGAGGCTGAGGCAGGTGGATCACTTGCAGCCAGGAGTTCGAGATCAGCCTGGCCAACATAGTGAAGACCCATCTCTACTAAAAATACAAAAATTAGCTAGGTGTAGTGGTGTGTGCCCGTAGTCCCAGCTATTCAGAAGGCTGAAGTGGGAGGATCACTTGAGCCCAGGAGGCAGAGGCTGCAGTGAGCCAAGATATCGTGCCACTGCACTCCAGCCTGGGTGACAGAGTGAGACCCTGTCTCAAAAAAAAAAAAAAAAAAAAAAAAAGAAAGAAAGAAAGAAAAGAATTCCCAGGAAGAAAGAAATTCTGGGTCCACTGCCATCGCTCCTCCCCCTTGAGGTTAAGAGCCTTGTAGTGACGGAGCCAGAGGGGTCTTGTCTGGTCAGCACGGTATTATCAAACACTTTTTCTTCTGAAAGCCTTTAGGGAAAACGTATACGCCACAGGTTAAGGCAGGCTAAACCATTCACTGCTGGATTATACCTCCGTTGTTTGTGTGTTTTACCTGCCTGGCCCCCCAAGGACATTTGAATGTGCAACCTTAAGCTCTAAGAAATGAAATCTGACATTTGAATTTGAACCCAAGCAGTTTTACTCCAATGATGGAGGGTGTCGGGCGTTGCCAGTGGAGTTAGAATGAGAAGAAGATGTTACTTGAGAGAAAAATTTCATCCTTGTCTTCATCCAAGGTGAGAATTCCAAGGCTGCAGAGGCTGGCAGAGGCCACTGGGGGAGAGGCCTTCAGTGCTTTACTTGGGAGTCTGGACTTTGGATTTCAGACAGTTTGCCCCTGATAGCAGACATCAACTTGCCTTAGCTTATCTCGATATTTACAAGTATTTCCCCATTAGGCCACGGCTCCCTGAGGGCTGCTTGTCTTTCCTCTGCATCTCCCCTACTGCAGCCAGGTCAGAGTCTGTAGAAGGCGAACACTCCCTCCCTGGTGCACATCATGGTTTTCCCCAGGTAACTGGAAGATCACAAAGAAAGAGGCGTGTTGGTTTCTCAGCAGGAGTTTTTGTTTTTTCTCTGCAGCACCAGCTGAACTTGAGTCTTTGCTCCAATGTTGCAACTGATAACTTAGCTCCTTAAATACAGCCAATGGGCTGGCTGAGGAGATAAGTGGTTATGAGCACGGGACGGCAGGTTGAGGCCCAAATCTTGGTTTCCCTTTCTTTTTTTTTTTTTTTTTTTTGAGACAGAGTTTCGCTCTTGTTGCCCAGGCTGGAGTGCAATGGCACAATCTCAGCTTACTGCAACCTCCGCCTCCCAGGTTCAAGCTATTCTCCTGCCTCAGCTTCCCAAGTAGCTGGGATTAGAGGTGCGTGCCACCATGCCCAGCTAATTTTTTATATTTAGTATAGACAGGGTTTCACTGTGTTGGTCAGGCTGGTCATGAACTCCTGCCTTCAGGTGATCCACCCACCTCAGCCTCCCAAAGTGCTGGGATTACAGGCGTGAGCCACCACGTCCAGCCTTGGTTTCCCTTTTTATCTAGTTATGTCACCTTGGGCAAGTCCTCTTAGTGCCTCTATTTTTCTCATTTTTTTATTTTTTAGTTTATGTTTTTAATATTTTTTCTCATTTTTAAATGGGAAATAACAGGTAGAGTTGTGATAATTCTGTTAATCCATATAAAGCATTTAGTATAGTGCCTGGTACATATTACGATAAGTATTCAAGAAACATTCATTTGCATTGCTTTTCATTGCATGTAAATCATTCACTCTGTGTCTAGGCAGTTCCTCCATCATTGACCTCTGATCCCTTTGGCCAGTCACCCTCTCTCTCTTCCACTGGGCTGGAGACAAAGGAAGACAGAGCCCCCTCCTTCCCTCCCTCCTTTACTCTTCTCTCTTGGGGCTACAATGAACAAATGATAACAGCACAGGTTTCACTCAATTAGGATAAAACCCCAAAGCAGATGATGCTTGTGTGCAGAAGATGGAGTAAAAGAATTGGCTCCAGAAGGCTTGGGACCTGCTTGTAGAGGATGCTAATTGGTTTCTTGCCGGTAATTTTTCACCCCTAAGTGAACAAGAAAGAGGGTATCTCAGAGGCTCATCTGCCTTGCAGGTTCATTGCAGGCAAATGAGTATCTGTGTCCAGGGAGAGATGGAGATTGTCCTCTCCAAAGAGAACATAATCTTATTTGTCCCAAGCAAAGATTTCATTCCTGGCAGGTCTGCAGAGGTAGAAGGGGATAAAGGTCACTTCCAAAATTGCATGGGAGCTCTGCCTCTTACACACTCTCAGTAAGTCAGAGGGTCGTGGAGCTTGGGTAGATTTAATCCTCATTCTCTCACTGAGTAGTCTGGGGAGAGGAATGGGGATGAAACATTAGCCTAGGAAACTGTGAAAAGAGCTCCACTCTCAGTGGAAAGGATAAGGCTGAACAATAGAAAAGGTAACTGTAAGAATCGCTCCCCTTTAGAACTCTTTCTGTCCCTTGTGTATGCATCTATTATTGCAGTGTCCTATATGTATCCTATTATCCAACTGTGTCCTTGAGGAGATAGGCTTTATATAACTTCAGCAAACACTTACTGATCGCTTACTATGTGCCAGGCATCGTTCTATTTGCTTTCCCTATATCAACTCATTTAATCCTTACAGCAACCTTGTAAGATAGGTATGTTATTATTCCCATTTTATGGTTGATGGAATCCAAAAACAGAGGTCACATATAGATTGAAGTAGGAAGCCAGACAGAGTCCCACACCTCTGCTCGTATATCTCAAACCCTAACACAGTATGGGCTTAATGCATTTTATTGAACTAAGTGCAAAAAAAGTGACGATGCTGATGCTGTGAGCCTATAAAATACTAAGTGCACCAAAAATACTTGCTAAAAAAATGACTTACCAGAGGCTTTGCCAAGAAGATGACTGGTTTAAAGCAATCCTACCACAGAAGCTGCCACCCAACCTGGAGGTAACTCTAGGAAAGGGGAGGTCACTATAAGAGGCATGCTGCCTCATCTACTTGTCACTGCAAATCTATCTCTGAACTTTAATTTGGCTCCACTACTTGGGGCATTTGAGTTTCTTCTGACATCATGACCTCCTTTCCATTCTTATTGTTATCACCTCTATTTAATGACTGGTTACTTCCTTCTCAAATGATGAGTTAATGACACTGGTCCCATCTCTCTGAACTCTAAGCCGCCCTATACACTGCTGCTAATCTTTCTGGCTGGGCACAGTGGCTCACGCCTGTAATCCCAGCACTTTGGAAGGCTGAGGCAGGCGGATCACCTGACAGTGGGAGTTTGAGACCAGCCTGGCCAATATGGAGAAACCCCATGTCTACTAAAAATACAAAATTAGCCAGGCATGGTGGCGCATGCCTGTAATCCCAGCTACTCGGGAGGCTGAGGCAGGAGAATTGCTTGAACCTGGGAGGCGGAGGTTGCAGTGAGCCGAGATCGCACCGTTGCACTCTAGCCCATGCAACAAGAGTGAAACTCCACCTCAAAAAAAAAAAAAAAAAAAAGAAAATTTCTAAAACACAATTCTAATATAGTAAAAATTTTGCATTAACCAGTGCCTTTCAAATTCAAAGTTCTCAGCTCAGCATTCCTGGCCTCCCACACTAACATGACTTGCAGTCTCATTCCTCTCTCTCCCTGTGATCCATGCACGGTGACCACTCCTTCCTCGCAAACACACTTTTGCACATTCACATCTTATCTCAGAGTTGTTCAACCTAGTGTCCCTGGCTCTAAACAACTCTGGTGGAAGAGACTTACAGAAGAAAGAAGACAGACCTAGCATTCACACTTCTGCCCTGTCACTCAGAGTAGCAAGAACTCGGGCAAGTTATTCAGCCTCTTCGAGTCTTAATTTCCTCATCAGTAGAAAAAGAATAATCATATCTATCATGCAGAATTGTTGAGAGATAAATTATTTGGCCAACAAGCATTTGTTGAGCACCTATTATGTGGCAGGTATTGTCGGCCCTAGAGATGTTGAACAAAACATGGAGCTGGCCTTCTAGTGACGGTGGAAGAGAGACATGAAACAAATAAGCAAGTATTTATAAAGTGCTCAGTGCACGTCTGGCACATAGTTCTCTCTCAATGAATGATTGTTTTTCCAGATATTGCAAAAGGCCTAATAATAGATGTATGGTTATCTACCCAAGAGCGTGCTGAACAGAAATGTCTAGTGTTTTTGGATTCAACTGGAATACTCAAAAAATTTCATGAAAGAAGAGACAGTATCTATCAATGTACTATCAATGTATTTCAATTACTGGGCACAGCACCATACAGACAGCAAGTACTAAATACTTGTTTATTGAATAAATGTTGGCTAATGCATAATGATCAGGACCTTTAATCAACAGTTTTATTGCCTTTAATTATAAATAGATGAGTAGATTACTTAAGAAGTCCTGGCTGGGTGCGGTGGCTCATGCCTGTAATCCCAGCACTTTGGGAGGCCGAGGCGGGCAGATCACCTGAGGTCAGGAGTTTGAGACCAGCCTGACCAACATGGTGAAACCCCTTCTCTACTAAAAATACAAAAATTAGCCAGGAGTGGTGGCGTGCACCTGTAATCCCAGCTACTTGGGAGGCTGAGGCAGGAGAATCGCTTGAACCCAGGAGGCAGAGGTTGCAGTGAGCCGAGATCTCACCACTGCACTCCAGCCTGGGAGACAGAGCGAGACTCTGTCACGCACACACAAAAAAGGCTCCAAAACCCAAATGTCATTCACCACCTGGTGGCTGGTGCCTAAAGTCTACACAGTTAGAGTGTAGGTTTTGGTTCAAGTCCTGCTCCCCTACTCACTAGCAGTGCAGTTTGAGGTAAGTCTCTTAACTTGAGATTCTATTTCCCATCTTTAAAATGGAGATGGTGGAGATAACATACTCCTCTTAAGGACATTGAGAGGAACAAATATGAGAATACATATAAACTGCTTAGGATAGTGCCTGCTACACAGTAAATGTCAATAAATATTAGAATTAATGGTATGGCCACCACAGCTTCATCTCATTGCCAAAGGTTTTGTCCATTTGTTCACACCAAGGGAAAGATAACCTAGTGGTTATAGTCTGCCATTTACCCCACAGTGAGAATGACTCTTTGATTCCACCCTATCAGAGGCAGGAACCTGAAAGCAGAAATGACTAAGACATGATTCCTGTCTTCCAAGAACATTCGATCTGGTCCAGTGAATCCAGTCCCTAATGGCTAATAACAGTGCAAGGATTTCCCATTTACAAAGCACTTTCTCATATACCATTCTGTGCGTCTTCACAGCTCCGTAAGAGAGAGATGTTACCAGCCCACTTTGGAATTGATGAAACAGGTTTATTTAGGGTATGTGCCTCACAAAGGTCACAGAGCTAGTGAGTAGCTAGGTCAGGATCAGAATGTGTGTCCTGTTCACAAGGCCATTCCTGTGGGACCTGAGAGAATGGATTTTGATAGGTGGAAGGGGACCAAGGACCTGGGATTCCTGAGGAAGCTCAGAGAGTAGATGAAGGAGTAAGCTGGATGCAAGTAACAACTTCCTCCTCCTCTGTCCCACCAGCAGTGGAAGGCAAGTGACAGTTATGAGAGAAATGGTGGGGTGGCGGGGAGAGCTCCCTGGGGAGAGGTCTTGTCTGCAGGAGTCTCCTTTGATTACTGGCCCCTCCCCACCCCTCCCACTGTTTTCTCACTGCCCCAGTTTTATCAAAGGGCAATTAAGCCTCTTTTTCTCAACTGTCTAAGGGGGCTACATGTGTCACTCAGGTCTTTTCTTTTCAGTTCTGCTGCCTTCTCCTTTTTTTTCCAACTAATGTGTCCTCTTATAATTAGAGTTTTACAGTCACTTGTAATTAGGCCCATTTAGTGCTTCAGAGTAGGAGACTTTTAACCTATTTCACCTTGTAATTAGGGACCTCCACCCAGGTATACACACCCAGGAAGCAGATACGGATAAAGGGAGAGGGTAGGGGCTGGGTCAAAGGCACACATGGATATATGTACACACAAGCACACACATACACACAAGACTGCATGCTCGTTGGGTCTGTGCGGGGGATGTCTGTGAGTGCAGCAGATGCACCGTTGCCTTTGTACAAATGCTGCAGCCATGTGGTTGTAAGGAGAGCGTTTGGTTGTAGGTTCCAGTATACTCGGGAACAGAAGGCGAGTACGGAGCGAGTTCTAGCTGCATGTGAATGTGTTAAGGGAGGGAGCAGGCGAGCTGAAAATCGGTCAGCTCCTATCATCTCCATCCAAGGAAGGAATTTTTATTTTTAACAGATAATACATGGCACGTGGTTCCCAATTCAAAAGGTACAAAAAGCTATACAGTAAAAAGAGCTCTCCCTCCTCCCCATCCCCAACCATCCAATTCTCTTCTCAAAAGGCAATTTTGGGTCAGGCGCCGTGGTTCACGCCTGTAACCCCAGCACTGTGGGAGGCCGAGGCAGATGGATCACTTGAGTCAGGAGTTCGAGACCAGCCTGGCCAACATGGCAAAAGCCCGTCTCTACTAAAAATACAAAAATTAGTCAGGTGAGGTGGCTCGCACCTGTGGTTCCAGCTACCCGGGAGGCTGAGGCAAGAGGATCACTTGAACCCAAGAGGCAGAGGTTGCAGTGAGCCAAGATCTCACCACTGCACTCCAGCCTGGGCGACAGAGCAAGACTCCATCTCAAAAAAAAAAAAAAAAATGGGTTGATGGTGCGCGGGGCTGGCGGGCAGTTGGCATGAGCGGGACCGAAGCTGAGGCAGGAAGAGCCGGCACCATGGTGGAGAAGGAGGAGGCTGGAGGTGGCATCAGCCAGGAGGAGGCAGGCGCAGTATGACCAGCAGATCTGCCTTTGGGGACTGGAGGCCCCGAAATGGCTGCGGGCCTCCCAGGTGCTTCTTGCAGGCATGAAAGGACTCGGGGCTGAAATTGCCAAGAATCTCATCCTGGCAGGAGTGAAAGGACTGACCATGCTGGATCACAAACAGATATCTCCAGAAGAACCCGGAGCTCAGTTCTTGATTCGTATTGGGTCTGTTGGCCGAAATAGGGCTGAAGCCTCTTTGGAGCGAGCTCAGAATCTTAACCCCATGGTGGATGTGAAGTTGGACACTGAGGATATAGAGAAGAAACCAGAGTCATTTTTCACTCAATTTGATGCTGTGTGTTGACTTGCTGCTCCAGGGCTGTCATAGTTAAGGTTGACCAGATCTGTCACAAAAATAGCATCAAGTTCTTTGCAGGAGATGTTTTTAGCTACCATGGATACACATTTGCCAATCTAGGAGAACATGAGTTTGTAGAGGAGAAAACTAAAGTTGCTAAAGTTAGCCAAGGAGTAGAAGATGGGCCTGATACCAAGAGAGTAAAACTTGATTCTTCTGAGACAACGATGGTCAAGAAGAAGGTGGTCTTCTGCCCCGTTAAAGAAGCGCTGGAGGTGGACTGGAGCAGTAAGAAAGCAAAGGCTGCTCTGAAGCGCACGACCTCCGACCACTTTCTCCTTCAAGTGCTCCTAAAGTTCCGCACAGATAAAGGAAGAGATCCCAGTTCTGATACACACGGGGAAGATTCCGAGTTGTTGCTCCAGATACGAAACGATGTGCTTGACTCACTGGGTATTATTCCTGACCCGCGCTTTATCACGTACTTCTTCTCTGAGATGGCCCCAGTGTGTGCGGTGGTTGGAGGGATTTTGGCACAGGAAATTGTGAAGGCCCTGTCTCAGCAGGACCCTCCTCACAACTTCTTCTTCAATGGCATGAAGGGGAATGGGATTCTGGAGTGGCTTGGCCCCAAGTGAACCCAAGACTTGGCAGCCCTGGAGATGCCAATTGCAACATGCCTGCCTGTATTCCCTGTCCCCCTCCTTCGTGAAGGCATCTCCAGGCAAGGAAAACTGAAGTCATCGGCCCAGTACAAAACATTTCCTGCGACGAAGGAGGTGGTGCCGTCATGCTGCTTCCCATCACCCGCAGCTGCTTGACAAGGGGTGCAGGGCAGCTGTCTTTGTTCCAGCACTGTTCAGACTGCCTGCTGTCCCAGGCCTGCCAGCTCCCCTGAGTGATAAGCACTTCCAAGCACCCCTCTGCCCCTTCTCTGTCCTTATGCTGTCACGGCCTCGCCAGCCCTCTAGGGTATTATGGGAGATGCCTGCCAGGAACGAGCATGCTCTGTTGCTTAGGAGCCTCTTGCCACCTTCTTGGACTTAACTCCCCACCTGATGTCTTACAGAGAGGAGCGTGACTTCAGGTGGAGAGTAGGCCCAGGCCCCATGAGGCACCAGTGGAAGCACAGCTCCAAGTTCAGACAGGTGCCCTTAGAGAGGAAACCCATGACAGGCAAATGCATTTCCTCTGGAGTTTGAGACCCTGACGAACAACAGGTGGCATCTGGTGTGCCGTTCTTGAGTTTTCGTTTAGGATTCGTTGAGTTCCAGCTGGGTTTTGGGAGAAAGGAGATGCTACCAAGTCTTGGATGTTAGGGCGAGACCCTGCAAGTTGAGTATTAGTGGGAGAGCTTGTCTTTCAAGGCAGGTTCCTGGGGCTTCAGGGCTAGGAGGCAGGAGCTTGCCCTTTTAACACAACCCCAGTCACCCATGCGGCCCAGGCCACTCAGAGGCTGTTGCATTTCAGGGCTGTGTTGGTCCTCTGTTTACCTCCTAAACCACAGCTGTTTGTGTTTCACATATGTTCTGAATTTTCCTTGGTTCTTTTTAAAGGAATGATAATAAAGTTACTTGCTTTAGGAAAAAAAGAAAGTCAATCTTAGGTAACAAGACAAAGGCAATCTTTATTACCAGAGATATTCTAAATATAGTTTTCCTAACAGAGATATTCTAAACATAGTTTTCCTAACAGTTTGAAACCTTTTGCTTTTTTCATTTAAAAATATATCTGTTGTCTGTTATTGATAACAGTCTTGGTCAGTGTTCCACATCTGTCTATAGAGAGCTTTTCTCTATCTTTTTAATGCCTGTATCGTGTTTTGTGTTCATACCACTATTGCTTAATTTACAACACTCTTGTGAAGTAAAAATGTTTTTTCTCATTTTAAGAAAAAAATTTTTATCTCTTTTTCTTTTCTTTTCTTTCTTTCTTTTTTTTTTTTTTTCTTTTTGAGATGGAGTCTTGCTCTGTTGCCCAGGCTGGAGTGCAGTGGTGTGATTTCGGCTCATTGAAACCTCTGCCTCCCGGGTTCAATTGATTCTCCTGCCTCAGCCTCTGGAGTAGCTGGGACTACAGGCGTGTGCCACCACACCTGGCTATTTTTTTTTTTTTTTAGCAGAGATGAGGTTTCACCATGTTGGGCCAGGCTGGTCTTAAACTCCTGACCTCAGGTGATCCACCCACTTCACCCTCCCAAAGTGTTGGATTTACAAGCATGAGCCACTGCACCCGCCTTCTCTCATTTTTATGCTAAGGAAACTGAAGCATGTTCAGAGCAACTCAGGCAAGTCTAGACCCTGAGAAGCTCAGGCAGGAATTCCAGCAAGGACTTAGGGCAGGAGGGAAAGGTAGTTAGGTAAAGGATCTGCCTTAGTGAGGACAGGGCTGCAGGTGTGGTTGGAATTCTGAGACGCCAGACATCAGAGGTGCCTGAAATTTCCCTGCTTGGCTATAATGCCCTAGGGTGCCCAATCAGTCTGTAAACACTTACTGAGCGCTTATTAGTGATCTATTGCTTCATAACAATTTACTCTAAAACTTAGTGGCTCACAACAATGATAATCAATTTTTATCTCTAATGATGTATGTGAGTCAGGAATTCCAAAGCAGCTTGGTTGGGTGTTTCTGGCTCAGACCTTCTCATGAAGTGGTGGTCAACATGTCAGCAGGGCTGCAGTCATGTGAAGGCTTGACTGGGGACAGAGATCCATGTTTTCAAGGTGGCTCACTCACATAGCCAGCAAGTTGGTGCTGGCTTTCAGCGGGAGCCTCAGTTCCTCTCCCTGTGCATCCCTCCACAGAGCTGCTTGAGTGTCTGTATTTGTTTTGAAATTGTTGCATAGAAAATTACCACAAACTTAGTAGGTTAAAACAGTACCCATTTATTATCTCACAGTTCTGTAGGTCAAAAGTCCAGGCAGGCTCAACTGGTCTCTCTGCTTCCAAGGCCAAAATCAAGGTGTCAGCTGGTCTTGGTTCTCACTGGGAGGCTCTAGGGAACATTCTGCTTCCAAACCCATTGAGGTTGTTGCCAGAATTGTTCCTTGCAGTTATATAGGATTGAGGTCTCCATTTTCTGGCAGGCTGTTAGCTGAGGGCTGCTCTTAGCTTCCAGAGGCCACACTCAGGCCCAGGGGCTCCCTCTATTGTTAAATCAGCAGCAATGCATCAGGTCCTTCTTGAGCTTTGAATCTCTCTGACTTCCTCTTCTGCCCCCAGCTGAAGAAAACTCTCAGCTTTTAAACGGCTCATAGGATTAGATTGGGCCCGCTCAATCTTCCCATTGTAACATCAACTGATTAGTAAACTTAATTACATCTGCAAAATCCCTCTTGCCATGCAACATAAGATAGTGATGGGAGGCCGGGCATGGTGGCTCACACCTGTAATCCCAGCACTTTGGGAGGCCGAGGTGGGCAGATCACTTGACGTCAGGAGTTCAAGACGAGCCTGGCCAATATGGCAAAACCCCATCTCCACTAAAAATTAAAAAAAAAAAAAATAGCTGGGCATGGTGGGATACACCTGTAGTCCCAGCTATTTGGGAGGCGGAGGCAGGAGAATCAATTGAACCTGGGAGGCTGAGGTTGCAGTGAGCCGAGATTGTGCCACAGCACTCCAGCCTGGGTGACAGAGAGAGAATCTGTCTGCAAAAAAAAAAAAAAAAAAAAAAGTGAAAAAGTGATTGGAACACACTGGAGTGCAAAGATTATAGGGGCCAGCAGAGTATAAGATTTCCAATTCTTCCACATGTTCACTAACATTTGGTAGTATCTTCTTTTCTCATTTTTGCTATCCTGGCTGGCCATTTAATACCATTAATTCAGCAAACACTTATTAAGTCTCCACAATTTTGTGCTGAGTGCCTAAAATCACGTAAACATGAATCAACTAGGTACTCAATAAATATTTGTTGGCTGATTTTCCAGATGTTGGAGACATAAAATTAATTAGACATGGACTCTGCTCTCAAGGATCTTAAAAGTAAATATGTAGTGAAAGACTGATGACCAGCACATAAATAATACAGTTAAAAAAGCAATAAGGGCCAAAAGGAGGGGAATTCAGAAGAAAGAAAAAAATCTTTTAATTTAGAAAGACTCAAATCAAGGGAAACATCCTTGAGTAAGTGGCATTTGAGTGGGTTTTGTAAGAAAAAAATTAGGATTTAGTTATGCAGAGGTGATGGAGAACAGGGGTAGTGGCTAATATTTCAAACAGATAGAAGAGCATGAGTGAGGCTGTGCACGGTGGCTCACAACTGTAATCCTAGCACTTTGGGAGGCTGAGGCGTATGGATTGCTTGAGCTCAGGAGTTTGAGACCAGCCTGGACAACACTGTGAAAATCCAACACAACAACAACAAAAAAAAACAAACACAAAAATTAGCCAGGCATGGTGGCTCGTGCCTGTAGTTCCAGCTACTTGGTAGACTGAGGCAGGAGGAGCCCTTGAGCCTGGAAGATCAAGGCTGCAATGAGCCAAGATTGCACCACTGCACTCCAGCCTGGGTGCAGAGTGAGACAGAAGGAAGAAGAAAGAAAAGAAAAGAAACCTCAGTGATAAAGATTCTCCAGTCTACAAACTGCACACTAGGAGCTTTCTGAACACTTTCAATGCCCAGAGGTATTTTGTTTGGTCTTTTCAATCTTTTTTTAAAAATTTAAATTTGAATGCATTTCATAGAGCATGCATTTTGTAATTCTAGTTTAGTCGATACAAGATCCTGTTGTCCTAAACCCCTCTTCAGCCTCTTCATAGATTTATGGTATCCACCTGGCATCTGAGGGATTTGTGTTTGAGAGCATGGAGTTCAATCCGTTTGTTTTACACATAAGAAAACTGAAGCTCCAAAAAAGCTAAATGACTCAAGGAAGTACTGAGAGTCAGTGGTGGAGTTTCTACCTGGATTCCAGCCTCTTGATGTCCTGTCTGAGCTTCTTTTGCAGAGGCTGATAGACCAAGGAGCTCAGTCACTCTTAGATAAACCCGCTTTGGCTATCAACAAATATGTATGTTTGTTTTTCCTTGAGAGAAGTTTTATAAAGGAAGATGGAAGGAGTTCAAGATTCCTAGGCAAAGAAGAGGACAGAGGCTGAAATGTGCTTCCTTTTTTTCATTTTGCTTGGACCTAAATGGCAGGAAATTTCTTAACTAAAATTAAAAAGCAACTAGAATATCTCTTCCCATCTCATGAATACGTTGCTTTCTAAAGTCAACCGAATCCAAGCAGCTGACTTTCAAAATGGGGCCGAAGGAGACTCTAAAGTGCCACCTGGTGGCCATCTTCAGCACAAGCGAAAAGGAAAAGGGATTGCAGTGAGATCTTTGATCCAGGTAGGGCTGATAGCGTAGAAAACTCCCCAGCGACAAAAGTGGTATTAAAAGTAACAAAAAAGGCCGGGCGCGGTGGCTCACGCCTGTAATCCTAACACTTTGGGAGGCCGAGGTGGGCGGATTGCCTGAGCTCAGGAGTTCGGGAACAGCCTGGACAACACGGTGAAACCCCGTCTCTAACAAAATACAAAAAATTAGCTGGGCGTGGCGGCGTGCGCCTGTAGTCCCAGCTACTCGGGAGGCTGAGGCAGGAGAATTGCTTGAACCTGGGAGGCGGAGGTTGCAGTGAGCCGAGATCGCGCCACTGCCCTCCAGCCTGGGCGACAGAGCGAGACACCGTCTCAAAAAAAAAGGAACAAAAAGGCTTTATTTGACCTGCGGCCAAACCAATGGAAACTTCAGTGGAGGTGGGTTAGAGTGAAGTTCAGGACTTTTAAAGCACTTGTGAGAATGTCTTCCCACAGGACTAAGGAAACAGGTGATACAGAAACAGATAAGGACATCCGGTGAAAGGAGTAAGGTAGGAAGAGATGAGGGTTCTAACCCTCCTACAGGCTTGGGAGTACTTAGCCTGGAGATATTTCTCCAAGCCTTCAAGTTGTCTGCAAGACAGTTCCATATATATGGTGTTTTTCAATATATTTTTACAAATACTATTTATGTTTTAAAATATTCATTGAACATGGAGAAACACCATCTCTACTGAAAATACAAAATTAGCTAGGCGTGGTGGTACATGCTTGTAATCCCAGCTACTCGGGAGGCTGAGGCAGGAGAATCGCTTGAACCCATGAGGCGGAGGTTGCGGTGAGCCGAAATCGCGCCATTGCACTCCAGCCTGGGCAACAAGAGCGAAACTCCGTCTCAAAAGAAAAAAAAATGCATTCAATTTATTACAGGTTTATAACATAACCACAATAAAAGAGGTGAGAAAAAAGAATTAAGTAACTTTGGACTGTTATTTAACTATGTACTCTAAACGCAAAGAGCACACAAATTTTACTGTATTTAATAAATTTGTTTTTCACAAGGCTGTAGGTTGGAAATTCTAAAACTGTTTTATGTGTAATCTAGTGTTGAACAAATAAGTAAATACATTGTGAATAATAACCACCGAATTTTTTACTGTCAGAGAAAGGAATTAAAAACAAGAAAGGGAAATAATAGAATGAACCCTGAGAGCTGGAATGGAACTGGAGGTATCAATATAAAATAATAGGTTTTTTTTGTTTTTTGTTTTTTGTTTTTTCTTTTTTCAGACAGAGTCTCTCTTTTGCCCAGGCTAGAGTGTAGTGGTGAGATCTCAGCTCACCACAACCTCCATCTCCCGAGTTCAAGCAATTCTCCTGCCTCAGCCTCCCAAGTAGCTGGGACTACAGGAGTGCGCCAACACGCCCGGCTAATTTTTGTATTTTTAGTAGAGACAGGGTTTCACTATGCTGGCCAGGCTGATCTCAAACTGCTGTCATCGTGATCCGCCCACCGCGGACTCCCAAAGTGCTGGGATTAAAGGCGTGAGCCACTGCACCCGGCAAAGTCATAGTTTTTAATAGAGAGACAGGGAAATAAGTAAAGACATGTTTAAGTGTACACATACGTATATTTCCTAGCCCTGATCACTGAGGGAGGAAACAATGACACCCCAGTAGCAGTAAGCATCTAGTGCCCAGATCTTTTTTTTTTTTTTTTTTTTGAGCCTGAGTCTTGCTCTGTCGCCCAGGCTGGAGTGCAGTGGCGTGATCTCGGCTCACTGCAAGCTCCGCCTCCCGGGTTCACGACATTCTCCTGCCTCAGCCTCTCCAGTAGCTGGGACTACAGGCACCCACCACCACGCCCGGCTAATGTGTGTGTGTGTGTGTGTGTGTGTGTGTGTGTGTGTGTGTGTGTGTGTTTAGTAGAGACGGGATTTCACTGCAGATCTTTCTTTCTAAATATTATTCTCCAGTAAAAAGGAACCCGGTCTACTTAAACAGATAGCTGATTATACGGCTGGGGCAGGGAAGAACAGAATGAACTTAGGACATCTTGTGGAGCTAGTAACTAAGGAAGTGCTCAAAAAATGATGGACACATGTTGAAATGACACAAGCCAACTTGGTAAGACTCCTAGATCTGGGACAATCTGAACAACAAAAATGTTTAAAAGATAATAATGTTCACTCACAGATTAAAAGCAATATTCATGAGCCCATACTTATTTAAATAAAAAATTGAATAAACAAATAAATGAGGAAGAAAGGAAAGTTCTTTCTTACTGTAATACTCCAATTAATAAATGCAGAAGGAGTGATGCAAATAGCAAGTCACCAATGGCAAAGATCACAGTAAAAATTGTTTTTCAAGAACGTATCAGTGGATGCTAAAATTCATGGATGAAATTATTACCAGAAACATGATATTTATTTAGTCTCTAAGTATTTTTCCATGAGATGCCTATTAATTACAGTGAGAAATGTCATAACTTCACAATGTAGAAATGTGGCATATATAGCCTTAACCAAGATTAAAGCTTATTGTGTGCTTCCTGATATGATGCACTGAGAAGGACATGGCATCCCTTATGTGGTATCCTTACCAAAAATGCATAACCTGAATTTAATGTCTGCAAGGAATGCAGACATACCCAAATGGAGGGATGTTCCACAAAATAACTGACAGCTGCTCTTCAAAGGTGTCAAGGTTGGAAAAGATAAAGAAAAACTGAGACATCGTCCCAGCTTAAAACAGGCTAATAAATAAAGGCAATGTGTAATCCTGGTTTGGATCATGGATCATAAAAAGGACAGTATTGAGTCCAGATGCAGTGGCTCACGCCTGTAATCCCAGCACTTTGGGAGGCCGAGGTGGGCGGATCACAAGATTCAGCAGTTCAAGACCAGTGTGGCAACACGGTGAAACCCCATCTCTACTAAAAATACAAAAATTAGCCAGGCATGGTGGCGGGCCCCTGTAATTCCAGCTACTCCGGAGGCTGAGGCAGGAGAATTGCTTGAACCCAGGAGGCGGAGGTTGCAGTGAGCCGAGACCGTGCCATTGCACTCCAGCCTGGGCGACAGAGCAAGACTCTGTCTCAAAAAACAAAAGGACAGTATTGAAACAGATAATGAGAATTAAATGAGATAGCAATGAATTAAGTAGTAATGTTAACTTCCCAATTTTATCTTTGTACTGTTATTATATCATATGTTAACATTTGGAGAAGTTAGGTAAAGAGGATATAGAAATTCTTTGTACTATTTTTGTAAATCTTACATAATTTACAATAAAAAGTTGTAAAAAACTAAGCAAGAATTATGAACCATCCACTGTGTATAAGGCACTTTAACCAGAATATAATTTCTCAAGAAATATGTATCCTGTACGTTAGAGAACTTTTAACATAATATCAATTAATCAGAACATTGTCCTTCTATGAGCTAGAAATCCAATAACTTTCTTCTTGTACATCTCACATATCTCTATCTTAATTAATTAATTAGTTTGTTCATTCTTCTTTTTAATTAAAAAACTATGGGCTAGGCCTCATGCTGGGAACACAATAATGAAAAAGCCAGACATAATTCCTACCTCCCATAAACTAAAAGTCACATGGAGATATAATTAAAGAGTCAATTACAGTGTATAATAAGTGCCAAGATGTGTTAAGCAATTTCAGGCCACAGAACATGGCAGTTAGCACAAATTCTAGAGCCATATTGTCTGGGTTCAAATCCGTGCTCCATCACCAGCTGTGTGACTTTGGGAAAGTTACTTAACCTCTCTATGCCTCAATTTTCTCATCTGTACAATAAGAATAATAATAGTATCTACATCATATGGTTGTTGTGAAAATTAAAGGAGTTAATTTTATAACGTTGCACTTAGAATGGTGCCTGGTGAATCGCTTGAGCTCAGGAGTTTGAGACCAGCGTGGACAACATGGTAAAACCATGTCTCTACAGTAAAATAAAAAAAAAAAAATTAGCTGAGCATGGTGGCATGCACTATAGTCCCAGCTACCTGGGAGGCTAAGGCTGGGGGACCAATTGAGCCTGAGAAGTCAAGGCTGCAGTGAGCCACGATAACATCACTGCACTCCAGCCTGGGTGGCAGAGCGAGACCCTGTCTCAAACAAAAAAAGGTGCCTGGCACGCAGTAAGTCTAGGAAATGAATGGGCACACACCTGTTGCGGGGGCAGGGCTCTACTGTGTGAAGACGGGGAGTATTTAAGAAAAAAGCTTCCAGAACAAGTGGCATGTGAGCTGAGACCCAAAAGGCAGAACAATCAGGCTTTGCAAAAGCCTGGAATTGAGACAGGGCAAAGAGATTTGCAAAACTGAAAGAGTTCGTGGCCCAAGTGATGAGTGGTGAGAAATGAAGTCAGAGATTAGTAGGGACCAGATCATACAGGGCCTTTTCAGTGGAGTGAAAGAGCCTGGACTTCACCTTTAAGGCTGTGGAAGCCGTGGTGAGATGGAGGCAGGAGGAGCATCTCAATGGCCCTTCAGAAAGATTTCTAAGGCAGCAAAGTGGAGATTTATAGAGGAGATTCACAGCAGGCCACACTGGAGCCAGAAGAGGCGGGAGGCTTTTGTGGTGATCCAAAGAGGAGATGGTAACGTGCTGGACAAAGAGAAGTGGACAGATTGGAAAGATCCTTAGAAGGTTGAATCCTTTTGCTTTCCACTAAGATATGAGCACTATGAGAAGAGAATTTTTCAACAGCTTTATTGAGATGTTAGGCACGTACCATACAATTCACCCCTTTAAAATGTACAGTTGAATAGCGTTTAGTATATCCACAGCTGAGCATCCATTGCCAAAATAGATTTTAGAACATTTCTGTCAACCAGGCAAAATCCCATATCCATTAGTAGTCACTCCATATTTCTCCCCAAACTCCCTCCCCCAAGCCCTAGGCAACCACCTGTCTGCTTTCTATTTCTATAGATTTGCCTATAGACATTTCATAGAAATAGAATCATACAATATGGTCTTTTGTGACTGGCTTCTTTCACTTGGCATAATGTTTTCAAGGTTCTTCTATGTTGCAACATGTATCAGTACTTCATTACTTTATGGCTGACTAATATACCGTTATATGGATATGCCACATTTTATTTATCCATTCAATAGTTGGACATTTGGAGCGTTGATACTTTTTGGCTATTATGAAGAACACTGCTATGAACATTCATGTATGCATTTTTGTGTGGATGTGTGTTTTCATTTCTCTTGGTACATACCTGGGAGTGGAATTTCTAGGTCATATGGTAACGCTATGTTTAACTTTTTGAGGAATCGCAAAGCGACTGCACTATTTTACATTCCTACCAACAGTGTATGAGGAGTTCAAATGTTTAATATCTTTGCTAACACTTATTATTAGTAGTCTTTTTTACTGTAGCCATCTTGATTGGTGTGTAATGGTACTTCATTGTTGTTTTGGGTTGCAATTCCCTTATGGCCAATGATATTAAACATCTTTTCATATGCTTGTTTTGAAGCCTGCCACCTGGGTTCAAGCGATTCCCCTGCCTCAGCCTCCTGAGTAGCTGGGACTACAGGCACCCACCACCACACCTGGCTTATTTTTGTATTTTTAGTAGAGACGGGGGTTTCACCATGTTGGCCAGGCTGGTCTCAAACTCCTGACCTCAGGTGATCCACCCGCCTCAGCCTCCCAAAGTGCTGGGATTACAGGTGTGAGCCACCACGCCCATCCTCTGATGACTATTATGAATGCCTGAAGGAGAGCAACTGGTAATTACTGTGCCTCTGCTGTGTGTCAAGAGCTTTCATAAATGACCTATCATTTATTCTCTTCAATCACCTTGTTTCTACAGCACGTCCCTGATGAGCCAGTTTGATCACAGACAAAATGGAAATTATACTTCATGCTAAATGAATGACAAACCTCTTTCAAAGACTTACAAAACATTGTTTTTGTAATGTATTCTGGAGTTTTGCCATGATCAATTTCAAGAATACTGGTCTATACTTTCTAGAATTTACTTCTTCCCTCCCATGTGTACTTGTCTTTTGTTTTCTGGCACTAATTTTTTTTTTTTTTTTTGAGACGGAGTCTCCCTCTGTTGCCCGGGCTGGAGTGCAATGGCGAGATCTCAGCTCACTGCAACTTCCACCTCCCAGGTTCAAGTGATTCTCCTGCCTCAGCCTCTCAAGTAGCTGGAATTACAAGCACCTGCCATCATGCCCAGCTAATTTTCATATTTTTAGTAGAGATAGGGTTTTGCCATGTTGGCCAGGCTGGTCTTGAACTCCTGACCTCAGGTTATCCACCTGCCTCAGCCTCCCAAAGTGCTGGGATTACCGGCGTGAGCCACCACACCCAGCCATCTGGCACTAATTTTGCCCACAATTTTTTTAGCTAGAACTAACGCCATTTCCATAATCAAGTGAATTTGAGTTTACAGTTTCAGAAATACACACGACCTAGAATAAATGTCTCTGTGTCTTTCTTTCTGTGTTTCCACCTGCCTGTTACTTCCTGTAATATCAGCTGAAAGGACACAAATGTCACTTCATAGACAACTCTTACAGAGGCTCCTCAACTTCTTCCTAACATTAAGCACAGCTCGACACAAAACCAAGGGAAACTGGGCAAATTTTATTACTGGACAAATTTTATTCACTGCCCATTTTTCCATTTCCTGAGGCCCACTGGTATTTAAATGGGGTCAACTCTGATTACCTTTAGGCATATGGATGCAGGGCTAATTTTCTGAACTTATTTTCAGCATAATAGGGCATTCTCATTTCAAACAAAAAAACCCCATCATGCTTTCTTCACCTGCTCAAAGATGCAGCCCCACCATCCCCATCTCCCTAAAAGCTTTCTGCAGCCCACTAAAAATATCCAATGTTGACAGATGTAAGCTATCAATACAGAGACTCAAGATCCCAGGGTGAGAAGTGGCCAGAGGCGAAGTCTTGATAAACAGCTCAAATTGGCTCTTACTCCACAGGTGACGCCTAGTTTATCTGGGTAATTGTAAAAGGCATTTTTACAGCAAATCAATTAAATGAAAATCTTTTAAACCCTTTTTAAATGGGGGGAGGAAGGGGAGGGTGAAGAGGGCCAACCTTTGTAAGCTAACAGGTGATTTTAATTGGAACCAGCAGCGTTATACCATGTTTTTGACCCATTCGGTAAAGGCAGAAAAAGAAATCAATAAATTTCCATCAGCATTTGCCCTCCTGGAGTCGTATAAGTAGAATGGAGACACGAACCCCAGTTAATGGCTTCATCAAGCACCTCACTGATTCTCTAACAGAATTAAATAGGTTGCAGGTCTCTCCCCATTGTCCTCTGCATTGAGATTCAAAAATGCCCTAGTCTGCTGGGTGCTCCTAGGTGACACATGAGTTACCATCCGCCTCATTACAAGTACAGCTAACCACCCTCAGGCCCAATCATGACAGACCTCCTGAAGCAGTCCTGTCTCAGAGATGGGAATCCACACACTGACCCTTTATTAAAAGCAAAACACAGGAGCTCCAAGTTTTACTCCTGGAAATAGATCTATGGAGAATCCACAGGGCCTAACAGTTGGGCAGCTTGACTTCAGTCACATATTAGTTGTGTAACCTTGGGTAAATTGCTTAAACTTTCTAATCTGCCATTCCCTCATCTTTATACAGGGGAATAATGATGCTAACCCTCATTGGCTAGTTTTGAGATTAAATGTTGTGTGTCAATATACTTAAAGGTACATCCAAAGATTTGAATAGGCAGTTTACAGCAGAAAAAAATTAAAATGGCATCCAACACATGAGAAGATATACTGTTTCACTCATAATAAGAGCAATGCAAAATAAAACCATACTGAGATGCTACTTTTCATCTGTCACTGGCAAAAATCCCATGATTTGAGAGTATATTCTATTGATGAAGTGACGGGGAAACGGGCACTCATTCATTGTTGAAGACTCAAAACAGGATCACCTTATTAGAGTGGAATTTGTAAATATCTGAAAAAATTATATATGCATTTACCCATTGAGCCAGAAATCTAGGAATCTATCCCAAGATACAGGAGCAAAAATTCAAAATGACTTATACGCTCGGTAAATCTCTGTGCCATTATTTATAATTGCAAATGTATGGAAATAATTCAAATGTCTATCAACAACTAGTTGAATAAAATATGGTTACATGGATGCAATGGAATACTCTGAAGCTGTAAAAGGTAATGAGATAGAGCTGTGTATGCTGATGGAGAGTGGTATCTGGGATATATTAAGTGAAAAAAAGATGTGGAATATATATAGAGAGAGACAGAATCATACCTTTTGTGTAAAAAAGAGAAAACAAGTGTAAATATACATATGTGTTTGCTTATATTTGCAAAAAGAAACGTTGGAAAAATTTTTAAAAACTAATAAAAGTTGAGGAGGATCAGCAGGAACATAAAAGCAAGATTTCTTTTTTTTTTTTTTTTTTGAGACAGAGTCTCACTCTGTCACCCAGGCTGGAGTACCACGCAATCTTGGCTCACTGCAACCTCCGCCTCCCAGGCTCACGTGATTCTCCTGCCTCAACCTCCCGAGTAGCTGAGATTACAGGCATGTGCCACCACATCCAGCTAAATTTTGTATTTTAGTAGAGACAGGGTTTCACCATGTTGGCCAGGCTGGTATCGAACTCCTGACCTCAAGTGATCTGCCCACTTTGGCCTCCCAAAGTGCTGGGATTATAGGTGTGAGCCACCGTGACTGGCCACAAGATTTCTTTAAACATACTTTATATAAATTTGATTTTGGAAACATAGAAATGTTTTCTATGTTCGAAAATTGTATTACATTTAAAAAGTAATCCCTAAACATTAAAAATGAAAAAAAAATTTACTATGAATTAGTTGGATATGTAAACCCCCAGGGAAAATAGTTATTTCAAGTGACTTTAGATCACAGTAATAGAGGAATATATTCTTTTTGCTTTTTTTTTTTTTTTGAGACAGAGTCTCGCTCTGTCGCCCAGGCTGGAGTGCAGTGGCGCCATCTCGGCTCACTGCAAGCTCCGCCTCCCGGGTTCACGCCATTCTCCTGTCTCAGCCTCCCGTGTAGCTGGGACTACAGGCGCCCGCCACCGCACCCGGCTAATTTTTGTATTTTTAGTAGAGACAGGGTTTCACCGTGTTAGCCAGGATGGTCTCGATCTCCTGACCTTGTGATCCGCCCGCCTCGGCCTCCCAAAGCGCTGGGCTCGGCCTCCCAAAGCGCTGGGATTACAGGCGTGAGCCACCGCGCACAGCAATAGAGGAATATATTCTAAACACAAATGAGGCGAGGTGTGGTGACTTGTACCTGTAATCCCAGCCCTTTCTCATAATGAGGCAAGAGGATCACTTGCCTGAGGCCAGGAGTTCAAGACTAGCCTGGGCAACAGCCAAGACCACAGTCTCTACAAAATAATAATAATAATAATAATAATAATAATAGTAATAAATTAGCCAGTCAGGGTGGCTGAGGTGGGAGAATCATTTGAGCCCAACAGTTTGAGGCTGCAGTAAGCTGTGATTGCACGACTGCACTCCAGCATGGCCAACAGAATGAGACCCTGACTCTTAAAAAAAAAATTTTAGGCCAGGTGCTATGGCTCACGGCTGTAATCTCAGCATTTTGGGAGGCCGAGGCAGGCAGATCACCTGAGGTTAGGAGTTGGAGACCAGC
This sequence comes from Homo sapiens, assembly GCF_000001405.40. Taxonomy (NCBI): domain Eukaryota; kingdom Metazoa; phylum Chordata; class Mammalia; order Primates; family Hominidae; genus Homo; species Homo sapiens. The sequence continues at coordinate 123,033,042 of NC_000011.10, forward strand.
CTGACCAACATGGAGAAACTCCGTCTCTACTAAAAATACAAAATTAGCCGGGCATGGTTATACATACCTGTAATCCCAGCTACTCAGGAGGCTGAGGCAGGGGAATCGCTTGAACCCAGGAGGTGGAGGTTGTGGTGAGCTGAGATTGCACCACTGCACTCCAGCCTGGGCAAAAAGAGCGAAACTCTGTCTCAAAAAAAAAAAAAAAAAATTTAGACTTTATTTGGTAGCTTAATTGTAGTCATAATATTTGTTTTATTACTTTAAAACTATTTTATGGCCAGGCGAGCTGGCTTCTGCCTGTAATCCCAGCACTTTGGGAGGCCGAGGTGGGTGGATCACGAGCTCAGGAGATCGAGACCATCCTGGTCAACATGGTGAAGCCCCAACTCTACTAAAATACAAAAAATTAGCCAGGAGTGGTGGTGCAAGCCTGTAATCCCAGCTACTTGGGAACCTGAGGCAGGGGAATCACTTGAACCCAGGAGACGGAGGTTGCAGTGAGCCAAGATCGCACCACTGCACTCCAGTCTGGTGACAGAGCAAGACTCTGTCTCAAAAAAAGAAAAACAAAACTATTTTACATATTGTAGACTAATGCAGTAAGTAGTAACAATGTCAGGAACCAAGATTTTCAATGTAAGAAAAAAGACATAAAGGATAAATTTTAAAATGTTAAGTAAAGATCTTGGCAAATAAAAAGAGATGATGTGGTAAAACTTAACTTTTTGTTTTTGTTTTTGTTTTTTGGAAAGAGACTCTCCACATGGGGAGGGTGCCGGACCAAGGGGTCCAGAACACCCTGAGTTTCTTCCTTTGGCTTGGGGCTCTCTTAGATGGTCTTAGCTACAAGCAACAGAAATAGGTACTCGTTGACTTGAGGGGAAAAAAATGACTCGTTAGGAAAAACAACCTGTTAGGAGCGTAGCCAGAGAATCAAAGGAAGTGCCAAACCATCACCCGCCGCGGGAGGGCCCTGCGAGCTGTTTTAATCAGCTATTCCAGCATCACAAAACACAGCTGATTAATACAGCAGCAGTGTCCTGTTTCTCAGAATTGTGTGGAGGGACTGGCTAGAAGTTCTTCCGTTGGTTTCTTCTAAACTCACTCAGGTGACAACATCCAGCTGGTGGAGAGACTGGGGCAGGACTCAGCTGGGAAAGCTGTGAAGATGGGGCCATTCTCTCCACGTGGTCTTTCATCCTCCAGGAGGTTAAACTGGGCTTTTCCCCATCACACCGTGGACAATGGTCCAAGAGAGTAGGAGTGGAACTGCAAGGCCCATCCTGGCAGCCGTACAGCGTCGCTCTCACCACGCTTTGCTGGCCAAAGAACACCATCAGGACATCCCAGATTCAAGTGTTCGTACTTCACCTTTTAATAGGAAAGGCCACAAATAATTTTTATCTGCTTTTAATCAGCCACAGTCCATCTATAAACAATGATTGTCACTGGTAACAATGATTGGCAGCTCCTTCCATCAAAAAGTAGACCCCTTGAATCTGGACCAGCCTTATGAAATGTTTTCAATGATAGAATATGCTGGAGAAGACATGGGCCACAGCATCCCAGAAAGGCCATATCTTCTCCTTCCTGGAACACTGCCTTTGCCGTGTGAAAAAGTCTGGTCTAGACTCCAGTAGGATGCAAGACCACGTGGAAAGAAAGCTACGCCAGGCTCCCGGCTAAGCTCAGCTTACAGTCAACACCGCATGAATGTATCTACATGAGTTTGCCCACAACAGGCCAGAGGAAGAACTGCCCAACCAACTCACAGAATCACAAGCAATAAGTTGTGGTTTCAAGCCACCACATTTTGGGGTAGTTTGTCACACAGCAGTAGATAACCACCTCCGGGGCTTTCAGCATCAGGAATTGTGCAAAGTCTCTCTGAATTTGTCATTAACATAACTGCTCCTAAGTCTGGTGCCCTGGCCTCTTGGCTGCAAGATTGCCAACTTTAGGTTAAGAGTCTACTTCTGAACCAACCAGCTATGGCAGAAAAGTGAGGGGCTGAGTCACTTAGCACAGACAGAGGTCCTGAGGGTCACCCAAGCTGATACCTCCTGTTACCTCCACACTGCATCCCAAGGAGTCTGCTATTTCTGATCTCAATCTTCAAAACCCTAGCCCATTTCTCCACATCCTTGTCAACGTGTATATTATCTTTCATCTTTTTGATACTGCCATTCTGACATGTTTGAGGTAAGAACTCATTGTGGTTTTAATTTTTATTCTCCTAATGATTAGTGATGTTGAATATTTTCTCATCTATTAGTTGGTGTTTGTATTTGTTTGTTTGAAATGGAGTCTCGCTCTGTCACCCAGGCTGGAGTGCAGTGGCGCCATCCCGGCTCACTGCAACCTCTGCCTCCTGGGTTCAAGTGATTCTCCTGCCTCAGCCTCCCAAGTAGCTGGGATTACAGGTGTGCGCCACCATGTCCAGCTAATTTTTTGGATTTTTAGTAGAGACGGGGTTTCACTATGTTGGCCAGGCTGGTCTCAAACTGCTGACCTCAGGTGATCCACCTGCCTCGCCCTACCAAAGTGCTGGGATTACAGGCGTGAGCCACTGCACCTGTCCTGTTTTCTTTTGAGAAATGTCTATTCAAGCTCCTTTGCCCATTTTTTAATGGGAACCCCTCTCCACTCTTGGTGGGAATGTAAACTAGTACAGCCATTATGGAAAATTGTATGAAGTTTCCTCAAAAAAAACCTAAAAATAAAATTGCCATATGATCCAGAAATCCCACATCTGGGTATATACCCTAAGGACTTGAAATCAGTATGTTTGCTCTTCCGGGGACGTGGTCTAGAGGCACTCGGAATGGTCCAGCATTTGACATACTGCCGTAGGCTTTCCTACAATTCAGTCTCTAACAAAACTAGGCTGTCCCGAATACCTGGTAATAGAATTGTTTACCTTTATACCAGGAAGGTTGGGAAAGCACCAAAATCCGCATGTGGGCATGTGTCCAGGAAGACTTCATTTTGAAGTTTGTGCTGTGAGACCTAAAGTTCCTATGAGATTGCCCCCAAACAAAAAACATGTCAGCAGGGCCTCCGGTGGTTGTGTGTGTTCTAGGTGTGTTCATGACAGGATCAAGAGTGATTTCCTTATCGAGCGGCAGAAAACCATTGCGAAAGTGTTGAAGGCACAAGCACAGTCAGAAAGCTAAATAAAAAAATGAAGCTTACAGCCGGGTGTGGTGGCTCATGCCTGCAATCTCAGCACTTTGGGAGGCCAAGCCGGGTGGATCACCTGAGGTCAGGAGATCGAGACCAGCCTGGCCAACATGATGAAACCCCGTCTCTACCAAAAATACAAAAATTAGCCTGGCATGGTGGTGCGCACCTGTAATCCCAGCTACTTGGAAGGCTGAGGCAGGAGAATCACTTGAACCCAGGAGGTAGAGTTTGCAGTGAGTTCATGCCACTGCACTCCAGCCTGGGTGACAGAGTGAGACTCTGTCTCAAAAAAAAAAAAAAAAAAATGCCAGGCGTGGTGGCTCACATCTCCAATCCCAGCACTTTGGGAGGCCAAGGCGGGTGGATCACCTGAGGTCAGGAGTTTGAGACCAGCCTGGCCAACATGGGCCAACCCCATCTCTACTAAAAATACAAAAAATTAGCTGGGCATGGTGGTGAGCACCTGTAATCCCAGCTACTCGGGAGGCTGAGGCAGGAGAATCGATTGAACCTGGGAGGCGGGGGTTGCAGTCAGCCAAGATCACACCATTGCACTCCAGCCTGGGCAACAAGAGTGAAACTCTGTCTCAAAAAACAAAACAAAACAAAACAAAACAAAACAAAAAAAGAAGACATTTGGAGTCATAATTTTTTTAAAAAATCACTATGTCAAAGAGCCATCTGCACTCCATGTTCATTACAGCATTATTCACAATAGCCAAGATGTGAAATCAACCTAAGGCTTCATCAAGGGATGAATGAATACAGAAACTGTGGTACATATAAGCAATGGAGTACTAAACAGTCATTAAAAAGAAGAACATTCTGTCACTTGCGACAACATGAATGAACCTGGAGGACAATAAGCTAAGTGAGGCCGGGCATGGTGGCTCACGCCTATAATCCTAGCACTTTGGGAGGCTGAGGTGGGCGGATTGCCTGAGCTCAGGAGTTCGAGACCAGCCTGAGCGACACTGTCTCTACTAAAATACAAAAAATTAGCTGGGCGTGGTGGCGGGCGCCTGTACTCCCAGCTACCCAGAAGGCTGAGGCAGGAGAATTGCTTGAACCCAGAAGGCGGAGGTTGCAGTGAGCCGAGATCAGGCCACTGCACTCCAGTCTGGGTGACAGACTGAGACTCTGTCTCAGAATAAATAAATAAATAAAAATAAGCTAAGTTAAATCAGCGCAGAAGGACAAAATCCTCATATTTTCATTTATCTGTGGGATCTAAAACAATCAAACTCAAACCAGAGAGTAGAACGGTGGTTGGGAGGTGAGAGGAATGTGGAGATATTGATCAAAGGGTACCAAGTAGCAGTTAAACAGGAGGGATAAATAAATATTTAAGGTAATGGGTATGTTAATTATCTTGATTCAATCATTCCACACTGTATACGTAGATCATAACATCACTGTGTATCCCTTAATTACATAAGATTATAACTTGTCAAAATTAATACTAATTAAAGAAAAAACAAGCTCAGGTAGGATGCTTCTCCTTCCTTGTTTCTCTTTAACACAGCTGAAAAATGCTGAAGCTTTGGAGGTTCGGGGAAGCTGGTAGTTAGCCAAGATCACAAAGGGAACAAGAGTCCTAAATAAAGGAAAAGAAAATGTATAAAATAATTTAAATAGCAAGGTTTCAGTTGTGTGCTAGCTAGGCTGTGATGACTGTGATGACAGGCATGATGAACCTTTTTTTTTTTTTTTTTTGAGACCAGGTCTCTCTCTGTTGCCCAGGCTGGAGTGCAGTGGCGTGATCTGCACTGCAACCTCCACTTGAATCCTGGGTTCAAGCGATTCTCCTGCCTCAGCCTCCCAAAAAGCTAAGATTACAGGCACCTACCACCATGCCTGGCTAATTTTTGTATTTTTATTAGAGAAGGGGTTTCACTATGTTGGCCAAGCTGGTCTCAAACTCCTGACCTTGGGTGATTCACCCGCCTTGGCCTCCCAAAGTGCTGGGATTACAGGTGTGAGCCACTGCGCCCAGCCAGTCCTCACCTCTTATATGCTGAGGGTTATTTATTTATTTATTTATTTATTTATTTATTCTTTTTTTCGAGATGGAGTTTCGCTTTGTCACCAGGCTGGAGTGCAGTGGTGCGATCTCAGCTCACTGCAACCTCCGCCTCCCAGGTTCAAGAGATTCTCCTGCCTCAACCTCCCAAGGAACTGGGACTACAGGCGCGTGCCACCACACCCAGCTAATTTTTGTATTTTTAGTAGAGACGGGGTTTCACCATATCGGGCAGGATGGTCTCTATCTCTTGACCTCGTGATCCTCCTGCCTTGGCCTCCCAAAGTGCTGGGATTACAGGTGTGAGCCACCGCACCCAGGCATGCTGAGGGTAATTTTGTTGCTCTTGCGGATCCAAAAGAGCATCAATACCTTGACACACAATACACAAGTCTGTAGAACATGGTCTGTTCTGGGAACTTCCCATTTACAAATTCCAATAGGGTAAATTCTGTCCAGGTGTAGTGGCTCACACCTATAATCCCACCACTTTGGGAGGCTGAGGCTGGTGGATCACTTGAGGTCAGGAGTTTGAGACCAGCCTGGGCAACATGGCAAAGCCCCATCTCTACTAAAAATACAAAAAAAAAAAAATATCCAGGTGTAGTGGCGCATGGCTGTAGTCCCAGCTGCTCAGGAGGCTGAGGCAGGGGAACAGCTTGAACCCTGGAGACGGAGGCTGCAGTGAGCTGATATTGCCCCACTGCATTCCAGCCTGGGCAACAGAGTGAGACTCTGTCTCAAAACAACAAACAAACATACAAATTCCAATAGGGTAAGTTCTATATAGGGAGACGGTACTGCATGGTGCTTAACATTATGGATTGAAGAGTCAGACAGAATAGTCTCCTCATTTGTTAATGGGAATACAATGTAGCTTACCTCATAGGATTATGGCAAGGATTACATGAAAGAAGGCATGTGGAGTATTTCACATAGTTGGCAAATAGTGTTTTATAAATGCTGGTTATTAATAAGAAACTAAGAACAATTTTTTTGCAGGAAGTTCACCTTTGTACCCTCAGAATCTATCATGTTGCCTAGCACCTATTAGGGGTTCAATAAATGTTCACCAGGCCAGGCACGGTGGCTTACGCCTGTAATCCCAGCACTTTGGGAGGCCAAGGCAGATGGATCACTTGAGGTCAGGAGTTTGAGACCAGCCTGGCCAACATGGTGAAACCCTGTCTCTACTAAAAATACAAAGAAAAAAAAAATTAGCTGGGCATAGTGGCATGCGCCTGTAATCCCAGCTACACAGGAGGTTGGGGCAGGAGAATCACTTGAACCTTGGAGGCAGAGGTTGCAGTGAGGGGAGATCATGCCACTGCATTCCAGCCTGGGCGACAGAGCGAGACTCTGTCTCAAAAAAAAAAAAAAAAGAAAAAGAAAAAAAAAAGAAATTCACCAAATGCGTCACCGTATCCGGGGGTCAGAAAGCATAAGGACACCCAGGAATGAAGTCATTTGCCCAAGGTCACCATGCCACATGGCTACTTCGAAGCAGACCTTATAAATCTCCACAGTGTGGGTGCCCTGGAAGTCTCTCGTGCCCTAAGTGTTTAGATGATACCTGACTGAGCATAAGTCCTGGGGAGAAAGATTCAATCAAAGTTCCAAATCTGATTCTATTCCAGCCAGAGCTGAGTGAGTGTCTGTCTCTCCTTTTCCCTGGGCCTGTCACAATCTCAACAAATAGGCTTTTAAATTAAGTAGTGATTTGGAATGTAAGTGAGTGCATTTAAGATGATAAGAGACGGAGAGATCCTAATGGCTGAAATATTTGTCATATCACAAGTAAACGGAGTGTTTCGGGGAGTCACTAATATAACTAATTTTTTCCAAATCCTCCTCTGCTCTGTGTGGGAAGATGAGGTCAGTGCAGGTTGAGCCAGCCCGGAGTGAGCAGCTGCCAGGGGACTGAAGAGAATACTGATGGATGGCTGAGGCGCCCGGACAGTTCGCCTCAGGAAACCAGAGCCCACTTGTTCAAATTAAGCTATGGATGCCCAACAACCGGTGGCAGGCTGCCACGAATGAAAAGGTGGGGAAATGAATGCACAGCCCAGCCCGCCTCCCCCGGAGAGTGGAGCTGTGCTGTCGGTTTGGGCTTGGCCCCTATGCTGGGGGGTGTCTGAAAGGAAGCTGGAAGTAATCTAACGCAGCTCCCTCCTCCTCGCACCCTGACACCCCATTCTTGAATATCCTCTGCAGCAAGCCCAAATCATTTTAGTCAGACCTCTTGTTGGTGGCTCCTGGAGCCTGGTATCTCACTACCTCCGTGGCAGCCCACTTTCCTTGGCAGATCCCAGAGGTATATTCGGCACTCACTGTCCAAAATGAATAGCCCCCTCAGTTAGGCTTGGTGTCTCGAGTGTTTAGGCTTACAGCCAAAACCCAAGTTCCAGTCTTTTATTTATTTATTTATAAATTTTAAGTTGTCTATTATTTATTTATTTATTATTTTTATATTTATTTATTTTTGAGAAGGAGTCTCACTCTGTCGCCCAGCCTGGAGTGCAATGGTGCGATCTCGGCTCACTGCAACCTCCGCCTCCCGATCAAGTTCCACTACCACATTTGCTCTGCAGCCTTCAGGCAGAAACAATACCTTTGCTGAGACGCCTTCTTCGTTTGTAAAAATGGGAATGACATTTGCACCATGGCTTTTCACAATGGCAAGTGCTGGTGGAAAGAGAGAACTGGTCATTTCACCTGAACCTCACATTAATTTGGGGCCTTAAGTTTAGATTTTGACATTATCTTAAAATAAATACACATTCAGGCCAAGCACGGTGGCTCACACCTGTAATCCCAGTACTTTGGGAGGTCAAAGTTCCCAAAATCCTCCCATGTTTGGGAGGCTGGTCAGAAGTTCAAGATCAGCCTGGCCAAACATGGTGAAATTGTCTCTACTAAAAATACAAAAAATTAGCCGGGTGTGGTGGCACGCGCTTGTAATCCCAGTTACTCAGGAGGCTGAGGCACACGAATCGCTTGAACCCGGGAGGTGGACTTGCAGTGAGCCGAGATTGTGCCATTGCACTCTAGCCTGGGCGATAAGGTGAGACTGTCTCTCTCACACACACACACACACACACACACGCACACACACACACACACGCACACACACACACACACACACTCAGCCAAAGAGAAATACTGATAAGACTAAAAGGAAATGATCACCCAGGAGCAGTGGCTCATGCCTATAATCCAAGCACTTTGGGAGGCTGAGACCAGTGGCTTGCTTGGGCCCAAGAGTTCCAGACCAACCTAAGCCACATGTCAAAACCCCATCTCAATTAAAAAAAAAAATAGGAGATGTTCCTCGTTGGAAATGTATGAGTCATTTTTGGGCCACCCCTTCTGCAGCACACACTAATGGGATTTTTAAAATACATTTTTGTCTAGGACGAGTATTTAGCATTGCATTTTTTAGGTAGTTTGTTTGTTTGTTTTAAGACAGCGTCTCACTCTGTCATCCAGGCTGGAGTGCAGTGGTACAATCACAGCTCACTGTGGCCTTGACCTCCTGGGCTCAAGCCATCCTTTCACCTCAGCCTCCCGAGTAGCTGGGACTACAGGCACATGCCACCACATTTGGCTAATTTTTTAAACTTTTTGTAGAGATGGGCTCCCACTATGTTGAACTCCTGGGCTCAAGTGATCCTCCTGCCTGGGCCTCTCAAAATGCTGGGATTACAGGCAGGAGACACCATACTTGGCCAGCATTGCGTTTTTGTTTACTTTTTAAAAATTTTTTTGTAGAGATGGGATCTGGTTTTCTGCCCAGGCTGGTCTCAAACTCCTGACTTCAAGTGATCCTCCTGCCTCTTCCTCCTAAATTGCTGAGATTACAGGCATGGACCACCATACCTGGCCAGCATTGCATTTTTTTTTTTTTGAGATGGAGTCTCGCTCTGTCACCCAGACTGGAGTGCAGTGGCCAGATCTTGGCCTCCCCCCGGTTCACGCCACTGTCCTGCCTCAGCCTCTCGAGTAGCTGGGACCACAGGCGCCCACCACCACGCCCGGCTAATTTTTTGTATTTTTAGTAGAGACAGGGTTTTACCGTGTTAGCCAGGATGGTCTCGATCGCCTGACCTCGTGATCTGCCCGCCTCGGCCTCCCAAAGTGCTGGGATTACAGGTGTGAGCCACCACGCCCAGCCCAGCATTGCATTTTAAAAAGCATTCACTCTTCAGAGAAATGTGAGAAAAAAAGAAAGAAAAATAAATAAGTAAATAAAATAAAAGCATTCACTCATTAAATATAAAGTTTTAAATATATCACAATTTTTATAATCTTGGTTTGACATTTCTTAATATCCTAAGAGCCTAAAAAAATGTAAATATTCCAGGTTTCTGTCTAAGAGGTTCTGTCCTTGCCTCCTTGTGACATTATTGTTGCAATCAAATAAGATTAGAAATGTAAAATCAAGCCAGGCGTGGTGGCTCACACCTGTAATCCCAACACTTCGGGAGGCCGAGGCAGGTGGATTACCTGATGTCAGGAGTTCGAGATCAGCCTGGCCAACATGGTGAAATCCTGTCTCTACTAAAAATACAAAAATTAGCTGGGCATGATGGTGCGCACCTGTAGTCCCAGCTACTTGGGAGGCTGAGGCAGGAGAATCACTTGAACCCGGGAGGAAGAGGTTGCAGTGAGCTAAGATCATGCCATTGCACTCTAGCCTGGGTGACAGAGCAAGATTCTGTCTCAAAAAAAAAAAAAAAAAAAAACCACAAAATATAAAGTCAGTTTTTCATAAAAAGGTTCTGTATATTATATAAGGTATTTAAAATAGTCAAATTCATAGAAACAAAAAGTATCACAGTAATTGCCAGGGACTTGGGGGTGGGGAAACTGATAATCTGTTGAATGGGTTCATTCTGCAAGATGAAAAAGTTCTGGAGATGAGTTGCACAATGATGTAAATATACTTAACACTACTGAACTGTACACTTACCAATGATTAAGATGGTAAATTATATGTTATGTGTGTTCTACCACAGTTAAATTTTTTTACTCTTAAAAATTTTTTTAAGTTGTCTATAAATTAGTTGCTGCTGCTATTTTTTATTAATACTACTAACAGTAATTATATACTGTCTTTCTTTAAATATGTATTGAGTATTCACTATGTGTCAGGTGCTGTGTAGACCCTAGAGAGCTTTTTAACTTATATGGTGAATAAATATAATATGATGGCCAGGCACGATGGCTCACATCTATAACCCCAACACTTTTGGAGGCCAAGGTGGGAGGATTGCTTAAGGCCAGAAGTTTGAGGTGACCAGCCTAGACAACATAGTGAGACCATGTCTCTACAAAAAACATTAATTAAAAACTTAGCCAAGTGTAGTGGCACACACCTGTAGTCCCAACTACTTGGGAGGCTGAGGCAAGAAGATTGCTTGAGTCTAGGAATTTGAGGCTACAGTGAGCTATGATCAATGACACCACCGTCCTTCTGCCTGGATGACAGAGTGAGCTCTTGTCTCTAAAAAAAAGAAAAGAGGGTCGGGCACAGTGGCTCACGCCTGTAATCCCAGCAATTTGGGAGGCCGAGGCAGGTGGATTGCTTGAGCTCAGGAGTTCAAGACCAGCCTGGGCAACATACCTGTCTCTACAAAAAAATACCAAAAAAAAAAAAAAAAAAATTCAGCCAGGTGTGGTGGTACACACCTATAGTCCCAGCTATTCAGAAGGCTGAGGTGGGAAGATCACTTGGAGCCTAGGAGGTAGAGGTTGCAGTGAGCTGAGATCACACAACCGCACTCCAGCCTGGGTGACAGAGTGAGACCGTGTCTCAAAAAAATAAAATAAAATAAAATAAAATAAAATAAAATAAATAAAGATATGATTTCTTCATTTTAAACTACAAAACACTGCTGACAGAAATTTTAAAAGGCCTAAATAAAAGGAGAGATATGCCATTTTTGTGGATTCAGACTCAATTTTGTTAAGAGGTAAACTCAATTTGATCGAATAGAGTCATTAAAATCCTAAGAATAAGTCAAATCGGTTATTTTTGTGGAAATTGAGTTGATTTTTAAGAATTATGTGAAAAAGCAAAGATCTAGAAGAACAAAAGCAGTCTTGAAAAAGCAAAACAGCTGGGCACAGCAGCTCATGCCTGTAATTCCAGCAGTTTGGGAGGCCAAGGCAGGCATATTATTTGATGTCAGCAGTTCAAAACTGGCCTGGCCAACATGGTGAAACCCTGTCTATACTAAAAATACAAAAATTAGCTGGGCATGGTGGGAGGTGCCTGTAATCCCAGCTACTCGGGAGGCTGAGGCAGGAGAATCACTTGAACCCAGGAAGCAGAGGTTGCAGTGAGCCAAGATTTGTGCCACTGCACTCCAGCCCGGGTGACAGAGCAAGACTCCATCTCAAACAACAACAACAAAAAACACACCAAAGTTGGAGAATTCATTACCTGACTTTAAGACTTACTATAAAGCTTAATAATCAAGCTTAAACACAAATATTACCAAATCTAACTGTTCTAGTTATTTATTATTGTGTAACAAACTATCCTAAAATAGTGGCTTAAAAACAATAACATGGCCAGGCACAGTGGCTCATGCCTGTAATCCTAGCACTTAGCACTTAGGAGGTGAAGGTGGGAGGATTGCTTAAGGCCAGGAGTTCAAGACCAGCCTGGGCAATATAGCAAGACCCGATCTCTACCAAATACAAACTAACAAATAAATAGCCGGGAGTGGTGGTGCATGCCTATAGCCCCAACTACTTGCGAGGCTGAGGCCAGAGGATTGCTTGAGCCCAGGAGTTTGAGGCTGCAGTGAGCTATGATCACCACTGTACTCCAGCCCGGGTGACAGAGGGAGACTCTGTCTCAAACAAACAAAACTCAATAACATTTATTTTGCTCATGAACCTGGGGGCTGACTGGGCTCAGCTGAACAGTTCTCACTTGGGTTCTGCCATGAAGATGCAGTCAGCTGGTGGCTGGGACTGGAGTCATCTCCAAGGCATCCTCACTCACATGTCTGGCACCCAAGCCAGGACCCACTCAAACAGCTGGGGGCTGGAAGAGCTGAGGCCCCTCCTCTCTCTCTATGTAACCTTTCCAAATATGGACCTCAAGGGGACCAGACATCCTACAAGGCAGCTGTAGGAACAATGAACATCCAGAGAGCCAGGTGGAAATAACATGGCTTTAATAATCTAGACTTGGAAGTTAACCAGCGTCACTTTCTCCTCATTCTATCCATTAGAAGTCAGTGCCTGAGGACAGCCCATATTCAAAGGCAGAGGAATTAGACTCTGTACATTAAAAAAAAAAAAAAAAAAAAAAGCACGGTGGCTCACGTCTGTAATCCCAGCACTTTGGGAGGCCGAGGTGGGTGGATCACAAGGTCAGGAGATCGAGACCATCCTGGCTAACATGGTGAAACCCCGTCTCTACTAAAAAAAACACAAAAAATTAGCCGGGTATGGTGGCGGGTGCCTGTAGTCCCAGCTGCTCGGGAGGCCGAGGCAGGAGAATGGCATGAACCCGGGAGGTGGAGTTTGTAGTGAGCCAAGATCGCGCCACTGCACTCCAGACTGGGCGACAGAGCGAGACTCCGTCTCAAAAAAAAAAAAAAAAAAGTAGCTGAGTGTGGTGGCAGGTGCCTGTAGTTCCAGCTGCTTGGGAGGCTGAGGCAAGAGAATAGCTTGAACCTGGGAGGTGGAGGTTGCAGTGAGCCAACATGCCACTGCACTCCAGCCTGAGTGACACAGTGAGACTACGTCTCAAAAAAAAAGGCCAGGTGCAGTGGCTCACGCCTATAACCCCAGCACTTTGGGAGTCCAACGCTGGTGGATCACCTGAGGTCAGGAGTTCAAGACCAGCCTGGCAAAACCTGTCTTTACTAAAAATACAAAAATTAGCTAGGCATGGTGATGCATGCCTATAGTCCCAGCTAGTTGGAAGGCTGAGGCAGGAGAATTGCTTGAACCCAGGAGGCGGAGGTTGTAGTGAGCTGAGATTGCACCATTGCACTCTAGCCTGGGCAACAGAGCAAGACTCCATCTCAAAAAAAAAGAAAAAAAAAAGGCAGACATATTTTTAAACCACCCTGGGAACCAAAGAAGTGAAGAGCCTGAAATAAAAATCACTCTTGGCCTAAATGAAATTTTGGTCCAAACAAGAAGGGACCTGGTAAAATGGTGGGAAATGCATCTGAGACTCTTTTTTAGCTTTCTTAAGGCTCCAGGTGAGATTTAGCCACAGTGGGAGGTGCATGAGAAGGCAAGAAACCTGAGTGAGGGCTGGAACTTTTCCCCACCTCATATAAAGTCTGAGCCTTACTTGACTGGATGAGATTCTGCCATCTGGCCTTTGCTTCCGTGCCTTTGGAACATGCTGTTCCCACTGACTGGGCTGCTCTTCTTCTCTCTCATCTGGCCATCTCCTGCTCATTCTTTAGGCTCAGCTTAGGCATTTGCTCCTCCAGAAAGCCTCCCTCCATCCTCAATCCTGGGTCAAGAGCTTCTTCCACTGGATTTCATAACTCCCTGTCCTCTGCCCTTTCTCAATGCTCACTGGTGTCTGTCTCATTGCTGCGTATTTACGTGTTCATCCCTTTTCCTCTTTCTAAAGTGTAAGCTCCTTGGGGGCACAAGGGAGTATTTTGTACTCCTTTGTATCCATAGCGCCCTAGTAAAGGTGATGGATGATTTAAGCAAGAGGATGGAATATTCCTGAGCTATGTCAGGACTCAAAGCCTCACAAGGAAGCAGCTGCAAGATCTCTCACTTTGTCCCAAGGTCTCCTGCGTCACCTCCCTGCACAGGCAAACCAGAGCTGGGCAAAGCACATCTGATGGTGTGATTAGTAGTTCCTTAGTGGGAGTAGCCAACACTGCAATCTGCTCAACCATGGCCTCCCCTCCAATCTCCCCAAATCAGCCAACTCCTCTTTCCAGTTCCTCTCTGGGAGTAGACTGACCTGCTTCCCACTAAAACCACAGACCTGATAATAGGAGAAAAAAAAATAAGGGTCGAGAGTAGGACAATTGGTGGCAACGAGATGAACACAGATTAATGATGCAGACCTCGCCCTGGCCTCCCCAGCCTAAGCTGGGGAAGGTTCATAGTTGATACCCATTAAAGGGCTTAATGAAATAATTATAATTCACACCCCAGAGCATCTGAGAATCAATACTGGGGAACTTTGAACCACTCTGGGGGTGGCACCCCACTGGCTGCACAGTTCAGCGCAGCAGGCAGAGCTGGTGGAAGTAAATGCAGTTGACACGGAAGTTGCATTAAAAGAGGGCAATAATAGATTAAAAGCTGCCAGGATCCTGGCGACTGGCCGTCGATATCCTTTATTCCCTATCTCGCCCCAATTCTGCCCCCTCTGTGCACTATTAGCCCAAATCGATGGGCTGTCAATTGACATCACTGGCTACAGCATTAATGCAAGCTCACAAAAGAAGCCCGACCCTAGATTATCACTTCTCTCGCTTCCAAATTACAACATAATGCAGGCCGCGGGCAGCTTGTGACATGTTAACACTATACACGATTTGTTGGGATTGGACTAAACATTTCATAGCTAAAGATTTCATCAGAGACTTGATGACAGGAATAAACTGCTGCCCACGGGGAAATCACTGGAAATAATAGAATTAGGCATTGTTTGGGAATCCGGAGGGACGCTGGAGGGACGAGGAAGGATGTCGGGGAGCAGGACCTATAGCTGGTGGCCTGCTGTGGGAGCAGCTTCAGGGAAAGAGATGGCAATTAAAAGGCCTTTTTGTTGGTCCCACTAAAGGACAGGTATTTGGATCTTGTCTAGGGCTTACGTACTTTCTATTTTTGTGCAAAAGCTGGGAAGGGAATTTCTCTTCAGTGATAACAGGGAATATAACTGCTGTGGGTCAAATTGTGTCCTTTCTCCCTGCGGTCCACCCAAATATGTTGAAGTCCTAATCCCCAGAACCTCAGAATGTGACCTTCCTTATTTGGAAATGGGGGTCTCTTACAGAGGTAATCAAGTTATAATGAGGTGCAGTAGGACATGTGTTCCTATAGAAAGGGGAAATTTGGGCTGGGCATGGTGGCTCATGCCTGTAATCCCAGCACTTTGGGAGGCCGAGGCAGGCAGATCGCTTTGAGCTCAGGAGTTTGAGACCAGCCTGAGCAATATGAAGAAACCCAGTGTCTACAAAAAAAAAATGTTTTAAATTAGCCAAGTGAGGTGTCTCACGTCTATAGTCCCAGCTACTTAGGGGGCTGAGACTGGAGAATTGCTTGAGCCTGGGAAGCAGAGGTTGCAGTCAGCCGAGACTGTGCCACTGCACTCCAGCCTGGGCAACAGAGTGAGACCCTGTCTCAAAAAAAGAGGGGAGGGGAGTGGTGGGAATCTGGACACAGAGACAGACAGGTACAGAGAGATGATGTGAAGACACACAGAAAGAAGACAGCCATGTGACTGGAGTGATGCAAGAAACACCTGAAGCTACTAGAAGCTCATAGAGAGGCATTGGACAGTTCCCTCCTTTAAAGGAAGCATGGCCCTACTGACACCTTGATGTCAGGCCTCTAGCCGCCAGTAGATTTCTGTTGTTTTAAGCTACACAGTTGTTGGAACTTTGCTACAGCAACCTTAGGAAACAATACTAATTATTACAATCTAATAGTGATAATAGCCCCCATTTATTGAGCATCTCTGAGAGTCTGGCAAAGACTGGCTAATTTCATCCTCATAACAAAATAATGGTTGAGTATTATAACCCCCATTTCTTTTTTACTTTTTTTTTTTTAGACAGTTTCACTCTTGTTGCCCAGGCTGGAGTGCAGTGGTGCCATCTCCGCTCACCGACCTCCGCCTCCCAGGTTCAAGCGATTCTCCTGCCTCAGCCTCCCAAGAAGCTGGGATTACAGGCATGCACCACCACACCCGGCTAATTTTGTATTTTTAGTAGACACGGGGTTTCTCCATGTTGGTCAGGCTGGTCTTGAATTCCCGACCTCAGGTGAGGTTGGGAGTTGCCTCAGCCTCCCAAAGTGCTGGGATTACAGGCGTGAGCCACCGTGCCCAGACAATTTTAATTTTTTTTATGTACAATTTCTATTTTATTTTTCTCCAGAGAATAATCCATCTTCAGTCTTTTTTTTTTTTTTTTTGAGACGGAGTCTTGCTCTGTTGTCCAGGCTGGAGTACAGTGGCACGATCTCGGCTCACTGCAAGCTCCGCCTCCCGGGTTCACGCCATTCTCCTGCCTCAGCCTCCTGAGTAGCTGGGATTACAGGCGCCTGCCACCATGCCCGGCTGATTTTTTTTTTTTTTTTTTTTTGTATTTTTTTAGTAGAGACAGGGTTTCACCGTGTTAGCCAGGATGGTCTCAATCTCCTGACCTCGTGATCCACCTGCTTCAGCCTCTCAAAGTACTGGGATTACAGGCGTGAGCCACAGTGCCCGGCTCGTCTTCAGTCTTTAAGGACTCAGCTCCTTACATGGGCTTTGGTGGGGGTCATGGGGCAGCACCCACGGGTATAAATGGACCTTGCTGGTGTCATGAGATTAATTCCTGACTACTTTGCTGTGAATTGCACAACTCACACAGTAATGTAGCTTCACATTCAGCTTGGGAAGCACATAGGTATCGAAGACGCTTGCTTCAGAAATGTCCCTGATTGCTGCAGCCTCCACTATGTTTCAAATGACAAATTTTTTTTATTTTTTTTGAGACAGAGTCTCACTCTGTCACCAGGGCTGAGTGCAGTGGCACGATCTTGCCTCACTGCAACCTCTGCCTCCCTAGTTCAAGCGATTCTCCTGCCTCAGCTTCCCGAATAGCTGGGACTACAGGCGCTTGCCACCATGCCCAGCTAATTTTTGTATTTTTAGTAGGGACGGGCTTTCACCATGTTGGCCAGGATGGTCTCAATCTCTTGACCTCGTGATCTGCCCACCTTGGCCTCCCAAAGTGCTGGGATTACAGGTGTGAGCCACCGCGCCTGGCCAAATGATGAATTTCTCAATGGCCTTATCCTTGGGCACGCATCGGGCACAGTTCTTGCAGTGAATAGACTGCACGTGACCGAAGCCCTTCTTGGCAAGACCGTTGTTCCTTCTTTCCTTTCTTTCTTTCTCTTTTTGACATGGAGTCTCGCTCTGTCGCCCAGGCTGGAGTGCAGTGGCGCAATCTTGGCTCACTGGAACCTCCGCCTCCCTCGTTCCAATGATTCTCCTGCCTCAGCCTCCTGAGTAGCTGGGATTACAGGCATGTGCCGCCACACCTGGCTAATTTTTGTATTTTTAGTAGAGTTGGGGTTTCACCATGTTGGCCAGGCTGGTCTTGAACTCCTGACCTCAGGTGATCTGCCTGCCTCAGTTTCCCACAGTGCTGAGATTACAGGCGTGAGCCACCGCGCCCATAAGGCCACAACCCACCTTCTTTTCAGTACAATCTAATCTTTTCCCAGCTCCTAAGGGGACCTGTATCCACTTGGTTTGAGTGACCACAATGTCTCAAATGAAAGTGTAGAAATTTTTAAAAAAATAAAAAACAGGCCAGCACAGTGGCTCACGCCTGTAATCCCAGCACTGTGGGAGGCCAAGATGGGTGGACCGCTTGAGGCCAGGAGTTCGAGACCAGCCTGGCCAACATGGTGAAACCCTGTCGCTACTAAAAATACAAAAAATTTAGCCAGGCATGGTGGCGCATGCCTGTAATCCCAGCTACTCCTGAAGCTGAAGCCGACAATCCTTTGAACTCGGGCAGTGGAGGTTGCAGTGAGCCGAGATGGCGCCACTGCATTCCAGCCTCGGCAACAGAGTGAAACTCTGTCTCAAAAAAACAAAAACAAAAACAAAAACGAAAAGGTCTGGACCCAGCAGAATGGCTCTTGCAGAGAAGGGCGGTGAGAAGGACCATTCTGCCATCAGCGGAGGTGATCATCTGAGACTCCACCATCAACATTTACATGCGTACCCGTGAAGTGGGCTTCAAAAAGGGTGCCCCTTGGGCACTCAGAGAGATCCGGAAATTGGCCATGGAGATGCGGACTCCAGATGTACACATTGATATCAGGCTTAACAAAACTGTCTGGGCCAAAGGAATAAGGAATGTCCCATACTATATCCATATCCATGTGCACAGAAAACATGAGGATGAAGATTCACCAAAAACAGCGCTGTACCTATGTACCTGTTACCACTTTCAAAAATGTATAGACCGTCAACATGGATGAGCGCTAACTGTTGATTATAAAATAAAAGTATAAAACTACCAAAAAAAAAAAAGCCCAGTAAACCCAGCACAGCCATGATTATTCCATTCTTTGAGAGTAAGAATCTTATTTTTTTTTTCTTTTTCCTTCTTTTTTGTGGAGTGGGGGGGCGGACAGAGTCTCACTCCATCGCCCAGGATGGAGTGCAGTGGCACCATCTCAGCTCACTGCAACCTCTGCCTCCCAGGTTCAAGCCATCCTCCCATCTCAGCCTCCCAAGCAGCTAGGACCACAGGCATACGCCACCATGCCCAGCTAATTTTTGTGTTTTAGTAGAGATGAGATTTTGCCATGTTGCCCAGGCTGCTCTTGAATTCCTGGCCTCAAGCAATCCACCCACCTCAGCCTTCAGCTGAGCAATATTGTTCTTCCTCATCCATGTTCCCAATTACAATGGTAGGCCTTTGTCTCTGTCTCTGTCTCGCTTTCTCTTTTCTCCTTGCAGGGGAAACCAGCCCTACGCCTCTTTCTTTTTCAGTTAATATATGTATTTATTGAGATCATACAATTCACCCATCTAAAGTGTGTAATTCAATATTTTTAGTTTACAGAATTGTGCAATCATCACAATTAATTTAGAACAATCTGATCACCCCAAAACAAATATCCCATACCCTTTATCACTCTGTATTTCTCCCCGTTTTTCCCCTCAGCCTATGCAACCATCAATCTTTTTTGTCTTAAAAGATTTCCTATTCTGCACATTTCATATCAATAGAATCATATGTGTTTTTTTATGACTGGGTTCTTTCACTTACCATAATGTTTTTAAGGCTAATCTATGTTGTACCACATATCAGTACTCAATTCCTTTTTTTTTTTTTATTTGAGACAAAGTCTCACTCTGTTGCCCAGGCTGGAGTGCAGTGGTGTGATCTCAGCTCACTGCAACCTCTGCTTCCCGGGTTCAAGCGATTCTTTTGCTTCAGCCTCCGGAGTAGCTGGGATTACAGGCACACACCACCATATCCGGCTAATTTTTGTATTTTTAGTAGAGATGGGGTTTCACCACGTTGCCCAGGCTGGTCTTGAACTCCCGACCGCAGGTGATCCGCCCTCCTCCTCGGCCTCTCAAAGTGCTGGGATTACAGGTGTGAGCCACAGCGCCCAGCCCCATCAGTGTTTTCCAAAATGGCTATACCACCAACAGTGTATGAGGGTCCTAAGTTCTCTACATCCTTGCCAGCTTGATTATACGAGAAATTCCTAATGTACGAGAAATTCTATCTCTGTGATAACTTGCATTTCACTGGTGGCTAATGTTGAGCATCTTTTCATGTGCTTATTAGCTATTTGTTTATCTTCATTGAAGAAGTGTCTATTCAGACATTTTGCCCATTTTAAAAAATGGGTTGTCTTTTTGAGTTATGAGTGTTTTTCATATATTCGGGATAACAGTCCCTTATCAGATATATGATTTATATTTTATCTAGTTTTATGGGTTTGCCTTTCACTTTCTTGATGGTGTCTTTATCTTGGCAACATGGCAAAACCCCATCTCTACACAAAAAAGTACAAAATTAGCTGGCCGTGGTGGCATGCGCTTGTGGTTCCAGTTACTCAGTAAGAGGATCACTTGAGCCCAGGAGGCGGAGGCTGCAGTGAGCTGTGATCATGAAACTGCATCCCAGCTTGAGTGACAGAGCAAGACCCTGTCTAAATAATAATAATAATAAAATAAAATAAATAAAAAATTGAGCTGGCTGCATGCTCTGAATGTTCTGTGCTGTGGCCCAGTGTTCTAGGACAGGCCCCATTGCTCCAGGCAGGCCCTGACAGTCTTATACTGCAGACTAGCTACACTGTCTCTGTTCATCCCACTGACTCCACATAGTGCCCAGATCTCAGGGGCAATGTAAAGACCTTTATTCCGGTCAAGATCTTGGCAATTCTGTTATTGCCAACTTTCCTTTACCCAAATCTGCTCCAGGTTTGATCACTTTCTTCTCATCACATGCAACTCTAATGTTGGCTCCCCACCCTGCAAGGAACAGAGAGTGAGTCTGAGCTCATCCAGCAACCACCCTCCCACTCTTCCAAGAGAGATGATCATGAGCAGACTATTATAAAGCACAAAGGGAGCACATTCTACCCTCTTGGGTACCTGCTCCACCCACCCCTTTTTATTCATTCACTTGACAAATATATGTTGCTTATGTGCCAGACACTGGGAACACAGGTGTGCACACAGGTGCTTCTCCATTCTTGGGTGAGCTTCCTGAGGAATTTAAGCATTTCACCAAAGTGTGTTGAGAAACCCAGAAGCAGTTCAGGGGGATGAGGGAAATAATATGGGGACTTAAACTAGCCAGTGTGGCTCCGGAAAGGCTATATTCTCTGAGCTTTTTCTTCACCTCACCCTCTGTATTCTAAACCTGTCTGTATTACCCATCCCTCCATACCCATTGCCCAAGTATCCTGAGATCTCAACTCAAGCCATTACTCCCACCTAAGCAGGGCACTTGCTCAGTTGAGAATGCTGGGCCGGGCGCAGTGGCTCACACCTGTAATCCCAGCACTTTGGGAGGCTGAAGCGGGTGGATCACCCGAGCTCGGGAGCTCGAGACCAGCCTGACCAACATGGAGAAACCCTGTCTCTACCAAAACCACAAAATTAGCCGGGCATGGTGGCGCATGGCTGTAATCCCAGCTACTCGGGAAGCTGAGGCAGGAGAATTGCTTGAGCCCGGGAGGTGGAGGTTGCAGTGAGCTGAGATCTCATCATCGCACTCCAGCCTGGGCAACAAGAGCGAAATTCCATCTCAAAAAAAAAAAAAAAAAAAGGAGAAAAAGAATGCTTTGCCTGGAAGGTAATTGTGGATATTTAGAGCTGACTTCCTTTTCCTTCTTCATTATTTGCTGTGCTTCCAGCTAGAAAGCACAACAAACAGCACAGACAATGCTACAGCAGCTTCCCCCGGGGTACTCTGATAGTTTTATAAATAGCTACTGCCATCTAGTGGACAAAGATGACTACATCAGTACGTAGACCCACAGATACGGAAACTCTCAGCGTTTCTATTTATGTCCTGCAACCACTTCATCCCACCTTAATGGAATCCAAAAGACCACTTTTCCTTTGAAAGCCTAAAGCCTGGAACATTGTAAGTACTCAATATAGTTTGGACAAAGGATTTTTCACGGGCATTGTCATTTTTTAATTTTATATGTAACAAATATTGTAGTAATATTGTTGGATAATTTTATTATTGTGGCTTTATACTATTGCCTTAGAAGTTTAAGTCTATTAAGGGCCAGGCGTGGTGGCTCATGCTTGTAATCCCAGCACTTTGGGAGGCGGGCAGATTGCCTGAGCTCAGGATACTGAGCCTCGGTACACGATGAAACCCCATCTCTACTAAAACACAAAACATTAGCTGGGTGTGGCAGCGTGCACCTGTAGTCCCAGCTACTCAGGAGACTTAGGCAGAATTGCTTGAGCCCGGGAGGTGGAGGCTGCAGCAAGCTGAGATCACACCACTGCACTCCAGCCTGGGAAACAGAGCAAGACTCCCATCTCCAAAAAAAAAAAAAAAAAAGAAAAATGTCTAATAAGGTCAAGTAGAAACTGAGAGAGCTATAGTAATAAAAATACATTTTAGAATATAACCATATTGCCAAGTTCACCAGAAACCTGCATGTAACTCCTAAACTGGACCTAGAGATTAAGTTTTTTGGCCTGTCTTCCCAATCCAGTAGCGCCCTGTGCAGCAGGGACAGAACCATCTAGGTCATGGAGTTTCCTCTTATAAACTCAAACCTCCTTACAGTAACTTGCAAAAGCAAATTTTGCCACCGTGTAGATTTGTGCATGCACAGCCAGAGCATCCAAACATCCCTCCATTGTAAGGTTATTTGGAGAATCAAATAAGGGGAGAAGCAATTGCCATTAACTCGAAATTCAATGGGAAGTGGTAGACACTGCTGTCCCTATGGTTACCTTCTCTTTCTCTAAGCCTTACCTAACAGCTAATTAGACATTTATAGGGTTTAAACATCTTTACTGGTTTTTTAAACTACTAGCCCACAGCAGAACCCTAATTACAAACAATAGGCCAGGCACAGTGGCTCACACCTGTAATCTCGGCACTTTGGGAGGTCAAGGTGGGGCAAACCATTTTGAGGTCAAAAATTCAAGACCAGCCTGGCAACATGGCAAAACTCCCGCTCTATAGAAAATATGAAAATTAGCTGGGCATGGTGTCCCAGCTAGTCAGGTGGGAGAATGCAAAGGTGGGAGGATGCAAAAGTGGGAGGCAATGTCTGCAGTGAGATCGCACCACTGCACTCCAGCCTAGGTAAGGGAGGCTGGAGGCTCTCAAAAAAAAAAAAAAATCCATTTCCCCAGATTAGACTATGTGATGACATTAAGTGTCCACCTGAGCCTCAGTATCATCTATAAACACATTCTGGTTTATAAATAGATGAAAGTATAATACGAATAACTGAGAAAACCTAGCAAATATTAATTCCCACCTTCCCAGGCCCCAATTCCTTGCTATACATTACACATGTCCAACAAGTTATTATCTGTATAGGGGAAACATTGCCATATTTACTCCTCTAATTTTGTGTTTTGCTAATGAACATTAAGCTAACATTAACCTGAAGTTCAAAAATTTACAGTAACAGCTACCACTGAAAACCTTCCACATATTTTTAAGATTCCACATGAAACGAGATCAAAGTATATTTACCCTTTAGTCTCGTTGAGTCAAGGCATCAAAAAAGTTTGTAGCATCTCAAATACATGGTATGGCCATGTGCAGTGACATACACCTGTAGAGCCAGCTACTTGGAACTAAGGCTGGGTGACCACTTGGACCCAGGAGTTCCAGTCCAGCCTGCACAAGTGATAACACACCCCTATGGAAAACTGAAGCCCAGGTAAGATTCTCACCCAAACAAAAGAAACATGCCAAAAACGTGCATTGCTGTCAGGTGCAGTGACTCACACCTGTAATCCCAGCATTTTGGGAGGCCGAGGCGGGTGCACCACCTGAGGTAGGGAGATCAGCCTGACCAACATGGAGAAACCTCATCTCTACTAAAAAATACAAATTAGCCAGGAATGGTGGCGCATGGCTGTAATCCCAGCTACTTGGGAGGCTGAGGCAGGAGAATCCCTTGAACCCAGGAGACAGGGTTTGCACCATTGCAATGAGATCGTGCTATTGCACTACAGCCTGGGCAACAAGAGTAAAACCCTTCAAAAAAAGAAGTGTGTACTACTTGTCATTTTTTGTAACCTTGGAGAAAATATGGAATGAGAAGTATATCAAATCGTGCTACAAATTCCCACTGAGATACCCAGACATTAGTAGCCCTTCAGTACCAAAGAGAAAAACTGCAGCTCCTCCATGAATTAGCTTTTTGGCATATGCTAAGATTAGCTAGTCCACTGAAATCTGTCACGTACGTAATGACAGGTAACAGCCTGCTCCCCTAGGCTATCACAACTCACTGTTGGGACCTTAATTAACCAGGTGGCAGCTTAGCTCCATCCCCGACCTTCTGAATAATCTTAACTCAGGAAGAAATGGAAGCCCACAGGGCAGTGGCTCATATAAGGGATTGACATTCAGATACCTCTGCCATGTAGCTTAATATTCACTGCCCATTATTTGATTCTGATCTCTAAATTCTTACTCATCTAGCACAACCCTCCAGGAAAGCCTCTGCTCCTAGGCAGGCTTACACACAGAATAAGTTTAGAAAACACCATTAAGTCAGCTTTCTGCCTCTCCAGCCTAAGGACTAAGGTTAGTTTGATCCAGATCCAATTTCTTATGCTCCCCTTCTCAAAGCTCTGAATTCCAAAATGTACCATCCACAATGCTCTGAAGGGCAACTTGCCACCCAGCCCTTGTTAACTCAAGCTTAAGAGGAAGGAGAAAGTAAGAGTCACATAATCACCTAAGCCTACTTCTCCCACCAGCTGGCCTGGGAGATTATTTAAAGACTCAAAGCAATTGTATGGTGCCAATTTTAAATAGTTTTATTTAAGACATTGCATTTTCCACTTACAATACAGTGTTTATAAAGTGCAATGTTATTTCCTTCCCCTGTGCATATGTTCCATATTCAAGTATTGAGAATGCCCAGTAACTTACTATAGCAGCTTAACTTTTTAAAACTGCCACAGAATTTGCTACGAATTTAGGTCCTTCAAATGTTTTAAATGTGTGGAACAATGCTACATCTACACTTGGTTGGCTTAATCAACCTCTTCAATGGTGGGCCCTGAGGAAGCACCACCAGAGGGAGGAGCTCCACCACCAGGAAATCCCCCAGGCATTCCTCCTGGCATGCCTCCTGCACTCTGGTACAGCTTGGTGATGATGGGGTTGCAAACTTTCTCCAGCTCTTTCTGTTGATGTTCAAATTCTTCCTTCTCAGCAGTCTGAGGAAGAGAAAAAGGAATTACTGCAAGTTCTTTTAATGTTAATAACCCTTCTTTCTCCCTGACGCAATCTGATACTAAAAGTCTGGCGCAAACTCTTACAAGAGGGCCACTACCAACATTAAAATAGGGCCTTATTCTTCCTTAACATCTTGGGTCACTCAGACATCCAAGGAAGGTAGTTGCCAACACCTTGAATTCTGGTGGAAACCGCGAATGTTTTGGACCATTCATCATTGTGACCCTACACTGAAATCCAGCTCAAGCTTGGTTTACCATCCCCTTCCCCTCCATTGAGTGGGGGAGGAAAAAAAAAAAAAAAAAACACAAACCTGATTCTTATCAAGCCAGTTGATAATTTCATTACACTTGTCCAGAATCTTCTGTTTGTCCTCATCGTTAATCTTGCCTTGAAGTTTCTCATCTTCAACAGTTGCTTTCATGTTGAAGGCATAGGACTCAAGTGAATTCTTGGATGACACCTTGTCCCTCTGCTTCTCATCTTCAGCTTTGTACTTCTCAGCTTCCTGGACCATACGTTCAATGTCTTCCTTGCTCAAACGGCCTAGGAAAGAAATTAACTCTAAGTAAAAGCCTTAAATTACCTGTGTATGTGTAACTCTAGTTTCTCTTAGCTAGACGCCCTTAGGCACCAGTAACTCAATTGAAATACCATTATCCCTGTCAAGACCAGATGACAGTGCCTCCTTACCCTTGTCATTAGTGATAGTAATCTTGTTCTCTTTTCCCGTACTCTTGTCCACAGCAGAGACATTGAGTATACCATTGGCATCAATGTCAAAAGTGACTTCAATCTGAGGAACACCTCGGGGTGCAGGAGGTATGCCTGTGAGTTCAAACTTGCCAAGCAGGTTGTTATCCTTTGTCATGGCACGCTCGCCTTCATAAACCTTGGTAGGAAATAAAACAAATTACTACAATGGACTCCAGGTCTGTGACAGTGCTAGGGTCCTGCTAAGGAAGAATGGTCGCTCAAACATCCAAGGAAGGAACTGGCCAACATAAGACTTTCTGGTGGAAACTACGAATGGTTTTGGAATCCATCATCATAGCGAGTCAGTCAAGACTTCCCTTTATCTGTTATCAGTAAGCCAAACAAGAGAAGTACAGAAACATACCTGAATAAGCACACCAGGCTGGTTGTCAGAATAGGTAGTGAAGGTCTGTGTCTGCTTGGTAGGAATGGTGGTATTACGCTTGATGAGGACAGTCATGACTCCACCAGCAGTTTCAATACCAAGGGAAAGAGGAGTGACATCCAAGAGCAGCAAATCTTGAACATTCTCAGACTTGTCTCCAGACAAGATGGCTGCCTGGACAGCTAGCAAACAAAAAGTTAACGTTAAAAGAAGTTAAAAGAAAACCCAGTACATAGCTCCTGTTTTAACTATCACTCGCTCAGACATCCAAGGAAGGTGTTGCCATCATTAGCCAAGC
The DNA here is from genome assembly GCF_000001405.40 of Homo sapiens. NCBI lineage: Eukaryota > Metazoa > Chordata > Mammalia > Primates > Hominidae > Homo > Homo sapiens. The sequence continues at coordinate 123,059,378 of NC_000011.10, forward strand.
TTTTGGTGGAAACTACGAATGTTTAACAATCACTCATCACAGCGAGTCACCTTGGGCCTGCCTGCCTTTAGGGTTAATTGAGATACCATTGTTACCTGCACCATAAGCAACAGCTTCATCAGGGTTGATGCTCTTATTCAGTTCTTTTCCATTGAAGAAGTCTTGGAGAAGCTTCTGAATCTTGGGGATACGAGTAGAACCACCAACCAGGACAATATCATGAATCTGTGACTTGTCTAGTTTGGCATCTCGAAGGGCTTTCTCTACTGGGTCCAGGGTGCCACGGAACAGGTCAGCATTCAGTTCTTCAAATCGGGCACGGGTAATGGAGGTATAGAAGTCGATTCCTTCATAGAGAGAATCGATCTCAATACTGGCCTGGGTGCTGGAAGAGAGGGTACGCTTAGCACGTTCACAAGCAGTACGGAGGCGTCTTACAGCTCTCTTGTTCTCACTGATGTCCTTCTTATGCTTGCGCTTAAACTCAGCAATAAAATGGTTGACCATTCGGTTGTCAAAATCTTCTCCACCCAAGTGGGTGTCTCCAGCTGTAGACTTGACCTCAAAGATTCCATCCTCAATAGTGAGGATTGACACATCAAAAGTGCCACCTCCCAGGTCAAAGATGAGCACGTTTCTTTCTGCTCCAACCTGCCGTTAAAAACAATCTCATTTAAATTTACGATGGATCAAATTAATCTTAAAATAATCCGAACTTGCATCACAAATGGTACATACCTTTTTGTCTAAGCCGTAAGCAATAGCAGCAGCAGTTGGCTCATTAATAATTCTAAGTACATTGAGACCAGCAATAGTTCCAGCATCTTTGGTAGCCTGACGCTGAGAGTCATTAAAGTAAGCTGGCACTGTGACCACAGCATTGGTAACAGTCTAGGAATAAGGAAAAGACCACAGATTGGTAACTATTATACTTACATATATGCAAACTCCAGCAAATGGATTAATGCTGGTGAAAGAACAGCTGGAGCACCCCCCCCACCAAAATGTAAATTACTGTGTAATTGTCAAGATTCACTGGTTTCTGGTGTTGACAGACCCATCTACCTAGAGAGCCTAGGGCACTGTTGGGCACGTGGTCTTAACCCTGAGCTGAGCCCCATCTGTTCCCCTCCCTCGCCAGGTGCCAGTGCCCCCGGGAGTCATCGGGCTTTTAACTACTCCGGAATGCACCCCATACTGAAAAACCAACCTCACCTTCCCAAGGTAGGCTTCTGCAATTTCCTTCATCTTTGTCAGAACCATAGAAGACACCTCCTCTGGATAGAAGCTTTTGGTCTCTCCCTTGTATTCTACTTGGACCTTGGGCCTGCCAGCATCATTCACCACCATAAAGGGCCAATGTTTCATATCAGACTGGACAACAGCATCATCAAATCTGCGTCCAATCAGACGTTTGGCATCTGTAAAAGGTGTCAAATGAAAACACTTTCAATTTCATAGCTCTTCTGATAAAACTCAAGTCCATGATTACTCAAATACCTAACAGTTCATAGGTAGGTGAATTCAACTACCATATAGGTAGCAAAGGTTCAAACTTCAACCTCCTACGTTATCCAGATTTCAGCCTGAAAGGTTTCTACAACCTGTTTTATAACAGACTTGATAACAAGTCTCTCAGCTCAGTTTTTCTAAAATCAAAAAGTTCCCTCCTCACGTTTCATAAACTTTTGTGCTTCCTAGCCCTGTTATATTTGTTCTGTCATTTAAAATTAGGAACTCACCAAAAACTGTGTTGGTGGGGTTCATTGCAACTTGATTCTTTGCGGCATCACCGATCAACCGTTCAGTGTCCGTAAAGGCGACATAGCTTGGAGTGGTTCGGTTTCCCTGATCATTGGCAATTATCTCGACTTTTCCGTGCTGGAAAACACCCACACAAGAGTAGGTGGTGCCAAGATCAATACCAACTGCAGGTCCCTTGGACATGGTTGCTGAAAAAAAGAAAAATCTGGTTTAAAAATTCAATTAATCAAAATATTTCCCTCATCCCTTAACAGAACACTTAACCAGGAAAAACGTATGGCCACTGCCAAGAGGTAATAGTGCCCATCACCTCCTGTCTAAGCACGCGCGAGGTCCAGAACTAGTGCTGCAGTCCAGGTTGCCGTGCCAACCGCAGCAGAGCACGCCCTAGATGAAGGACCCATCTACCCAGACGGCGTGGGGCGTTGCTCAACACGTGGTCTTACCCCGAACTGAGCACTGTCTGTTCCCCTCCCTCGCCAGGTGCCAGTGCCCCCGGGAGTCAACGGGCTTTTAACTACTCCGGAATGTACCCCCATACTGGAAGCACGCCAAGAACAGCTCTGAAGAACCACGGTGGGACTGGACTAAGCAGGGAACTGGGTGAAAGAAAACGCTGGCTCCACTTCCCCGCGCGCCAGGCAAACCGATGCAGCAACCCTCCCCCGCCACGCGGCCGCCGGGCGTCTCCCAGCCTCCCCTGGGGCCACTGCGGCCCACTCCCTACATTTCCGTCCTGCCGGCTGCAACCAAATACCGCTGCCATCCCACCGAAAACTGAGGCCCTTTAAGCCGGTAGAAGGAGCCGCACACTCGCCTCGACGAGATTCTCAGAACCCCCAAGCCTCAGCAAGCCCAACAGGCCTGTGTGGAGGCTGCACGCTCCCAGACCCACAACCCAACTCTTGAGCAGAGGTTTTACCTGGGGTGTAGGCCTGGCTCCAATAACGAAGGAAGCCACAAAAAACCCAAGAGCTGCAGGCGAGTTCAATGAGACCGGTTTCCGCCCGCCACCCTGCCTCTTATACCCTATCTTAGAACCTTCCAGAAGGGGCCCGCCCCTGCTGCCTGCCATTACGGCTTCCCCGGCCAATAGACGCCCGGCTGCCCTTACAAGACCCAATCACAAGCCCGGCTCCACTCCTCGGGCCTCGCCCCCTTCCGCACCCACCCCACCGCGCTCCGCCTCACGATAACGCACTCACCGCAGCGTTCTGGAACTTTCAAGCTCGCCCCCGCTCTCCGGACGGCCCCGGGGAAAGGGAGGGTGGGGCGCAGCGAGTCCGCGCGCGGGAGTCCTCAGTTACCCCGGGCGGGGGAGGGGAGCGTCCACCTCTACGCATGCGCCCCCAGCTTCCGCGGGAGGGAGGGGGCGGAAAAAGGAGGAGGAAGAGGGGCGGGCAAACTTGGAACTAACCAATGATAGCGGCGCTAGCCGGGATCTTGGCCGGCACAGAACTGGGGGCGGAATCGCGCGGGGCCTGAAGGGAGGGGTTTGGGCGCGGGAGCCGGGCAGGAGAAGACGGAAGTGGAGCGAGGACAAAATGGCTGCGAAGGTTGTTGCTCCCCTCCCCCACCCACGTCCGAATCCTCCTTTCCATGCCCCACCTTCGTGTTCCAGACGGGCCTCTAAGTGCCCCGGGTTTCGCGAATCTGTATTTCATAGCGTGGCTTTGGACAAGGGCTGACCCCGAGGGGCTGGGGCGAAGGTTCCGGCTTCAGGGTGCCACTAGGGCTGCTCGCTCACGGCCCCCCAGGATTGGGATTGGAGGGAGCCGCCAGGCCGCCGCGGGGTGGGGCGGGTTAGCTCGGCAGGCCTCCCAGCACCTGCATTTCCCTACGGCAACTGTCGGGAGGCAGCCCCCGACGCAGAGGTTTAAGGGGCCCGGCTTTTCAGAACCGCCTCAGGACGCGGTCGTGTCTGGATCCCTCCGCGGAAAAGAAGGCGAAACCGCTTCTCTGAGCCCTGACCGTTAGGCCCCTTCCCACCTCCGTCTAGAACAGATTCGGCTTCTTGGCTCAGTCCTTCCCCAACTAGCCCAAGCCCTACATTTCCCCGTTGTTTATAAAATAAACAGGTTTAAATGGTGGCGAGTGTGTTCTTGGTTAGGTGAACCAGGCATTAGGAATCATAGGTTCCAGTAGCCGTGCGTCCTTGATTTAGACTTTCTGAACGTTTGTATTTTCAGTAACATGAGGTGATATCTTTCCTGGTTTGACTTTCATCAAAAATTAAACGACAGACCATACCGACGCTTTGAAAACGTGACTGAGCTGGTGCACAAAACAATGGTGCCTAGAATTTTGAATTGTGCAATGTTGTGCATGGCCGCGGATATGTGGGGCCTTGTGGTTCCAAGAGCCTGTCTCAGGTACCTTGAACACTCCCTGTATCCTTTCAAGCAGGCGAGGTAGCTGTTATTCCTATTTAGTAGATAAATAGGCACCGATGGGGGAAAAGATTTTTTAAGGCTACACCAAAAGAACTTTTAGTAGCAGGGCTGGAATTAGAAGGTCTCTAGACTGCGAAAAAGGCTGTCAGAAGAGCGAGGACATCTTGTCCTTGTCAAAGCCAGTAAAGGGTAGAGACAGACTCAAACATATGAAGAATTTCCTTTTCATATTTTCCTTTTGGGGAGGAATGTTGGCTTAGAGTTCATGGAGATATATTCTTAGCCTCTCCCACGTCCCAAGAATTTAATTTTATACAATGCTTTCACTACATACAAAATGCTTTCATTTGTCATTTAATCATCAACACAATTCTCTAAGGTGTGTATTATTCATCCCCATATCAGGGGAAAAATGCAGCTCAGAGATAATCATTTGTGGGAAGATAAGCAGCTGGGTAAGCTAGAATCAAATCTAGCTTTTTTTTGGTTCAAGATTTGTTTTATGTTTTTTGTTAGTTACGCTACAGTGTAATTTCCTTCCTGGAAATAAATTGAACTCAACTCCAGAAAGAGTTAAGATATGTACTGTGAGCCACTGTTTTCAGTTTCCTTTGGTATTTGGAACCCCCAGTCCCCCACGCTAACTGCTAGTAATGTTATCTGGAATCTTTCTTTTCACACCCCAGTGCCTAGAGTTTAACAAGCACAAATTTTAAACTACACCCTGTGCTGTATTTTGCGTTTTTGTAATTATTTTAATCATTGAATAGTGGAAAATAGAATTGGGGCGCACATCCACTTGTTTGGGATATCCCATCCAATAGCAGTGATAAAAGAAAGCAGAACAAATAACCTCTGTTTCTGGTTACTCTCAAAACGCGTTCTGGGACTTGGGCTATGTCTTATTAAATGGAATGATTTACCGTTTATATATTTAAAGCTCAGAATATGATAAAGGTCCTGTCTCCACCACTTCAAACGCACAGGGTTTCAAATGACACAGTTAAGATCTAAAATTAAAGTTTGGTTGCATGGGACTGCAGTGGAGCCTAGAGCCTAGGACTTCTGACTGGATAAAAGGATAATGATTTAACATTTTTGTGTGCCTACCACATGCCAGCCTTAACCTCATTTAATTCTCACCGTAAATCTAAGCGGTAGCAACTATTATGATCGTCATTTTGTAAATGGGGAAACTAAGGCACGACTCCGTCTCCCAAAAAAGACAGTCTCCCAATGGAGTCTCCCAGAAAAGATGGAGTCTCGCTCTGTCCCCCAGGCTGGAGTGCAGTGGCAGGAACTTGGCTCACTGCGACCTCCGCCTCCCAGGTTCAAGTGATTCCCCTGCCTCAGCCTCGCGAGTAGCTGAGACTACAGGTGCATGCCACCACGCCCGGCTAATTTTTCTATTTTAGTAGACGGGGTTTCACCATATTGGCCAGGCTGGTCTCAAACTCCTGTCCTCAGGTAATCCGCCTGCCTCGGCCTCCCAAAGTGCTGGGATTACAGGCATGAGCTACCACGCCTGGCCTGTTTTTTTTGTTTTTTTTTTTTATGTGGAGTCTATAACTGTCATCCAGGCTGGAGTGCAGTGCTGTGATCTTGGCTCACTGCAACCTCCGCCTCCTGGGTTCAAGCAATTCTCCTGCCTCAGCCTCCCAAGTAGCTGAGATTAGAGGCCCGCACCACCACCACGCCCCGCTAATTTTTGTTATTTTTAGTAGGGACGGGGTTTCACCATGTTGGTCAGACTGGTCTCAGGCCTCAAGTAATCTTCCCACCTCGGCCTCCCAAAGTGCTGGGATTACAGGAGTGAGCCGCCGTGCTGGCCTCAGTTTATGAAGAAATTATTTAATAGTTTTGTGGTATCAGTTGCTTCTGTTGAAAAGTCTCAACCAGCCTAGGCAAAATAGTGAGACCCCCATCTCTGAAAAAATGAGATGGGAGGATCGCTTGAGCTCAAGAGGTGGAGAATGCAGTGAGCCATGGTTGTGCCCCTGCACTCCAGCCTGAGTGACGGAGCAAAACCCTGTCTCAAAAAACAAAAAAAAATGAAAAAAATTTAAGGTTTAGAATTTAATTGGATAATTTGTGTTAGGATTATGTGGTGTACTGTTACTAAGTATGCATTTTTAAAAAATTAGTATTAAAGAATAGTAAACTTACAGTCCCTTGCTTTAAAAACTCAGATATTAAAAACAATCCTCCTGTGACCCGGTGACATGACTAAAAGATGCAATATATGTATGCCCTGATTGCCCAAATACTGGAGTGTATGTACTGCATTGCATCAGGGAAATTTGAAACCAGAATGATGTAAGCTGTTATTAATATTTTGATTTCTAACTGCAGCCATGTATAAATTATTGCAACTGGAGAACAGCATACATAAACATAGCCCCAATATCTTTTTCCTGCATTATGCTTTACCTTCCTAAACCAGATTATACGCTTTAGAACATTCTCATGCCTATTGTATTTCTGGTAGTAGAGCCCTTGCCATTGATGTTTTATTCAGTGCTTTATGCAGGGCACCATGCTAAGCATTTGACATATATTCTCTTACATGACCCTCACAACTATTTTTGGCAGATCATATTGTCCGCATTTTCAGGTAAAGAAATTGAGGTTCAAATAGGTCAAATAATTTGCTTAAGATCTCTAGCTGACCCTGAATTTTTCAAAATCAGATTTTATTCTACAGCTTATGCTTCTAACTCAGGCTAGGTTGCTTTCTACTTTCAAACTCTTAGTCATCTTGTTTAGCCCCTGCACTATGGAGAGGAGGTGCGGTATAAAATGCGCTCTTGGCCAGGCACTGTAATCCCAGCATTTTGGGAGGCCAAAGCTGGTAGATGGCTTGAGCCCAGGAGTTCAAGGCCAGCCTGGGCAACATAAGGAGACCCCATCTCTACAAAAAATACAAAAATTAGCTGGGCGTGTTGGCATGTGCCTGTAGTCCCAGGTACTCGGGAGGCTGAGGTGGGAAGATGGTTTGAGCCTGGGAGGTTGAGGCTGCAGTGAGCCGTGATTGTGCCACTGAGCTCCAGCCTGGGCGACAGAGTGAGAACCTGTCTCTTAAAGAAAAAAAAGGTGCTCCTTATTATTTTAATTTTTTTTTTTTAATCTGAGATGGAGTCTCACTGTCACCCAGTCTGGAGTGCAATGGTGCAATCTCAGCTCACTGCAGCCTCCCCCTCCTGGGTTCAAGCAGTTCTCCTGCCTCAGCCTCCTGAGTAGATGGGATTACAGGCGCACACCACCATGCCCGGCTAATTTTTTTAGCATTTTTAGTAGAGAGGGGTTTTCGCCATGTTGGTCAGTCTGGTCTCGAACTCCTGACCTCATGATCCACCCGCCTCGGCCTCCCAAAGTGCTGGGACTCAGGCGTGAGCCACTGCGCCCCGCCTATTTTAATTTAAAATTTTTTTCAGAGCAGCTTAATTTTTAATATTTATTTATTTATTTATTTATTTATTTTTTGAGATGGAGTTTCACTTTTGTCGCCCAGGCTGGAGTGCGATGGCGCAATCTCAGCTCACTGCAACCTCCGCCTCCCAGGTTTAAGCAATTCTCCTGCCTCAGCCTCCCAAGTAGCTGGGATTACAGGCATGTGCTACCATGCCCAGCTAATTTTTTCTATTTTTAGTAGGGATGGGGTTTCTCCATGTTGGTCAGGCTGGTCTCGAACTCCTGACCTCAGGTGATCCACCCGCCTCAGCCTCCCAAAGTGCTGGGATGACAGGCGTGAGCCACTGCACCCGGCTAATTTTTAAGATTTTTTTTTGGCTGGGCGCGGTGGCTCACGCCTGTCATCCCAGCACTTTGGGAGGCCAAGGCAGGAGGATCACAAGGTCAAGAGATCGAGACTATCCTGGCCAACATGCTGAAACGCTGTTTCTACTAAAAATACAAAAATTAGCTGGGCATGGTGGCACGCACCTCTAGTCCCAGCTTCTCAGGAGGCTGAGGGAGGAGAATCACTTGAACCCAGGAGGTGGAGGCTACAGTGAGTCAAGATCACACCACTGCATTCCAGCCTGGCAACAGAGCAAGACTCCGTCTCAAAAAAAAAAAAAAAAAAAAAGTTTTTTTTTTTGTTTGTTTGTTTTCCTTTTGCAGAGATGGGGTCTTACTGTGTTGCCCAAGCTGGTCTCAAACTCCTGGACTCGAGCAATCCTCCTGCTTTGGCCTTCCAAAGTGCTAGGTTTACAGGCAAGAGCCACTGTGGCTGGCCCTAATTTTTAAATTGTTTTACTAATTGAAATCTTTAGCAGAGCTGCTTACAAGTAGCCAAACTCATTGAGTTTTCCTTTTTTATAACTTACTTTTCCATCCACAAGTGGTAACAAAAACATATGATATAAAAGATGACAGAGGGCTGGGTACAGTGGCTCACGCCTGTAATCCCAGCACTTTGGGAGGCTGGCGGATCACCTGAGGTCAGGAGTTGGAGACCAGCCTGGCTTACATGGTGAAAGCCCATCTCTGCTAAAAATACAAAAATTAGCCAGGCGTGATGGTGTGCGCCTGTAGTCCCAGCTACTCGGGAGGCTGAGGCAGGAGAATCGCTTGAACCCAGGAGGCGGAGGTTGCAGCAGTGAGCCAAGATCACACCACTGCACTCCAGCCTGGGCAACAGAGTGAGACTGCGTCTCAAAAAAAAAAAAAAAAAAAAAAGAAGTAAATAATTGTAAACATAATTACTAAACATGGGGTCCTTGAACTGTATAATTTTTTTTTTTTTTTGAGAGTCTTGCTCTGTCACCCAGGCTGGAGTGGAGTGGTACGATCTCCGCTCACTGCAACCTCCACCTCCCGGGTTCAAGTGATTGACCTGCCTCAGCCTCCCGAGTAGTTGGGACCACAGGCATGTGCCACCACGCCCAGCTAGTTTTTGTATTTTTAGTAGAGATGGAGTTTCACCATCGTGGCCAGGCTGGTCTTGAACTCTTGACCTCAAGTGATCCACCTACCTCAGCCTCCCAAAGTGTTGGAATTACAGGCGTGAGCCATGGCCCCCAGCCTACATTTTAAATAAATTGATATGACTGTATCATCTTTGAAGAATCAACTGTACCTATTATTTTGTAGTTTTAATGTACCTTATCTTTTTGCCTCTCAGAAGATTGGACAGATTTAATCTTGATGTGCTCAAGATACTCTGTGCTTAACATTCAACAAAAATTACATGATCTAAGCCCATCATTACCATGTAAAGACAAATCAGGCAATTATAAAATTGGGAATTGTATCTTGTTTTGCAGAACAAGGGAAAACTAAAGGATTTGGACTTGTGTGAGTGAGCTAAGTGTGTCCCAAGTATGGTGAACAGCTTTAGGTCAAGGAAGAAAGCAAAGAGGAGAGAAAGCCTATAGCTGAGTGTAAAAGTTTGAGGATTTCAGGAGGGAAGATGATGATGAATCAGGATCTGTCAGTTCTGATGGAATATACTAACAGTGGCTGGGTTTAAATCCTGGCTCCAGGGCCGGGCACAGTGGCTCATGCCTGTAATCCCAGCACTGGAAGGCTGAGATGGGCGGATCATGAAGTCAGGAGATTGAGACCATCCTGGCTAACGGTGAAACCCGTCGCTACTAAAAATACAAAAAATTAGCCAGGCGTGGTGGCAGGCGCCTGTTGTCCCAGGTACTCGGGTGGCTGAGGCAGGAGAATGGCGTGAACCCGGGAGGCGGAGCTTGCAGTGAGCTGAGATTGTGCCACTGCACTCCAGCCTGGGCGACAAAGCTAGACTCGGTCTCAAAATAAAAATAAAAGTGAAAATAAATGCTGGCTCTACTACTGACTTAACCTCTTTGAGCCTTACATTTCTCACTTGTAGAATGTGAATACAAATATTTCCTTATAGGGTTGATGTGAGTATGACATTGAGACAAAATGTATAATGTACTTAGTGTGACTGGCACGTGATGGCTCAGTAAGTGATGATTACTATTATTGCTGCTATTTTGCAATGACCTCTGTGAAGTTTTTTCCAGATGTATTTGAATCTCTTAGTGCATACTTTTCAGATTTATTTGAACCCCTTAGTGTGTGCTTCTCTGTTGGCACTTCACCTAGGCACAAAATACTTACTTAGTAATTATTATTTCATTAATTTTGATAAATCCTTAAGGACAGCAACTCTTGGTATCCCCTGTGCAACTTATACCTAGCATCTTGCCTTGTGAGAGAAAAAAGTAATTGGTAAATTCGTGACTGAAATTGATAAATAATAGATCGTATTCAGTCTGAGTTCTTCTGTTCTTCTGTTGGCAGCAAGCTGATAAACAAATTTCCATTCCAGGTTATATGAGCTTCAGCTTCTCCTACAGTATCACTTTTACTTGTTTATTTTTTAATTGCTGATACAGATGCATCCATAATAAATATTTGGTTTTTGTGATGCTGAAACACAGTCCCAATTACAAGGCAACTTAGAAGTTAAAACTGAAACTGAAATATAAACAGCTTAACACCAGAAGGAAGCAAAACTATATATGTCTTTTTGCAACAGCAGTTCCGAAATTGTTTTTATACACTGTAACAACAAAGGTACCAACTTCCTTATTTCACAAATTTAAGTTTGGTTTATATATTTTATTGACATGGTTACTCAATGTCCACATCATTCCATCTGCATCGTCTTCCTACAAACAGTTTTTCTTCTACTATTCGGTTATTTCTCCTTTTTTTGTTTCCTATTTCAGAATCAAATTTATTTTACTTGCAAAGTCAGTGGAATATGGTTTGGAACCAGTAGGGCCTCTAACTTAAGCCCAGAACCTGTCAAAGAGAAGTGCAGTATCATTGCTAAGACTTGAACAGTTTATCTCTCAGAATCTTCAGTTCCTTTGAATTTCTCAGCTCTTAGTGTAATCTGTTTTATGTGTTTGTTGTAGACTTCCATTATGGATAGATTTCCAAAATAATTTGGGTAATCAACTGGTATTTTAGCATTCTGGTAACTAACATGTTTAAAAATCTAAGGCTCTTTTTCATGCAAAGGAGACTGATTTTTGCTTTCAAAAGCATAGGCAGGAAACCTTAGGTTCAAAGGTAGTAAATAATGATGAGCAAATTGCTAGTGATGATACAGCTGCAGCTTCCGTTGTGTATTTGTTTGGCTCAGGTACTCTAGAAATGAGAATTCTTAGAATTACATAGCAGAAGTGATATGTTGCCTGGATACCACACTACCAGAGGAATAAAAATGTAGTTAGAGTAAGGGGTTTTATATTTTACAATGAGACAGTGTTAGTGTAAGAAGCATTCCAAATACGCCAGTTCTCTTAAACCCATAGCAGACATTTATATGTTAATTCCTCAATGTCTCATTTCCCACCTTTTTTAGAGGAAGAAAATACTCAGGCTAAAACTTTCACCCAAGCATAAACTCCTGGGGACTTTACAAGAATTTTGTTTTTTGCACTATGTGACGACACGATTGTGAGAATTAAATATAGGAGTGAAAAACCAGAGAAATGGGGCAAAATCCCAGATTAGTCTTTCCTCTTTAAGCATCTGCTTCCCATTTTAGAAACATGCTTTCATCACCACATTCAGCATCAATTTTTTTCTTTCCTCTAACCTGCTCTTCTTTTAAAAAGTATTCTGGGCCGGGCATGGTGGCTCACACCTGTAATCCTAGCACTTTGTGGGGCCGAGGTGGGTGGATCACCTGAGGTCAGGCGTTTTGAGACCAGCCTGGTCAACATGGCGAAACCCCATCTCTACTAAAAATACAAAAATTAGCTGTACGTGGTGGCGCACACCTATAATCCAAGCTACTTGGGGGACTGAGGAAGGAGAATCGCTTGAACTCGGGAGGTGGAGGTCGCAGTGAGCCGAGATACGCCACTGCACTCCAGCCTGCGTGATGAGAGCAAGACTGCATCTCAAAAAAAAAAGTATTCTGAGCCAGGTGCAGTGGCTTCCAGCACTGTGGGAGGCCAAGGGTGGGTAGGTCACTTGAGGTCAGGAGCTTGAGACAAGCCTGGCCAACATGGAGAAACCCTGTCTCTATCAGAACTCCAAAAATTAGCTGGGTGTGATGGCAGGCACCTGTAATACCAGCGACTCAGGAGGACAAGGCAGGAGAATCACTTGAACCCAAGAGGCGGACGCTGCAGTGAGCTGAGATGGTGCCACTGCACTCCAGCCTGGGCAACAGAGCGAGACTTCGTCTCAAAAAAAAAAAAGTTTTCTACTCTCCCAGAGGTGATCAGTTGACATTTGTGCTAGGGTCCTTGAAGAGCTGATTCAGGTCCAGCATTTGTGCTGTAGGTATCAAGAGTAATCAAAACTATTAAAAAGGCAAGTTATTGTATTGCAGGCTGCTGTTTTCTTTATTTCTCAAACATCTTTCTTCTCCCATTCATCAACTCTTCAGCAGCTATCCTGGTGAGTTATTTTTGCTAAATCTTTCCAAGATACAACTAAAATGTTAGCAGGCACTAGCTCAGCCCTCTCCTGCCACCCACTACTTATTCTCATCTCTTCCCTAAATATTAGTACCCTTTTCTTCCAGCCCAGAGCTAGACTTCTGGATGCTGAGCCTGGGAAAATACTGAATTTCTCTCATTTTTCACTTTTAGGAGGGAACGGTTATGGCATATACTTGCAGTGCCATTAGAAGCATTGGCAATCCCTGATCTTTTTGATAGTTTAAGGCTTAGAATCATCAAAAGTTCCAGGTTCATATCCTTCTAAAATGGAAGAAATGGAGGAAGTTCCAAGTGTGGTACAATACTGAACTTCCTTTTATCCTTCCTTGATTTTTTTTTTTTTTTGAGATGGAGTCTTGCTTTGTCACCCAGGCTGGAGTGCAATGGCATAATCTTGGCTCACTGCAACCTCCACCTGCTGGATTTTCCTACAGGTGCCTGGCACCATGCCCGGCTACCTTCCTTGACATATTAAGAGAAAACTGATCTAATCTCCCTTTCTAGTCCACCCAGTCTTGCAATTCTGGTTTCACATTTTCTCAGAAAGAAGAGACTATAATGGTATGTTGGGTAATCTTTCAGCATTCCTAGATCCCTTTTTCTCTAGAAGAATTCTTTCTAAGGACGTTGATAAATGACATGTTGTATTTTCTCCTTCCAGAAATATCTAGCAGGAAAGTCCTTAGAGGCATCTGATTTGAGGGGAAATCCACAATTGCTCCATTATATATTTCTAATGTTTGTCAACAATCCTCATAACATCATGAAGATGGAAAGCTCTTCACAATCCTTTGTCACAAATTTTTGTCTCCTTTCATAGTTATTTTGGGCTCAATACAAATAGTGAGATTAGTATAGAGTGGGAGAAACTCATTCACTCTTCTCCATCTCCCACTATTTCAACTCCCCTTGAAATTAATATCCAAACCTTATGACAAATGAAGTTAAGTCAGAATAGAAGACACATGTTTCCTTTTTTGGAGTTTCTTAGAAGTGGTTAGCTCAGTACATGGTGTAGACAGGTGTAATAAGGCTGTGGGTTCTGCTTGACTGTCTGAATAACTAATAATCCAATAAGTTTGCAGAAATGCATAGAAAATTTACAAACAGCATCCCATTTCCTCTTGAAAATTGTGAATCAAAGCACTGATACAAAATATCCCACATTAAAAGTTTTAGGTATATTCACCTCACCTTTCCCCAACCTTCTCACCACAGGTCCTGGTCAACAAATAGATTTGGACTCCTGCTTTCCCTTACTCTGGTCTAAAGGCACAATAAGATGCCTTTTTACAGATGAATCAGCTTACATCCTTTTGCTTGTTTGGTATTGTATAAGGAAAATGCTCATCTGAATCTGTTCCGTGCAATGCTCACTGCTACTTAGATGACCTCTCATCTGGTTGTGTGGCTGGTGACTTGAGCTCCAATGACGAGAAGAGTCCAAAGACCCTGACTCCTAGGAAAGCGTGGGAGTCAAGTCCATTGTAATTCAGACCGTTTGGAAGGCTCTGCTCTGGCTGGGGATCATGCTGGGTGTGGTTTCTGCTTTGGTCAGATTAGCATGGTGGACTTTCTTTGGTTCAGAACCTCTCACCTCTGGCCCCACTAGGCTGTATGCCTGGGTGGCCAGCCCTGGCTGGGGTGCTGCGTCAGTTGACAGTGTCCGCTGGCTGCGTGAGGCACTATTTGCTGTGGAGCGAGTGGAGGAAGAACCAGAGCGTGAGCTCCGAGAGCCTGAGGAAGAGGAGCTGGGTTTCACAAGACGGGCTTTTGGAGCTTCAGCATCTTCTCTGAAGAGAAAAAACAGCAAAGATTAACACTGGCAGATCTGTGATTGCTTCCAGTATGATTGCTTCCTTCTGAGGTTTCCGAAGCTGTGAACCTCAGATAATACCATCGGAAGGCAACCATTTAGGGTCATAGGTGCTTCCTCGTATCTTAAGACTTAATGCTTGGCTCACACAAATGTATATTTTGTTAGCCCACAGGTCAACTCTATTATACTGGGAGGATAGGACCTTACCATTGAGATGGTCTAGACAGCACACCTCCTGATTTAGGGTTTGTCTGCATAAACCCTTTCATGACCTATAGGCTATGTCCATTCTTCATTGTATGCCCATTATGGGTAGAAGTGAATCAGAAGTAATGTAAATTGAACTGTTTTATGTATATACATATGTACATACTTTTTTTTTTTTTTTTTTTGAGACATGCTCTTTCTCTGTCACCCAGGCTGGAGTACAGAGGTGCAATCATGGCTCACTGTAGTCTTAAACTCCTGGGCTAAAGTCATCCTCCTGTCTCAGCCTCCTGAGTAGCTGGGACTACAGGCATGGGCTACCATGCCTGGTTATTTATTTATTTATTTTTCTTTTGTAAAGATGGAGTCTAACTATGTTGACAAGGCTGGTTTCAAACTCCTGGCCTCAAGTAATCCTCCCGCCTCGGCCTCCCAAAGTGCTGGGATTACAGGCATGACCTACCACGCCCAGCCTAATTTAACTTTTAAGTGTTTGTTGAGGATAAGATAGTTTCACAATAAAGTCCAGGTAAACCATACCCTCTGTCCCTAGGCTGGAACTTCCTACCTACCAGGATAATCCTTTTAACAGATTCATGGTTAAGAGAAAACTGGGAACATTTATGTTGGCTGGTCACTATAGTGCTGGCCCTAAAACAGAAGCCCCGTAAAAGTAGGGATGTGGGAGGTTTACCGAATTTCATTAGGTCTCTCTTCTTCCTCATATCTTTCTTTGTCTTTCCTTCGGATTAGCAGCCACACCAAGAGGAAAATCAGCAGGGCTCCAGCCACTATGCCTGTCACTGCTCCTGCAACCATGCCGATGCTTTGTACATCTATTTTCTCAGAAGCAAAAGCACAAGTAAAACCAAACGTAAGCTAGGAAATATGTTATTAACTCAAAAAACATAAGCTCTGGACAGAATGAGTATTTGCAGGTTTGTTTGTTTTGTTTTTTTTTTTTTGAGACGGAGTTTCACTCTTGTTGCCCAGGCTGGGGTGCAGTGGCATGATCTCGGCTCATCGCAACCTCCACCTCCTGGGTTCAAGTGATTCTCCTGCCTCAACCTCTTGAGTAGCTGGGATCACAGGCGTGCACCACCACGCCCGGCTAATTTTGTATTTTTAGTAGAAACGGTATTCTCTATGTTGGTCAGGCTGGTCGCAAACTCCCGACCTCAGGTGATCCACCAGACTCAGCCTCCGAAAGTGCTGGGATTACAGGCGGGAGCCACCGCGCCGACCTCCAGGTCTTTATATCTATCTTCCTGAGTAGTACTGCATTACTCTCTCTTATTGTATGACCAACCCTCTTGATATATTTGCAGTTGTAGTTACTGAATCACAGACTTCGCCAGCAAGTGGCCAGGGTTTTTGTTTGTTTGTTTGTTTGTTTTGAGAGGGAGTCTCGCTGTGTCCCCCAGACTGGAGTGCAGTGACGCGATCTCGGCTCACTGCAAGCTCCGCCTCCCGGATTCACGCCATTCTCCTGCCTCAGCCTCCCGAGTAGCTGGGACTACAGACGCCCGCCACCACGCCCGGCTAGTTTTTTTGTATTTTTAGTAGAGACGGGGTTTCACCGTGTTAGCCAGGATGGTCTTGACCTCCTGACCTCGTGATCCGCCCTCCTCGTTCTCCCAAAGTGCTGGGATTACAGGAGTGAGCCACCGCGCGCAACCAAGTGGTTATGTTTTAGTGAATAAGTCTGGGTGGGTTCAGATGGTAAAACTGGGCTGGGAGAGAAATCATAGCATGTCTGAAGATTTGTCTGCCTTAATAGGATAACATTTGGGCATTCCTCTGGCTCTGCCGACTTCCCTGTTTTCTCTAACATCTCTCTTCTCCCACCAGTCATATAAAAGGGAATGTAAGAAAATTTTTTTGGCTGGGCACAGTGCCTCAGGCCTGTAATCCCAGCACTTTGGGAGGCTGACGTGGGCGGATCACTTGAGGTCAGGAGTTCGAGACCGGCCTGGCCAACATGGCAAAACCCCGTCTCTACTAAAAATACAAAAGTTATCTGGGCATGGTGGCACACGCCTATAATCCCAGCTACTCGGGAGGTTAAGGCAGGAGAATCACTTGAACCTGGGAGGCAGAGGTTGTAGTGAGCCGACATCATGCTACTGCACTCCATCAAGACTCTGTCTCAAAAAAAAAAAATTTTGAGTAGAATAAAAGTTGATTTTTAAAAATGGAATATAACCTATAATGTTAGACTCTGTGGAATTTGACATTGGATCCTAGAATTTAAGAAGTTAAGGTAAATACAATTTGTAGTTTAGCAATACACCCTTTTTCATATACCAAATATTTATTTCAGTGCCTACCCTGAGCCAGGCAGTTATAGGCACTGTTGAAGACCAGCAAGTTTTCTGCTTTTGTTGAGTTTTCATTCCAGAAGGGAAACAGATAATAAACAAGTAAATAAAGATAATTTCAGATAATGGATAAATTCCATGAAGGCAAAATTGGATGAGTGAATTTTAGAGGGGTAATGGAGGGATACCACTTAAGTTTGGGTGATTAAGACTTTGAGGAGGTGACATTTGAGTTGAGGCATATATGATATAAAGGACGATCTTGTGATTATCTAGGAACAGAGCATTCCAGGCAGAAAACAGCAAGTACAATTAATGTGAGTGGGTCTGGAGCATAGTGAGCAAGGGAGAGTAGAGGGAGATGAGGTCACAGAGACAGGAAAGGACCAGCCCACATAGGCCATGGCAAAAATTTTAATGTGAGAGCAATAAAAGAGTAACACAATCTGAATTATATCTGAGACAGTACACCATGGCTGCTCTAGGGAAAATAAATAGTGGAGAAGTAGGAAAGAAAGCAGGGACATTGGCTAGGAGGCGTATAATAGTGCAGGCTGGAGATCATGATGGATTAGGCTAGGATGAAAGTAATGTATATAGAAACAAGTACATGGATATTGCCTATATTTTGGAAGTCTAATCAACAGAATTTGCTATTTATTCTTTTTTTTTTTTTTTTTTTTTTTTGAGATGGAGTTTCGCTCTTGTTGCCCAGGCTGGAGTGCAATGGCGCGATCTCAGCTCACTGCAACCTCCGCGTCCCGGGTTCAAGTGATTCTCCTGCCTCAGTTTCCTAAGTAGCTGGGATTACCGGCGTGCACCACCATGGCCAGCTAATTATTGTATTTTTAGTAGAGACAGGGTTTCACCATGTCAGCCAGGCTGGTTTCGAACTCCTGACCTCAGGTGATCTACCCCCCGCCTTGGCCTCCCAAAGTGCTGGGATTTCAGGCGTGAGCCACTGCACCCAGCCTATTTATTCTTATAAAAACAAAATGATACAATTATTTATTTATTTTTAAGACAGAGTTTTGCTCTTGTTGCCCAGGCTGGAATGCAATGGTGCGATCTTGGCTTACCGCAACCTCTGCCTCCCGGGTTCAAGTGATTCTCCTGCCTCAACTTCCTGAGTAGCTGGGATTACAGGCATGCGCCACCACTCCTGGCTAATTTTGTATTTTTAGTAGAGATGGGATTTCTCATGTTGGTCAGGCTGGTCTCAAACTCCTGACCTCAAGTGATCCGCCCACCTCCATCAAAGTGTTGGGGTTACAGGTGTGAGCCACATGCCCAGCCAAAATTTCATTTTTTAAAGAAATTGGACTTTGGATATTTTTATTTAAGGTCTCAAAGGAATGGAGTTATTTTACCTGAGTAATTTCAAATAGAGGATGCTGTTTTCCCCACTGCCCCAGCTCCAGGACACATAATCTAGATGGATTGTCTGTTAATGGAAATTTAGGTCACTTTCAATTTTTCACAATGGAAAATAATATATCTCAGTGCTGTGGCTCACGCCTGTAATCTCAGCACTTCGGGAAGGTGAGGCAGGTGGATCACTTGATGCCAGGAGTTCGAGACCAGCCTGGCCAACATGGTAAGACCCCGTCTCTACTAAAAATGCAAAAATCAGCTGGGTGTGGTGTGCAGGCCTGTAATCCTAGCTCCTCAGGAAGCTGAGGCAGGAGAAGTGCTTGAACCTGGGAGGCGGAGGTTGCAGTGAGCCGAGATCGCACCATTGCACTCCAGCCTGTGCAACAAGAGTGAAACTCTGTCTCAAAAAAAAAGAAAAAAAAATCATTATTTTCCATATGTATTTGGACACTTGGGGCATGTCTCTAAAAGATAAATTCACAGAAATATTACTGGATAAAATGGAATGCAATTTTGCATCTGAAATAAAATGAATAATTGTATAGTTATATAATGAAATACTATAAAACAATGAAAAATGACATACTCTAGCTATAAGCAACAACAATGATGAGTCTCAAAAATATAATGGGGAATTAAAGAAACCAGACAAAATGGAATGATTCTGTTTATTTAAAGTTTTGAGACAGGAAAAGTAATCCATAAAGTTAGAAACCTGGATTATGGAGAGGTAGCAGGAGTCAGAAACAGGTTCTTTTTTTTGAGCCAGAGTCTCACTCTGTTGCCCAGGCTGGAGTGCAGTGGCACAATCTCGGCTCACTGCAACTTCTGTCTCCCAGGTTCAAGTGATTTTCCTACCTCAGCCTCCCGAGTAGCTGGGATTAGAGGTGTGCACCACCATGCCCAGCTAAGTTTTGTTTTTTTGTGTTTTTTTTGGTTTTTTTTGTTTTTTTTTTTTTTGAGACAGAGTCCTGCTCTGTCGCCTAGGCTGGAGTGCAGTGGCGGGATCTCGGCTCACTGCAAGCTCCACCTCCCGGGTTCACACCATTCTCCTGCCTCAGCCTCCCGAGTAGCTGGGACTACAGGTGCCTGCCACCACGCCCAGCTAATTTTTTGTATTTTTAGTAGAGATGGCGTTTCACCATGTTAGCCAGGATGGTCTCGATCTCTTGACCTCGTGATCCACCTGCCTCGGCCTCCCAAAGTGCTGGGATTATAGGCGTGAGTCACCGTGCCCGGCAAGTTTTATATTTTTAGTAGAGCTGGGGTTTTGGCATGTTGGTCAGGCTGGTCTCAAACTCCTGACCTCAGGTGATGCGCCCAGCTTGGCCTCCCAGAGTGCTGGGATTACAGGCATGAGCCACCGTGCCTGGCCAGAAACAGGTTCTTAATCATGATACTGGTTACACAGTTATCTTCACTTTTGAAAATCTATCAAGTTGTACACTTATCCTTCTTCTTTGTATAAGTTTTACTTTAATATATTTACCCCTCAGAAATCTATAGATAAATCTAAATTGTGCTACTAATGTATATGTTAGTCAAAAATGTAAAAGCACCTGTTTCCTCATAACCTTTCTAATATAGATTCTACAGTTTTTATATTTACTAAACTGATAGCTTAAAATTAAAAGGGTGATTTTTTTTTCTCAACCTAGTGGGGAAAAAAGGATTTTTGGGGGCCTCTTTATTCATGTTTATTCACCATTTTTTATTTCTTTTCCTGAAAACTGCCTGTTACTTTTTTTGTTTTGTTTTGTTTTGTTTTTGAGACGGAGTCTCTCTCTGTCACCCAGGCTGGAGTGCAGTGGCCTGATCTCAGCTTACTGCAACCTCCACCTCCCAGGGTCAAGCGATTCTCCTACCTTAACCTCCCGAGTAGCTGGGATTACAGGCATGCCCAGCTAATTTTTTGTGTGTTTTTAGTAGAGACGGGGTTTCACCATGCTGGCCAGGCTGGTCTCAAACTCCTGACCTCGTGATCCGCCCGCCTCGACCTCCCAAAGTGCTGGGATTACAGGCGTGAGCCACTGCACCCGGCCTGACTGTTGTGTTTTTAAGAAAAATTATCTAAACTTGGAAATAGACAAAAGAACTACAGAACTTGGCAATTTACAACTCTGTAGGGGCAACTTGTAGACCTCTGTCTAGTAGAGATGGAAATAATTTATCCACCAGTTAAACAGATGACCCCAGGAATTAGTCTGCGACTTCGTAGCTCGATGTCAAATCCAGCAATCTGTTAATAGTAATAATAGCTAGTGTTACTGAACACCCACCATGTGTGAAGCCCTGTTCCTAGGCTTGACTGGTGTTGGATGATCTGCCTCTGAAATGGCTCATTCACATGGCTGTTGGCTGGAGGCCTCAGTTTCCTCACTTAAAATAAAACATAAAACATGGGCCTCTATATAAGGCTCTTAAAGCAGCTGGCTTCCCATAAAGTGAGTGATCTAAGAGAGAGAGGATCTGAGTGATCTGAGATCTAAGAGATCTAACATCTAAGAAAGCAAAC
Organism: Homo sapiens; assembly: GCF_000001405.40. Lineage (NCBI taxonomy): Eukaryota > Metazoa > Chordata > Mammalia > Primates > Hominidae > Homo > Homo sapiens. The sequence goes on from NC_000011.10 coordinate 123,080,218, forward strand.
TGCAGTGCTTTTGCAGATGCAACATACCATCACTTCTGCTGTATTATACTCATCAGAAGTGAGTCACTAAGTTCAGATCACACTCAAAAAGAGGAGAATGAAGGTGTACTTTTTTTTTTTTTTTTTTGGAGATGGAGTTTCGCTCTTGTTGCCCAGGCTGGAGTGAGTGGCACAATCTAGGCTCACTACAACTTCCACCTCCCGGGTTCAAGTGATTCTCCTGCCTTGGCCTCCCAAGTAGCTGGGATTACGGGCATGTGCCACCACGCCCAGCTAATTTTCTATTTTTAGTAGAGATGGGGTTTCACCCTGTTGGTCAGGCTGGTCTCGAACTCCCAACTTCAAGTGATCTGCCCGCCTTGGCCTCCCAAAGTGTTGGGATTACAGGTGTGAGCCACTGCGCCTCGACAAAGGTATATCTCTTGAAGGGAGAAGTAGCAAATCATTACTTGGACATATTTTTAAAACCACCAGAATGCAAATTCTAATAAGTAGAGTATATAAATACATAATAAAGAACTCTTTCAAATCAGTGGGAAAACAGCTAAACCAAAATAGGCACAGAATGTTGAAGTATAACTTTGAAAAAAGTAAAATACTGATTCCGACAAATTAAAGGTTTTATTTAACTTATTAATAAGGGGGCGCTGGGTGTGGTGGCTCACACCTGTGATCCCAGCACTTTGGGAGGCCGAGGTGGGCGGATCACGAGGTCAGTAGTTTGAGACCAGCCCGGCCAACATAGTGAAACCCCGTCTCTACTACTAAAAATACAAGAATTAGCCAGGTGTGGTGGCACACACCTGTAGTCCCAGCTACTCGCTACTCGGGAGGCTGAAGCGGGAGAATCGCTTGAACCTGGGAGGTGGAGGTGGCAATGAGCCAAGACCACGCCATTGCACTGCAGCCTGGGTGACAGAGTGAGACTCTGTCTCAAAAAAACAAAAAACAAAAAAAAACCAACAACAAAAAAAAACAGGGTGGGGGTTAGGAAAATGTTAAAAGTGGTCCAAAGAGCATTTGAGAAATTAGAGACAATTTAACAAAGATGTTATGGAGACAATGTAACAAAGATTAATATCCATGCCCTGCTTCCTTTTGTCTTTCAACTTGGTTTATCCTGTCTTTTTTCAAGACTCAATCTCTAGATTATAAGCCTGGCATACTATTTATTGCACCAAATAAATTTTAACACTGCAAACATGGCTTGTGGATATAGGATTTGGTCAAAAGTCTGAAGTTACTAAATTGATTAAGGAGAAATAATAATAATAGCTAATGTTACTGAACACCCACTGTATGTCAAGCCCTGTTCCTAGGCAGTTGTAAGTAAATGTGTTCATTTACTAACTTTTCAGAAAAACTCTAAGAGGCCAGGTGGCGTTGCGCATGCCGGTAATCGCAGCACTCTGGGAGGTGAAGAAGGGTGGATCGCCTAAGTCCAGGAGTTCAAGACCAGCCTGGCCAATGTGGCAAAACCCTGTCTCTACAAAAATTAGCCAGGTGTGACGGCATGTGCCTGTAATTCCAGCTACTCAGGAGGCTGAGGCAGGAGAGTCGCTTGAACCCGGGAGGCAGAGGCTGCAGTAAGCCAAGATCACACCACTGCACTCCAGCCTGGGTGACAGAGCAAGACCCTGTCCAGAAAAAAAAAAAAAAAGGAAAAAAAGAAAAACTCTATGAGACAGTTAACTATTATTCTCCTTTATAGATTGGGAAATATGCCTAAGGTACTACAGAGTTAGTGGTAGCTGTGATTGAAATCCAGGCAGTTATCTGACTCCACGGCTGATGCTCTTAGTCGCCTACTACTGTCTCTCATCTGTACTTGAAGCAAATCAAATTCTTGATTATAACACATGTACACACGTGTGTGTGCATGAGCACATGCACATACACACTCACAAACACTCTGTGGAGGGGAGAAATCTCATCTACTTGCCTAGAATGGTAGTGGCATATAACTAACTAGCTGCACGGTTTTGTTTGTTTTTGTTTTTAGGAATGGTGTTTATTTAGTACTCCCCTGGATATAGTGAATTTCTTTAGGGGGCTGGCTAATTCACATGTTTGTAAATACAGAGTCAACTGGTGTGTTTTTGTTTTTTTTGGTTGGAGTCTCGCCCTGTTGTCCAGGCTGGAGTGCAATGGCACCATCTCGGCTCACTGCAACCTCCGTGTCTCAGGTTAAAGCAATTCTTCTGCCTCAGCCTCCTGAGTAGCTGGGATTACAGGCACGCATCAGCACACCTGGCTCATTTTTTGTCTTTTAGTAGAGATGGGGTTTCACCATGTTGGTCAGGCTGAACTCCTGACCTCGTGATCTGCCTGCCTCGGCCTCCCGAAGTGCTGGGATTACAGGCATGAGCCGCCACGCTGGGCTGGTTTTTTTTGTGTGTGTTTTTTTTTTTGAGAGGGAGTCTCAGTCTGTCACCCAGACTGGAGTGCAGTGGCGTGATCTTGGCTCACTGCAACCTCCGCCTCCCAGGTTCAGGAGATTTTCCTGCCTCAGCTTCCTGAGTAGCTGAGATTACAGGCGCCCACCACACCCAGCTAATTTTTGTATTTTAGTAGAAACGGGGTTTCACCATGTTAGCCAGGCTGGTCTCAAACTCCTGACCTCAACTGATCTGCCCACCTGGCCCTCCCAAAGTGCTGGGATTACAGGTGTGAGCCACTGTGCCTGGCCAGTCAATTGTTGAGTGGTCTTTGCAACTACTGAATTTATTTTGGTGATAGCCATATCCTTCTGGAGATAAAGATTTTGACCTTAACCTTACTCTTACTTATGATTAGAATGTCTTAACATTGATCTACAATGCAAAAACAAACAGAAAAATGAAACTAAAACCTCTTTGGATGCTTACACTGTACAGTTACTCGCACCACACAGCTTTCCTTCCCAGCTTCGTTGCCTGCTGTGCACTGGTACAGTCCAGAGTAGGACATGGTAAGATTCTGCAGCAGAACTCGTCCAGGGTGGTTGTAGTCTGCACAAGCAGAAAGAATGACTGTAAATCCCTTTAGTGATGGTATCTATATTTATTGTTTACTTTATTGTATCACTGAGCTGAGATTCCGTAATGCTATTTGATAAGAATGAAATGATGGAAAAGATATCCTTTGGGAACATGAGAAGAAAGGTAAACATTTTTTTTAAGTTGTAGCACATCCTCAAAAGTTACAAAAGATTGTGAACATTTAAGGGATACTAAACATAATATTTAGATATAGTGGATTTATGTAGTACATTTCTTCCAATCTCTTTTACTACTTTTACATGTCATTTGAGGAAAGGAAAGACAGATTTTCTGTTCTAGTTAATGGATTTTAAAAATGGCAGTTCAGGAGGTTCAGCAGGGTATTTCAGGTCACATAGTGAGTTGCTGAGAAAGCTGATTTAGAGCTCACGGATAGAGGACTATTTTGTTGGCTCAATAGATTGGTAGGAAGATGACTTACCAATCCTAGATTTGGGAGGCAGACGTTCATCCTCTCCCTCTTTCTCTCGGATTCGCTGCCAGTAATACACAATGGGCTCTGTGCCAGAGGATGACTCACACTGCAAAGTCAGGTCACTTCCTTCTGTCAGCTCTCCTTCCAACTCACACTTGGGCTTGGATGGTCTCACTGGCAACAGCAACAACAAGCAAAAGTGTAGTGATTCAAAGATCCCCAAACACCAGATTCAATGGAAAAATTATGTCCTATTGAGTTGCTTCTCCAGCCATCTGTTTTGGTCAACTTTTGAGTGGGGATTCAACTAGCCTTGCTTTACACTACCCCCACCAAAACATCCACCTCCATCCCCTAAGCACACATACCCGCAACTCCAGTGGTGCTGTTTTAATTTTTGGGGCAGAGGCTGCCTCATTACTTCTCAAAGAAGACACATTATTATTGGACATTTTAGGAAAGTTGAGCATGGTTTTACTGATACAGAAGTGTATTAATTTGGAAGCAATTAAGTAGAACTTGGTAGCTCTTGCTGTCAAAAAACAGAAATGAATTTGAATCATATCTGAGAGACTTAAATATGAAGATCCCACTTAAATATTAGAGAATATGTTTTGTAATGGACAACTATGGAAAATTGCTCTTATATTTTCATTTTTTATTATGGCTATAATACAGAAGATACACATTTCTTTCCAGGGAACTGGACGAGGTGACCTCTGAATGTGTAATCCAAAGTACTGAACATGATGTTTTGTACCACCGTGATGCATATGGCTATCCCTCTTAGATACCTTAGAAATAAGCTGTAGACATTCACTTTGGCATCCTATCTTACCTAAGACTTTTAAGATGACATGGCTCCACACGTAGCGCCCTGAATTCTTAACCTTACAGGTGTACCGGCCCTCATCACTGGGCTTCAGAGGTTCAATCTGCAAGGAGGCATCTCCTGCCAGGAAATTGGAAGCAAAGGCCACTCGGCCCTTCTGTTCCTCAGTCAAGTTATTGTAGACATGACGACTGGAGTAAGTGATCACCTGTGGGATAGACCGAGGCAGAGTCAAGCAGCGTAACTCTCAGCCTGCCTTTCCTGATGGTGTGAAGAAGAGGAAAGGGAGTACTCCCAGTGGCACAAAGTAGTCAAGCCTGGGGCTGAGAGTCCAAGAGACCTCTGTTCTAAATAAAAGTTAAAAATACAGTACATTTGCACCTAGGCCTTGCCTCTCCTTCCAAAAATAATAACACTTCATGTTTGTGTAGCATTTTAGTTATAAAGTATTATATTAAATGCTCAGAACCACTCCATCTTACAGGTAAGGAATTTGAAGTTTGACTTACATACTGAAGTTCACACAGCTAAGTCAAGGAAAGGAGGAAACCATGCAAGTGTACAGCTATGCATGTATTAAGCATAGACTTATGAAAGGAAAAGAAACCTCGGGACCCCTCGGGAAGCCAAAGGGAAGGTCGAGCTTGGAACGATGTCGGCAAACCTGCCTCCCATTCTTTTTTTTTTTTTTTTTTAAGTATTTGAGAGACTTCTATGAGACAGGACTGTTTCCTTGGTTTTATTTATTTATTTATTTATTTTTGAGACAGTCTCGCTCCGTCACCCAGGCTGAAGTGCAGTGGCACAATCTTGGCTCACTGTAACCTCCGCTTCCTGGGTTCAAGCAGTTCTCCTGCCTCAGCCTCCTGAGTAGCTGGGATTACAGGTGTACACCACCATGCCCGGCTAACTTTTGTATTATTGGTAGAGACAGGGTTTCGCCATGTTGGCCAGGCTGGTCTTGAACTCTTGGCCTCAGGTGATCCACCCTCCTTGGCCTCCCAAAGTGCTGGGATTACAGACATGAGCCACCACGCCTGGCCTGCCTTCCATTCTATTCCTGAATAAGAAATAAGATAGCTACAAAGATAAAAAAAAAAAAAAAAAAAAAGCTTACAGTACTCCTGCACAATTTGCCCACAAGGTGACTGCTTGTGGACAAAGGACAGACAGAACTCACAGTTACCCCTCTGCACACATGAGATAAATGCATATCTGATTGCTTCCTTTGCCCTATTTCACTAAGCCGAACTAATTTTTTATGTTTTTTTTTTTTTGTTTTTTTTTTGAGATAGAGTCTCACTCTTGTCGCCCGGTCTGGAGTACAATGGTGCGATCCTGGCTCACTGCAACCTCTGTCTCCTGGGTTCAAGCAATTCTTCTGCCTCAGTCTCCTGAGTAGCTGGGATTACAGATGCATGCCACCATGACTCGCTCATTTTTGTATTTTTAGTAGAGCTGGGGTTTCTCCATGTTGGCCAGGCTGGTCTTGAACTCCTGACCTCAGATGATCTGCCTGCCTCAGCCTCCCAAAGTGCTGGGATTACAGGTGTGAGCCACTGCGCCTGGCCCTAATTTTTTATTTTAGTAGAGATGGGGTTTCACCATTCTGGCCAGGCTGGTCTCAAAGTCCTGACCTCAGGTGATCCACCCTCCTCGGCTTCCCAAAGTGCTGGGATTACAGGTGTGAGCCACTGCGCCTGGCAAATCTCTTCTTTGGTTCAAGTGATTTATAATCAAGTGAGATTAACAAGGAAAGACTATTAAACAGAGAAAAAGAAATGATTTATTTGAAATAGTATCAAGGAGAGTGTCCCAGACAAGTTGGTGGCATTTGAGCTAGGCTTTGAGAGGCAAGGAGAAAAGGCCTGGAGGGAGCATTCCAGCTACACAGAAGGGCACTAAAAAAGGCATGCAAGCATATGGGCATCTCCCAGGCACATTTCAGCTGCAGCTGTTCCAAATTGTTTCACTCAAGCCCTCAACCCTGCCTTTGATCACGTGTTGCTCCACAGCTCTTCAGAGCCTTTCCTGAGAAGGTTCTCTCAATCAGATAAAACCTATGAACTCTGACCCAGAAAAAACTCACATATTATTTTGCAGATAATTCCATGGGGTTCCTAGCACTCAAGGGAAAGCCCTCTGCTTTAGGCACAGATGGGGAAGAGCTAGGATCACAGCCCTTCTCCTGGATGTGGTACTTGTTTGTTCTAAATATTTGTGGGGGCCAGATGCGTGGTGGTTCACGCCTGTAATCCAAGCACTTTGGGAGACCAAGGCTGGTGGTTTGCTTGAGCCCAGGAGGTTGAGGCTATAGTGAGCCAAGACTGCGCCACTGTACTCCAGCCTGGGTGACAGAGTGAGACCCTGTCTCAACAAATAAAATTTAAAAAAAGAAAAAAATGTAACTGGGTGCGGTGGCTCACAACTGTAATCCCAGCATTTTGGGACGCCAAGGCAAGCAGATCACTTGAAGTCAGGAGTTTGAGACCAGCCTGGCCAACATGGTGAAACCCTGTCTCTACTAAAAAATACAAAAATTAGACAGGTGGCCTGACGTGGTGGCTCACGCCTATAATCCCAGTCCTTTGGGAGGCCGAGGTGGGCAGATCACCTGAGGTTGGGAGTTCAAGACCAGCCTGACCAACATGGTGAAACCCCGTCTCTACTAAAAATACAAAATTAGCCGGGCGTGATGGCGCATGCCTATAATCCCAGCTACTCGGGAGGCTGAGGCAGGAGAATTGCTTGAACCCGGGAGGCGGAGGTTGCAATGAGCCAAGATCACGGCATTGCACTGCAGTCTGAGCAACAAGAGCGAAACTCCGTCTCAAAAAAAAAAAGAAAGAAAGAAAAAACTAGGTGTGGTGGTGTGCGCCTGTAAACCCAGCTACTCAGGAGGCTGAGGCAGCAGAATCACTTGAACCTGGGAGGCAGAGATTGCAGTGAGTGGAGATTATGCCACTGCACTCCAGCCTGGGCAACATAACAAGATTCTGTCTCAAAAAAATAAAATGAAATAAATAAATATTTGCGGCTCGGTGCAGTGGCTCATGCCTGTAATCCCAGTACTTTGGGATGCCGAGGCGGGTGGATCACGAGGTCAAGAGATCGAGACCATCCTGGCCAATATGGTGAAACCCTGTCTCTACTAAAAATACAAAAATTAGCTGGGTGTGGTGGCATATGCCTGTAGTCCCAGCTACTAAAGAGGCTGAGGCAGAAGAATCGCTGGAACCCAGGAGGCAGAGGTTCCAGTGAGCCAAGATCATGCCACTGCACTCCAGCCTAGGGACAGAGTGAGACTCTGCCTCAAAACAAGACAAAACAAAACAGAAAAATGTTTGTAGGGTGTTGTTGGCCCCACATCCTGTTGTACTCTGTAGGGTAGGTTTCGTTTTGTTTCTTTTTTTTTTTTCTTTGAGACGGAGTTTCACTCTTTTTGCCCAGGCTGGGGTGCAATGGCATGATCTTGGCTCACCACAACCTCCGCCTCCCGGGTTCAAGTGATTCTCCTGCCTCAGCCTCCTGAGTAGCTGGGATTACAGGCATGTGCCACCAGGCCCAGCTAATTTTGTATTTTTAGAAGAGATGGGGTTTCTCCACGTTGGTCAGGCTGGTCTCGAACTCCTGACTTCAGGTGATCTGCCCGCCTCGGCCTCCCAAAGTGCTGGGATTACAGGTGTGAGCCACCATGCCCAGCTGGAAGGGTAGGTTTCTTGGCAGGTGATAGAGCTGACTTAGTAATGCAAAATTGCTGGGATAGTTGGAAAAGAAGGAAATGCGTTCACAACAGGAAAAAACTGGAAGCTGTAGAGTTTGTCTCCATTCAAAGACTGAAAGTAAGGGGGCCTTACACCTGGAGATAAGGCAGGTAAGCTTGGAACACTTACTAGGTGCTCTGTTAATGTTTCTCTTTCTTTCTGATTTGTCCATATTTCCCCCAGATGCATAATCACCTACAATGAAGTCAGTTTGTACTTTCTAGGAGAATGAAGAGAGGCAAAACCTACAAGACAGTGAAGCACTGGGTAATTTTTAGGAACTTTGGGGTTTTGTGGGCTTTGACAGGTGGGTGACCTTTTTGGCCTGAGAGCTTTGGAATTTCTTTCTTGTTTATTTTATTTATTTATTTTTGAGATGGAGTTTCACTCTTGTTGCCCAGGCTGGAGTGCAGTGGCGTAATCTCCACTCATTGCAACCTCCGCCTCCTGGGTTCAAGCGATTCTCCTGTCTCAGCCTCTCAAGTAGCCGGGATTACAGGCATTCACCACCACACCAGCTAATTTTGTATTTTTAGTAGAGACGGGGTTTTACCATGTTGGTCAGGCTGGTCTCGAACTCCTGACCTCAGGTGATCCACCCGCCTTAGCTTCCCAAAGTGCTGGGATTCCAGGCGTGAGCCATGGCGCCCAGCTGCTTGTTTATTTTAGTATTTGGGTTAGCATCCAGAGATGCCTTCGTCTTGAAATATATATTTGAATTTGAAGAATCTTAGTAGCTGTGGTCCAAAGTAGAGTCAGGCTGCTTTGGACGCTAGAACAGTACAGCAAGCACTTTCAAACTGTTTTCAACAGACTCACATTAAGAAATACATTTTTCTCGCCCGGGGCTCATGCCTGTAATCCCAGCACTTTGGGAGGCCAAGGCAGGCAGATCACTTGAAGCCAGGAGTTCCAGACGAGCTTGGCCAACGTGGTGAAACCCCATCTCTACTAAAATTACAAAAATTAGCCGGGCATGGTGGCGCATGCCTGTAGTCCCAGCTACTCAGGTGGCTGAGGCAGGAGAATTGCTTGAGCCCAGGAGACGAAGTTTGCAGTGAGCCGAGATCATGCCACTGCACTTCAGTCAAAAAAAAAAGAAACACATTTTTCTTCATGACACAGCATACACATATATACTGAAACATAAGTTTCATGAGTATATGTGCAGTATGCTCTGATATTGTCTAGTCTATGTTAAAAGAAAACAAAATGACCAGGTGCAGTGGCTCATGCCTGTAATCCCAGCACTTTGGGAGGCCGAGGCGGGCGGATCACAAGGTCAGGAGATCAAGACCATCCTGGCTAACACGGTGAAACCCCGTCTCTACTAAAAATACAAAAAATTAGCCAAAATATTAGCTGGGTGTGGTGGCGGGCGCCCGTAGTTCCAGCTACTCGGGAGGCTGAGGCAGGAGAATGGCATGAACCCAGGAGGCGGAGCTTGCAGTGAGCCAAGATCGCACCACTGCACTCCAGCCTGGGCGACAGAGCGAGTCTCCATCTCAAAAAAAAAAAAAAAAAGAAAAAGAAAAAGAAACAAAACAAGGCTGGGCGCGGTGGCTCACACCTGTAATCTCAGCATTTTGGGAGACCAAGGCGGGCAGATCACCCGAGGTCGGGAGTTCGAGACCAGCTTGACCAACATGGAGAAACCCATCTTTATTGAAAATACAAAATTAGCTGGGCGTGGTGGTGCATGCCTGTAATCCCAGCTACTCGGGAGGCTTAGGCAGGAGAACCTGGGAGGCGGAGGTTGCAGTGATCCAAGATCACGCCATTGCACTCCAGCCTGGGCAACAAGAGTGAAACTCTGTCTCAAAGAAAAAAAAAAAAATTTCTTATCATTTAGGATCCACTAACTGGTTGTGATACAGATTTTGAAAAAACGCTAGGCTGGGCATGGTGGCTTACACCTCTAATCTCAGCACTTTGGGAGGCCAAGGTGGGTGGATCACGAGGTCAGGAGATTGAGACCAGCCTGGCCAACATTGCGAAACCCCCATCTCCACTAAAATACAAAAAAAAAAAAAAAATAGCTGGGCGTGGTGGCATGCACCTGTACTCCCAGGTACTCAGGAGGTGGAGGTTGCGGTGAGCCGAGATTGTGTCACTGCACTCCAACCTGGCAACAGAGCGAGACTCTGTCTCAAAAAAAAAAAGAAAAAACACTGTGCCAGGCCGCAGTGATTGGGATTGCTGGCTGGGAAGTCAAATGATCTCCAAACGGAAGCCTCTCCACTGACAGCTGTGTGCCTGTCTCTGATCACTTATTCTTTCTAAGCCTTAAGATCCTGAACTATAAAAGGGGGCTGCGTTACTTCATAGGGTTTTTGTGGGAATGAGATAGTAAGCACTCAAGTGTTAGCATTATCATTTTTATTAGCCTGGTTCTGGGTTCAAGAAGGCCCCTAAGGTTTTAAAAATTGTTCAGCCCAATACGCAAAGAATACTAATCATTCTGTTCCCAGAAAGAGCTGGGTCCGGTTGCATTTTCTCATGGCCCAATAACGAGAAGCAGACAAACTGGGAAAGAAGGGAATTTATCACTGTAACTGGATACAGGGAGAAGGTTGAAGATAATTCCACCAGACCAACTCAAAAGTGTACAATTTTCTTAGTGCTTATATAGGTTGTGGTTATGTGCCTATGTGCAGTATAGCATTTGCCTAAGTCTATAAGTAACTATTTTGTTTCAACTAGAAGGTCAGAGGCCAAAAAATGCTTGCTAAGTCTGATTAAACTGCGAGGGTCCCAGTATCTTCAAGGCCTATCTACTGTGGTACTGGAGTGATTCTTTTCCTTCTTTCTTTCTCTCTCTCTCTCTTTCTTTGTTTCCTTTCTTTCTTTTTTGAGACAGAGTTTCATTCTGTCACCCAGGCTGGAGTGCAGTGCCACAATCTTGGCTCACTGCAACCTTTGCCTCCTGCGTTCAAGCGATTCTCCTGCCTCAGCCTCCCGTGTAGCTGGGACCACAGGCGCATGCCACCACGTCCAGCTAATTTTTGTAGTTTTAGTAGAGATGGGGTTTCACCAGTTTGGCCAAGCTGGTCTCAAACCCCTGACCTTAAGCGACCTGCCCACCTCAGTCTCCCAAAGTGCTGGGATTACAGGCATGAGCCACCGTGCCCATCCGGAGTGATTATTCCTATCTTATCTCATGTACAGCTTGGTCTGAAGAGCTGCTTAGACTTTCCAATAAATCTATTCAAACAACTGCCTCTGTTACCTTGACTGTCTCAGATTTCGACAACCCAAGACAGGTCCTGGCACTAGGAATGTGAGACTGTCTCCGTTATTTTGACTTGCTCCAGGATAGGGAGAAGCCTATGCACGTCTCCTACTGACCATATGTTTATATTTCTAGCTTTGATGTCTGGGCACCGATTTCCCTAGGTTTAATTATTTGCTCAGTGTTAAGGCAGTGCTGTGGAAATTTGTCTGTGTAACTGGAGTGCTGTGCAGGCCTGTCTGTGTGACTGTCATGCAGGCCCATCTGTGTGATTGTTAGGGAGAAACAGCCTGCTACAATTCCACACGTTTGTGTAGCAAAGCTCACCTGGCTGAAAATCTGTTTCCCATCACCTGTGCACACTGATGAAGGCTTGGCTTCTGAAGGTTACACCTATGCCAGCGCAGTCTGGACCATGCCTCATTTTTGACTCCTGCCCTCACATCTCTGAATCTCGTTGTCCCCAAACCTGATGTTTCTTGATTCTGAATAGTGTCTTCTGATAGATCTCGGCTTTGATTACACAGTTTTTTCTTTCTGAAATGCCTTTTCCTCTTCTATTTTTGCCTCAACAACACCTATATAAGGCCTCAAGATCAAGCTCAAGGACCACTTTCTGTATATAGCCTTTCTCGACTCCCCAGTTAGAATGGTGACTCCCTGCTTCAACCTGTGGTGTTTGGGGCATACTGCTACCATAGTGCACAGTACGTTCAGGTAGGTCTGACTCCATCTGCTTTTCCTCGCTTTCCCTAAAATCTTGTCTCCACACACACACACACACACACAAAGACACACACTTTTTTTTCTTTTTGAGACGGAGCCTAGCTCTGTCGCCCAGGTTGGAGTGCAGTGGCACAATCTTGGCCCACTGCAACCTCCACCTCCCGGGTTCAAGCGATTCTTCTGCCTCAGCCTCTCGAGTAGCTGGGACTACAGGCACACACCACCACGCCCGGCTAATTTTTGTATTTTTAGTAGAGACTGGGTGTCACCATATTGGCCAGGTTGGTCTTGAACTCTTGACCTTGTGATCCACCCGCCTTGGCCTCCCAAAGTGCTGGGATTACAGGCGTGAGCCACTGTGCCTGGCCACATTTTTCTTTTCTTTTTTGAGACAGAGACTCTCTCTTTTGCCCAGGCTGGAGTACAGTGATGCAATCTCAGCTCCCTGCAACCTTCGCCTCCTGGGTTCAAGTGATTCTTCTGCCTCAGCCTCCCAAGTAGCTGGAACTACATGTGTGTGCCACCATGCCCGGCTAATTTTTTTGTATTTTTAGTAGAGATGGGGTTTCACCATATTGGTCAAGCTGCCCTTGAGCTCCTGACCTCGTGATCTGCCCACCTCGGCCTCCCAAAGTGCTGAGATTACAGGTGTGAGCCACTGTGCCTGGCCTGACACACACTTTTTTTTTTTTTTTTTTGAGATGTTGTCTCATGCTGTCGCCCAGGCTGGAGTGCAGCGGTATGATCTCTGCTCACTGCAACCTCCTCATCCCAGGTTCAAGCGATTCTCCTGCCTCAGCCTCCTGAGTAACTGGGACTACAGGCACCCGCCATCACTCCTGGCTAATTTTTGTATTTTTAGTAGAGACGGGGTTTCACCATGTTGGTCAGGTTGGTCTCAAACTCCTGACCTTGTGATCCACTGGCCTCAGCCTCCCAAAGTGCTGGAATTACAGGTGTGAACCACCACGCCCGGCCATCACACACCTACTTTTAAGAGACAGGTCTCACTGTGTTGCCCAGGCCAAGACTGTCTCAATATTTAATGAAGAAAAAAGGGATAACATGCAGGCAAGCATCTGACATCTTTGGAAAGGTGAAATTATACAATTGCAAGATACTATTTTTTGCGGGGTGGGGATGGAGTCTCACTCTGTCACCCAGACTGGAGTGCAGTGGTGCGATCTCGGCTCACTGTGACCTCCGCCTCACAGGTTCAAGCAATTCTCCTGCCTCAGTCTCCCAAGTAGCTGGGATTACAGGTGCCTACCACCATGCCTGGCTAATTTTTTGTGTTTTTAGTCGAGAGAGGGTTTCACCATGTTGGGCAGGCTGGTTTCAAACTCTTGACCTCAAATGATCTGCCCACCCAAAGTGCTAGTATTATACTTTGGGCCTCCCAAAGTGCTAGGATTACAGGTGTGAGCCACTGTGCCCAGCCTATTTTGTTTTTTATCCTAAGAAGTGTAGTGTTGAGACTAAGCAGTTCATCAGGGTGTGATGGGAGAAAAATGAACATCAATTTAGTCCTTTTGCAAACAAATAAAAAAATTAAAAATATGAATTTCAGTGGTTTGGGGCTGTTTGTCATTCCTGGTGGACCTGGAACAATTTGTTAGGACTTATATAGAACAGATGGAGCAGCTCAACTTTCTGGCAGTCATTCTGCTGTGCCATCGCCTGCAGAGCAGTCGTAAAACTGCTCTGAATGGAGATGGATGCAGATCTCTCTTGATGTTTTAGATCAGGATTTTTCCGCCATTTGGTGTTTTCTCAGAGAAGCAGCCTACATAGCACATATTACACTTTCACATTATTTATGAAGGTAATACAGCTAGTGGTTCTCAGACCAGGCACTGAGGTCAGGGTGCCTAATTTGTTTTTTGTTCATTTGTGTTGTTTTGAAATGGTCTCCTGTCACCCAGGCTGGAGTGCAGTGGCGCCATCTCTGCTCACTGCAGCCTCGACTTCCCATGCTCAGCCATTCTCCCACCTTAGCCTCATAAGTGGCTGAGATTATAGGCCTGCGCCACCATGCCCAGCTAATTTTTGTAATTTTAGTAGAGGTGGGGTTTCACCATGTTGCCCAGGCTGGTCTTGAACTCCTGAGCTCAAGTGGACCTCCTGCCTGGGCCTCCCAAACTGCTGGGATTACAGGCATGAGCCACTGTGCCCGCCCGGCCCAGCCCAGGGTGCCTAATTTGAAAATGCAAATTAGGTGACCTTAGGCAATTTGTTCACTATGTTTGTGTGTTTACACACATGTGGGCATACCTCAGCTCCTTATTTGTAAAATGGGCCCATTAATCCTAGTTATCAGTATTACATTAACAAATTTTAAAAATTGTTTTAGAAATGGGAGTTCTCACTCTGTTGCTCAGGCCATCTGGAACTCCTGGCCTCAAGTAGTCCTCCCACCTCAACCTCCCGAGTAGCTGGGACTACAGGCACAAGCTACTGCAACTGGCACATATTAAATAACATGAGATAATACGTGCTAAACAGATTTGCACCTGGCATATTTATTGGTTTCTTTGTTCCTACCTTTCTAACTACCCCTTCCCCTCCTTTCTTAAAAGAAAAATTATTTAAGAGATAGAATCTCACTGTGTCACCCAGGCTGGTCTCAAACTCCTGGGTTCAAGCAATCTACCCACCTCAGCCTCCTGAGTAGCTGAGATTGCAGACACTAGCCACTGTGCCAGGCTCTTTGTAAAAAATTATTAAATGTCTTCTCACTATAACCTCTAAGAAGGCAAGGACTATGATGTCTTCTTCACTATTGTATCCTGGTACCTAGCATGGCATACAGTAAGTGCTAAATAAGTTTGTGTAATCTGAATGATTGAATAAATGGACATCCTTGCTTCACAGTATCAACTGAAGACAAGCAGGGAATTGTGACTGCTTAAAGCCATATCAAGGGCTTTTTGAAATCAATAATTAACATCCTAATCCTTATATTCACTTGGCTATATAACCAAGCAAGTCTTTTTTTCTTTAATTCAAATGAAAATACTTGGGTGAAAGTTAGATGTGTGAAATTGCTAATGAGAAAATTATCCAGTGAAACTTTTTTTTTTTTGAGACAGTCTTGCTCTGTTGCCCAGGCTGGAGTGCAATGGCTCGATCTCAGCTCCAAGCTATTCTCCTGCCTTGGCCTCCTGAGTAGCTGGGATTACGGGCAGATGCCACCAGGCTTGGCTTATTTTTTGTATTTTTAGTAGAGACAGAGTTTCACCATGTTGCCCAGCCTGATCTTGAACTCCTAACCTCAGGTTATCCACCCACCTTGGCCTCCCAAAGTGCTGGGATTACAGGTGTGAGCCACCGCACCTGGCCAAAACTTGTTAAAGATAGTAAAACAGACTATTCAAGAGGCGCCATGGTAATAGGTATGAAGACCTGTGAGTCAGAGATTGGGCTTGACTCTGATTCCAGCAAGTACAAGGGGAGTTTACAACCAAGGAGCAGGGTGAGGGTCATGAAATTACTAAGAGGGAACATCAGAGATGAGGGGGTTTCTGATTGAACCTGCTTGATAGGATTATTATTGTAGGCAGGATAGGGTAATAAGATACCAAGAGTGGAGCATTTTCACTAACCTGACTTAGCAGCATTCTTGCTCAAAATGTATTCTACGAGGGCAGAGAGGGAAGTCCAAGATTAGCTCTAGTCAGAAAGACCGCAAGAACCTGCCTCAAGTGTGATCAAAGAAGAGAATCTATCAGAGTCATTCTTGGATTTTTATTACAGGAACATGGGCTGTAATAAACATGAACATCACTTCATTCAGAACTGAGAGTATCAAATCTAGGCTGACCAAGAAGCTGTTAAAATAAACATACTCAGAGGTCTGGCACAGTGGCTCACGCCTGTAATCCCAGCACTTTGGGAGGCCGAGGCAGGCCGAACACCTGAGGTCAGGAGTTCGAGACCAGCATGGCGACACTCAATCTCTACTAAAAAAACAAAAATTAGCTGGGCGTGGTGGTGGATGCCTGTAATCCCAGCTACTCAGGAGTTGGAGGCATGAGAATCGCTTGAACCCAGGAGGCGGAGGTGGCAGTGAGCTGAGATGGCACCACAGCACTCCAGCCTGGGCGACAGAGTGAGACTTCATCTCAAACAACAACAACAACAAAAATCAGCCAGGCGTGGTGGTGCACGTCTGTAATCCCAGCTGCTCAAGAGGCTGAAGCGGGAGAATCGCTTGAACCCTGTGAGTGGAGGTTGCAGTGAGCTAAGATTGAGCCATTGCACTCCAGCCTGGACAACAAAGTGAGACTCTGTCCCAAAATAAAAAAATAAATAAATCAATAAACCTACTCAGGTTAAAGTGACCTCGCTCTACAGAGAACAGATAGTATCTTAGGATGTTGCTGTATGAGAACAAAATGACAAGCAATATCAATATAATGAGGTGATGTAGACAGCTATTTAAGCAAGTTACACTATAATAGTGATCCTGAAATCTGTTTTCAGTGAAAACCTTAGCTCTTCCCAACATAAACCATGTTATAAAATTAGTGGTGTAGACAGAGAAGAGGAAAGGACAACTTTTTTCTTTCTTTTGCTTTTGTTTTGTTTTTGTTTTTTTAGAAACAGTGTCTGGGTCTGTTGCCCAGGCTGGAGTACAGTGGTGTGATCTCAGCTCACTGCAGCCTTGACCTCCTGGGCTCAAGCGATCCTTCTGCACTCAGGCGATCCTCCTGCACTCAAGCGATCCTCCTGCTTCAGCCTCGTGAGAAGCTGGGACTATGGGCATGTGGCATCACATCTGGCTAATTAAAAAAATTTTTTTGGTACAGAGGGAGTCTCACTTTGTTGCCCAGGCTGGTCTTGAACTCCTGGGCTCAAGCAGTTCACCCCCCTCAGGCTCCCAAAGTGTTGGGATTGCAGGTGTGAGTCACTGCACCCGGCCTGACAACTTCTTATTTATTTAGAGACAGGGTCTTGCTGTATTGCCCAGGCTCAAGTGCAGTGGCTATTTACAGGTGTGATCATAGCTCACTGCAGCCTGGCACTCCTGGGCTCAAGTGATCCTCCCACCTCAGCCTCCCAAGTGGCTGACACTACAGATATGTGCCACCACATCTGGCTAATTTTTCTTTCTTTCTTTTTTTTTGAGATGGAGTCTTGCTGTGTCACCCAGGCTGGAGTGCAGTGGCATGATCTCAGCTCACTGCAACCTCCACCTCTGGGGTTTAAGCAATTCTCCTGCCTCAGCCTCCCAAGTAGCTAGGTTTACAGGCATAGGCCACCACACCCGGCTATTATTAGTAGAGACAAGGTTTCACCATGTTGGCCAGGCTGGTCTCGAACTCCTGACCTCAGGTGATCCACCCACCTTGGCCTCCCAAAATGCTGAGATTATAGGTGTGAGCCACCACACCCAGCAATACTCTTTCTTCTCTATAGTTTTGTATCTAAAGTCTTTCAAGTAGAAGCCAGATGAAAAAGGAACTCCAGCTCTTTCAGAGCCAGAAAGAAAGACTGGAAGACTGAAGAAAGGCAAATGCAGGAGGACAAGAAGGAGGAGGGACTCCAGCCAGGTGTCTACTTACCACTTTTTGGTTCCCTTCATTATCGGTGAGCAGCCATTCAATATCCAGAGTGTCTTTTTCTGGAAGCCCCAGTTGATGGTGGCAGGGCAAAGTGACCTTTTCCTCTGCCACTCTCTTGATCTCAGTGTGAGTCCCCAAGGTTCCAACATAGTAGGAAACTGGAAGAGGAAAATCTTTAATGAGTAATGCAGAGACTGGATGGCAATGTGTGGGGAGCAAATATGACAACAAAGAATTATGGGATGTTCCCGTGGGCAAGTGCATGTGGAGGGGTTGCAAGAGTCCTAGACCAGGTGTACTAGAAGTCCTGGTCTCACACTGGCTCCTCCGTTAACTGAATTCATCACATCTTCTTTAACCACCCCAAATTACATCCTACTAGTGCCTGTCTTTCTTACCTTACTTGGTCTTTATGAACAATGAAATTGCTCATGTTAACTTTTTTTTTTTGAGATGGAGTTTTGCTCTTGTCGCCCAGGCTGGAGTGCAATGGCATGATCTCGGCTCACTGCAACCTCTGCCTCCTGAGTTCAAGTGATTCTCCTGCCTTAGCCTCGTGAGTAGCTGGAACTACAGGCGCATGCCACCACACCCAGCTAATTTTTGTATTTTTAGTAGAGACAGGGTTTCACCATGTTGGCCAGGCTGGTCTCGAACTCCTAACTTCAGGTGATCCACCCGCCTTGGTCTCCCAAAGTGCTGGTATTATAAGCATGAGCCACTGTGCCCGGCCTGTTTGTTTGTTTGTTTGTTTTTAGAGAGATTGAGTGTCTCTCTGATGACCAGGCTGGAGTTCAGTGGTGCAATCATGGCTCATTGCACCCTCGACCTCACCAATTCAAGAGATCCTCCCACCTCAGGCTCCAGAGAAGCTAAGACTATAGGCACATGCCACCATCCTGGCTAATTTTTTTTTTTTTTTTTTTTTTTGAGATAGAGTCTCGCTCTGTCACCCAGGCTGGAGTGCAGTGGTGCGATCTCGGCTCACTGCAACCTCCGTCCCCCAGGTTCAAGCGATTCTCGTGCCTCAGCCTCCCAAGTAGCTGGGATTACAGGCACGCTGTAATTTTTGTACTTTTTAGTAGAGACGGGGTTTCACCATCTTGGCCAGGCTAGTCTTGAACTCTTGACCTCACCATCCACCCTCCTCAGCCTCCCAAAGTGCTGGGATTGCAGGCGTGAGCCACCGCGTCCGGCCGTGCTGGCTAATTTTTTGTAGAGACAGGGTCTTGCTCTGTTATTATGCCAGGTCCCAGGTTACTTCTGGGCTGAAGCGATTCTCCAACCTTGGCCTCACAAAGTGCTAGAATTGCAGGCATGAGCCACCGTGCCTGGAAACAACTGTGTTTTTGATCTTTCTGTCTTCTATTAGCAGAGGCTTCCAAGAAGATGATACTCATGGAAACTGCACTAAGTTGCCCAGAAACTCATGTTCTTAAGTTATAGAGTCATAGTCATTTGAAGCTGGAGAAAACCTTAGAGATGAACCTTCTTACTTTCTTTAAGTCTAGTAACAGTTGTTGCTGACCAGTAGCATGTATTTAGAAGGATGAAAAGACAATTACACAAATACTGTAGTATAAAGGGAAATTATTTATGATCAAAGGGCTATGCAAATTTAGAGGAGAGAAATTATAGGCAATTAATTATAGGGTTCAGGAAAAGCTGAAATCCTTCCAGGGTTTTGTAAATATTAGAAACAGAGTATGTAAATCATCTAGCATAGTGTTTAGCACTGAGTGGCTCTGAATAAAAGGCAATTTATTTTATTATGGAGAAGGTGACATTTGATATGGAGCTTGGAAAATGGAATTCATGTGGATAGAATAGAGGAGGAGGAAAGGTGTTGAGATGTTGGGGGAGATGATGGGATCAAAAGCACAGGATGGGAGAGGCGGTGGGGGGCAGATATTCAGTGAATGGTAATAGTTCAGCTTGGCTGGTGTGAAGAAGAAATGTGGAAAAATAAAACAAATTATGCGGGAAAAGTGAAGCAGTTGATGGGATAAAAGTCCTTTCTTGCCGCAGTGAGCACAGTGACATGATCTCTTGCTTAAGGAAGAGATAATTTAGGAGTTGTGTGTTGAATGCACAGGAAAAGGGAAATATTGAGACATACATTTGTGAAAATGCTATTAGATTTTTCCAAGTAAGAGATACTGCTCTAGGATAGTGGTGAAGGCAGTAAAAAGCAAATGATGGATTTGCGAGGTAATGTGATAGTCAAAACTACGGAATATAGTAACTGACTGGATCTAAGAGGAGAAAGAAAAAGGATTCAAAAGCGAAGACTGGGCCCGGCACGGTGGCTCACGCCTGTAATCCCAGCACTTTGGGAGGCTGAGGAGGGCAGATCAACTGAGGTCAGGAGTTTGAGACCAGCCTGGCCAACCATGGCCAACATGGTGAAACCCCATCTCTACTAAAAATACAACATTTAGCTGGGCCTGTGTGTGGGTGCCTGTAATCCCAGCTACTCCAGAGGCTGAGGCTGGAGAATCGCTTGAACCCAGGAGGCAGAGGTTGCAGTGAGCCGAGATCGCACCATTGCACTCCAGCCTGGGTGACAGAGCGAGACTCCCTCTCAGAAAAAAAAAAAAAAACCAAAGATTGTTTTCAAGCTTGCATGACTGGTAGGATGGTGATCGCAGTAGCAGTGATGGGGAAGCCAGGAGTACGATGTGTTTTATTTGGGGGTGAGCTGGGGAGGGTAGGCACTGAGTTTAGATTCAAGTCCATTGTGATGCAGGCATCTGTCCAACAGGCATCCCTGTGTTCTTTCCCCAGGCGGCGCCTCCCTTTCCACTGCTGATGCTCACACAGCTCTGCAAATAGTGTCCACCCTCAGTTGTTGTGTTAGAGGAAGTCACAGCCCTGCTTTGCTTTATTTCTTTATTTTTCATTTCTCTTGTGCCTCTAAATGAAGCTCTTGGAAACACTTCTGTTCCATCCATTGTGCCTGGGCTAAACTGTCTCAGGTCCCTTAATTTCTCTGCTTTTTCCCAAAAACACTTTTTTTTTCCTCCCACTGAGACAGGAAGTCAGGGCTTGGCATCCTCCCCAAAACAGGCTTCAATACCAGGTCACGGGCTGGGTTCCAGGTTGCTCCTTAGAGCCTTCCTAGAGACAGGTTACTACCCTCCTCCCCCACCGCCTGCCCCCGACCTCTCTGTGAGTGCAGAAATACCTTGGGGAACAAGTGGGCTCTTACAAGGAGTTCCTGCCTCCCTTAGAGACACCTATTCTTGTATCCCCCCAAGTTCTATCTTCCATTCTCTGTAGTTTCCTGTCAGATGGTTTCAAAATATGAAACAGCCTTTTTCTTTTCTTTTGAGATGGAGTCTCGCTCTGTCACCCAGGCTGGAGTGCAGTGGCGCGATCTCAGCTCACTGCGACCTCTGCCTCCTGGGTTCAAGGCATTCTCCTGTCTCAGTCTCTGGAGTAGCTGGGATTATAGGCGTGTGCCACACCGGCTGATTTTTCTGTATTTTTAATAGAGACGGGGCTTCACCATGTTAGCCAGGCTGGTCTCAAACTTCTGACCTCAGGTGATCCGCCTGCCTCGGCCTCCCAAAGTGCTGGGATTACAGGCATGAGCCACCAAACCCGGCCTCCCTGTTTATTTTCTAATTCTCTAATTCCCTGTTTATTTACCAAAATTGATTAGCAGCCAATCTGTGGGAAGGAAAATGGCTTCCGGTATTCTTGCTTTCAGGGAAATGAGATGAAGAAGAATGGAGCAGGGGAGATTGTGCTTCATTCTGCAGCAAGGCTGCTTGGGCTGAGACTGCTGGGGAGGAGCCCTCAGAGGCATCTGAAACGGCCTTGGCAAGTGTTATATCAGTGGGAAAATTATAACAGTAAGCTAAACTAACCCTCCCTGGATCTTCCCTTTCCCTTAATTATTCCTGGGCTATTGGGCCAAGCTAACTTTGGAAGACATTTAGGTTACAGTTTAAATGATAACAGGCCTTGCCCAAAACTCAACCGCTTTTGCAAAGCTAATGGGAGGCCATCAGGCTGGGAAGGAGAGACTAAATCCTGGTAAGGCACAGGCATAAGCCATTGTCAGCCATTACTCCAAGGTTATAAGATATGCAACTTCCAGGCCGGGTGCGGTGGCTCATGCCTGTAATCCCAGCACTTTGGGAGGCCAGAGTGGGTGGACTGCTTGAGTCCAGGAGTTTTGAGACCAGCCTGGGCAACATGGCCAAACCCTATCTCCACTAAAAATGCAAAAATTAGCCAGGCATGGCGGCCCAGCCTGTAGTCCCAGCTACTTGGGGGGCTGAGGTGGGAGGATCACCTGAGCTTGGAAAGTCGAGGCTGTTGTGAGCCATGATTGCACCACTGCACTCCAGCATGGGTGACAGAGTAAGACCCTGTCTCTAAAAAAAAAAAATAAGATATGCAACTTCCCTAGTTATTCCTGCAAATAACACTATTGTAGAACCTAAGATTGGCCCTTTGAGCTATCTTTCCAGGTTTTTTTTTTTTTTTTTTTTGAGATGGAGTGTCTCTCTGTCGCCAGGCTGGAGTGCAGTGGCACAATCTTGGCTCAGTGCAACCTCCGACTCCCCGGTTCAAGTGATTCTCCTGCCTCAGCCTCCTGAGTAGCTGGGACTACAGGCATGTGCCACCACACCCAGCTAATTTTTGTATTTTTAGTAGAGACAGGGTTTCACCACGTTGGCCAAGATGGTCTCAATCTCCTGACCTCGTGATCCGCCCACCTCGGCCTCCCAAAGTGATGGGATTACAGGTGACAGCCACCGTGCCCAGCCAGGTTTTTTTTTTTTTTGAGATAGTCTTGCTCTGTCACCCAGGCTGGAGTGCAGTGGCTCGATCTCCTCTCACTGCAACCTCCGCCTCCCAGGTTCCAGTGATTCTCCTGCCTCAGCCTCCCGAGTAGCTTTTTTTTTTTTTTTTTTTTTGTATTTTTAGTAGAGACAGGATTTCACCATGTTGGTCAGGCTGGTCTCGAACTCTTGGCCTCAAGTGATCCACCCGCCTCAGCCTCCCAAAGTGCTGGAATTACAGGTGTGAGCTACCACGCCCAGCCTCCTCCTGCCCAATTTTATGTGGCTTCCAGGATGTCTGGTTCTCCCATTATCCTGTAAGCTCTTTGACATCAAGTACCATTCATTGCTGCCTTCTCATAGTACTCAGCCCAGGGTCTCACACTGCAGGTGTTCAATTAATATTTGTTGAATTTATCTGAGTGTAACCCACACGCTCATTTTTACCAATGAGCAAACTAAGACCCAGGGGTAAAAGAGACAGCCCAAGGTCCTACAACTCATTTAGCGGCAGAAATAACCCATATAATAACCCATCCTCCCAGAATTACTATAAAGCAGCTTTAGAATAGCTGGGAAATTCACTGGTTTGCACTGTACTAAGCTAAGCTTTGTTAAGAAGGAGCTTTGTAAGAAGGAGCTCTGGCTTAACCCTGATCACTTTCCACCGGACACAAAAATGCTCAAATGAAACCAGTGCCCTACATTCCAGGCAGAGCTAGAGAACCCAGCACCAATTTAGTGCATACAATAGATACTTAAACATTCAATAACAAATGCCAAGAGCCAGCTATGAAAGTTGCCAATTTAAGCCACTAGAGGGAATCAAAGGCTCAGATTCGTCTGATGTCCCCAAAAAACTGGAACATTGTGGCGGGTGGTGTGCTTTGACAGTCAGCCAAGTCCTATTTATACCATATCCAGAATTAAATACAGCAGTGCAGGGAGGAGCCCCTCTGTGAATACAAATGGCTTCATCAAGGCAGGGAGCCATGAGATCAGGGCGCATACACTTCTAGTCTTCCTTGAACTTCAGTTCGTTAGACTCCAGGAGGCCACTGAGATTTCTACAGATTTCTAAGGTCCTTCTCCTTCTGTCCCTTTTTTTTTCTTTCTTTCTTTCTTTTTTTTTACATTAAAGCTTTTACATTTTTTTACATTGCTCAAAGGGTCTTCTGTACTTTTTTTTCTTTTCTTTTTTAAACCCACCTAAGCAGAGAGGGGCCTGGGTTCTGTCTCTTTTTTTTTTTTTTTGAGACAGAGTGTCACTCTGTTGCCCAGGCTAGAGTGCAGTCGCGCAATCTCGGCTCACTGCAACCTCTGCCTCCCAGGTTAAAGTGATTGTTGTGCCTCAGCCTCCTGAGTAGCGGGGATTACAGGCATGCACCACCATGCCTGGCTAATTTTTGTATTTTTAGTAGAGACGGGATTTCACTGCGTTGGCCAAGCTGGTTTCAAACTCCTGACCTCAGGTGATCAGCCCGCCTCGGCCTCCCAAAGTGCTGGGATTACAGGCCTGAGCCACCATGCCTGGCTTTTTTTTTTTTTTTTTTTTTTTTTAATCCAGATTCTCCCTCTGTAGCCCAGGCTGGAGTGCAGTGCTGTGATCTCGGGTTCATGAGTAACTGGGATTACAGGGTTGCACCACCCACCGAGCTATTTTTTTTAGTAGAGATGGGGTTTCTCCATGTTGACCAGGCTGGTCTCAAACTCCTGGCCTCAAGTGATCTGCCCGCCTCAGCCTCCCAAAGTCTAGGATTACAGGCATGAGCCACCGCGCCCGGTCCTGGGTTCTATTTTTTTTTTCCCCAGACGGAGTCTCGCCCTGTTGCTCAGGCTGGAATGCAATGGCGTCATCTCAGCTCGCTGTAACCTCCGCCTCCCAGGTTCAAACGATTCTCCTGCCTCAGCCTTTCAAGTAGCTGGGATTACAGGCAGGCGCCACCATGCTCAGCTAATTTTTTGTATCTTTAGTAGAGACGGGGTTTCACCATGTTGGCCAGGCTCGTCTCGAATTCCTGACCCCTTATGATCCACCCGCCTCAGCCTCCCAAAGTGCTGGGATTACAGGTGTGAGCCACCGCGTCCGGCCTCTGTCTTTAACTCCAAGGCTTAGCAGTGCTCATGGGGGCTGCTGAGCTTGTCTGCCATCTGATGGGTGAGAGGAAAGGGGCAGTCTGACCATCCTGTGGCTAGCCTTGGATTGCGTGGGCACTGGAAGATTCATCTTTGTTAGGAAAGACTTTAGAGATCATCAGTTTAACTTATGAGGAGATTGCACCCCAGAGAATTGAGATGTCACGTCACAAAACTAATTAGTGGCAGAATTGCAAGTAAGGGAATAGTCTCTGCTAGGATTCTGTTGCAGCATTTACCTATGGGAAGAGGTGCTGAGTGGTGGCAGTGGTAAGGACTGCCTCCTTAGGCACAGGCAGAATGCCTTCAGGGAAGCCGCAAGCTCTCCCTAAGTGGGAGCTTTTGCATGCACCTCAGGCACTTATCAAAGGACCTCTGGGAGCTTGAGAAAATTACCTTCTGAGCCTTAGTGTTTCCATCCGCAAAATGGGAATTAAAGAAGACACTGAGGAAAGCAGCTAGCATTGTGAAAGCACATAGGAGTCTCCCATTAAAATGTTAGTTCTCTTCCCCTGCTCATCTCTGCTAGAAGGGACTTTTTCTCACATGACTGCTGCCTACACTCAATTAAGAGTAGTTTAAAGTTTTATCCTCTAAAAGGTATTTACATTTATTTCCTTCCCTTCCCTCCCTCCCTCCCTCCCTCCCTCCCTCCCTTCCTTCCTTCCTTCCTTCCTCTCTCTCTCTTTCTTTCTTCTTTTCTTTCTTTCTTTTTTTTTGAGATGGAGTCTTGCTCTGTCGCCCAGGCTGGAGTGCAGTGGCACAATCTTGGCTCACCACAACCTCCGCCTCCTGGGTTCAAGCGATTCTCCTGCCTCAGCCACGTGAATAGCTGGGATTACAGGCATGCGCCACCACACCTGGTTAATTTTGTATTTTTAGTAGAGACAGGGTTTTGCCACGTTTGTCAGGTTTGTCTCAAACTCCTGACCTCAGGTGATCTGCCTATCTTGGACTCCCAAAGTGCTGGGATTATAGGTGTGAGCCACTGTGCCAAGCCGTATTTACATTTTCTCATAGATTCTCCTGAACCTTAAGACCCCCTTCAAAGAGATGGGCAGGAGGAACTGTGGTTTTTGTTTGTTTGTTTTTTGTTTTTTTTTTTTTGAGACAATCTTGCTCTGTCACCCAGGCTGGAGTACAGTAGCGCAATCTCAGCTCACTGCAACCTCCGCCTCCCGGGTTCCAGCGATTCTTGTGCCTCAGCCTCCCGAGTAGCTGGGATTACAGGCCCACGCCACCACGCCTGGCTAATTTTTGTATTTTTAGTAGAGACGGGGTTTCACCATGTTGGCCAGGCTGGTCTCGAACTCCTGACCTCAGTGATCCACCCACCTCAGACTTCTGAAGTGCTGGAATTACAGCTGTGAGCCACCATGCCCTGCTATTATGAGATTTTATTGTGATTTTATTCTATTTTTTTTTTTAGCTCATCAGCTGTTGTTAGTGTATTTTATGTGTGGCCCAAGATAATTCTTCTTCTTCCAGTGTGGCTCAGGGAAGCAAAAAGATTGGACACTCTTGAACAGTTTATTAAATTTGTATGCCTTTTCTCCTATTAATCTGCCTCTTGTCAGTGCTTTTCAATGAACCTTCAGCGGGCAGACGGGAAGTTTTCCCTTCACCCCAGCTACATATATAATTCTGTAGGAGGTGTGTGTGTGTGTGTGTGTGTGTGTGTGTGTGTGTGTGTGTGCGCGCGCGCGCGCGCACGTGCCTGCCTTCCAGATTGTTTATGGAACACTGTATGCAGTTCAAGACACAGCATGATGCAATAGAAAGAGGATGAGCTTTGGAGTCTGAGAGGTCTGGACTTGAGTAGTGGCTGTAAGACCAATTAATTCCCTGATTGCTCCAAGTTGTTTACTTTTCCGTAAAAGGAAAATAAAAACATCAACTTTGGAAGTTATTGTAAGCATTACATATGATGCATGAAAGTGTCTAGCACTGGCGCATGGTATGTAGCACACACTCAGCAAATGGCAACTACTATTAATAATTGTACTTGTGGCTGGGTGCAGTGGCTCACGCCTGTAATCCCAGCACGTTGGGAGGTCGAGGTGGGCGGATCACGAGGTCAGGAGATCGAGACCATCCTGGCTAACACAGTGAAACCCCGTCTCTACTAAAAATACAAAAAATTAGCCCGGCGAGGTGGTGGGCGCCTGTAGTCCCAGCTACTCGGGAGGCTGAGGCAGGAGAATGGTGTGAACCCGGGAGGCGGAGCTTGCAGTGAGCCGGATTGAGCCACTGCACTCCAGCCTGGGCGACAGAGCGAGACTCCGTCTCAAAAAAAAAAAAAAATAATAATAATAATAATTGTACTTGCTGCATTTTTTTTTTTTGAGACAGGGTCTCAGATGCTCTTTCTGCCAGGCTGGAGTGCAGTGGCACAATCATAACTCACTGCAGCCTGAACTCCCTGGGCTCAAGTGATCCTCCCACCTCAGCCTCCCAAGTAGCTGGGACTATAGGCTTTCACCACCATGCCTGGCTAATGAAATTTTTTTTTTTTAATTTAGACGGAGTCTCACTCTGTCACCCAGGCTGGAGTGCAGTGGCGTGATCTCAGCTCACCGAAACCTCGGCCTCCTGGGTTCAAGCGATTCTCCTGCCTCAGCCTTGTGAATAGCTGGGATTATAGGCGCATGCCACCACATCTGGCAAATTTTCGTATTTTTAGTAGAGATGGGCTTTCACCGTGTTGGCCAGGCTGGTCTCAAAGTCCTGACCTCAGGTGATCCTCCCACTTCAGCCTCCCAAAGTGCTGGGATTACAGGTGCGAGCCACCGCACCTGACCTAAATTTTTTTTTTTTTTTTTTTCAGAAACAGGGTT
Organism: Homo sapiens; assembly: GCF_000001405.40. NCBI lineage: Eukaryota > Metazoa > Chordata > Mammalia > Primates > Hominidae > Homo > Homo sapiens. The sequence goes on from NC_000011.10 coordinate 123,107,567, forward strand.
TCACTATGTTGCCCAGGCTGGCCTCAGGCTCCTGAGCTCAAGCAGTCCTCCCGCCTCGGCCTCTGAAAGTGCTGGGATCACAGGCATGGGCCACCACCGTGTTGCATTTTGAAAGACAGGGAAAACCAGAAAACATACCACATGGACAAACCAGGATTGTGAAAAGTTTGGAAGTCATTTTGCTTCATCACTGTTAGCATTTGGCTATATTTGCTCGCTTTTGTGTGCTCTCTCCTATTTTTTTTTTGTTGTACCAGTTGAAATCAAGTTGTGGATGGCATGACACTAAGTCTAAATGTTGCAGTGCACATCTCCTAAAAATAAGCATGTTATTCCTCACAACAACAGCCATCTTAGCACACCTAAGAAAATTGATAATATTGTAGAGAAGGTCATTCCTGACGAGCAATTAAGGAAGACTGCAGTGAGTAAGGATGGAGGTAGTTCTGGAGAGACAGGCATGTTTTTACCACACAGAGGGAGGGAAAAGAATTCTAGACGGAGGGAGCACCTGGAAGCTAATGGCACCACCTGTCCTCTCCGATCAGCTCCCCCTAGCCTCCCTTGTCACGAACTAGTGAAGTTCCTCTGCCATTTGCTTTCCCAATCCCACACCCAGCCCAACCCCAGAACCTCTCCAGTCCACTCCTTTTATGAGAGTCTTCAGAAGAAGAAGACCATATTTACTATGAGCTGCTAAATCCCTGACATTTTACTGTCTTTTTAAATACAAACATATATTTGGTACTTAAACAGTTTAAAGCCTAAAGCCAAAGGAATGAAGCTTGCAAGTTATCAGTGGAATTTCAGACATCTGGGAGTCAATACAGTGCCTAGTTATCTCCTCCCACCCCTCCAAGGAGGATATTTGTTCCTAGAGTCCTTAATATTAGGGGTGTGGATACAAGGACCCAGGTGACAGCCTGAGCTTTGGGCTTCAGTCAGGGGGGCCGGATATTGAGCTTCTACCTCCTTCCCAGCCTGTGGGTTGGTTTTAGGGGAGGAGAAGGATGGGGAAAGGGAATGAGGGAAAAGGGAGAAGGTGAGGGAAAGGAAAGGAAGAGGAAGGGAAGTGGGGGATGGGAGAAGGAAAAAGGAGGAGAGTGGGAGGGAGGAGAATGAGGAAAAGGGAGAACCTGACACTGATGGAAGATAGTTGGAGAAGTTTTCAGATTAAACACAAACTGATTAAAAATGATCAACTTGGCTGGGCGCGGTGGCTCATGCCTGTAATCCCAGCACTTTGGGAGGCTGAGGCGGGCGGATCACCTGAGGTCGGGAGTTCGAGACCAGCCTGACTAGCATGGAGAAGGAGAAACCCTGTCTCTACTAAAAATACAAAATTAGCAGGTTGTGATGGCGCATGCCTATAATCCCAGCTACTTGGGAGGCTGAGGCAGGAGAATCGCTTAAACCCAGGAGGCGGAGGTTGCAGTGAGCCAAGATCACGCCATTGTACTCCAGCCTGGGCAACAAGAGTGAAACTCTGTCTCAAAAAAAAAAAAAAAAAAAAAGAAAGAAAGAAAAAAAATGGTTGAGTTGCCTCCCTTCCCCTCTGTGAAAAACTGTCTCAGTAGGAACTTTGCAAGTGTTTATCCACATTAAAAAACTGCACTGAGCTTTTCACCTATCAGGCAAGGATGGTGTTAAGAATACAAAGGTGATGATAGTCTCTCCTACTCCTTCAAATCCTTCAAAAGAGGATCGTTGACACCTGATATTAATTTAACAATGAACAATTAACTGATTCAACTGCATGATCTCATGTGAACCCGTGACTCAAATGTTATCATTTGTTATCGATCTGAGCCCGTGAGAGCCAATGTTATCAACTCTTTTAGAGAAGAGAAGACTGAGGATGACCACACAGCTAAGGCCACACTGCCGATATTCCATCACTAGTTTTTATTATTTTTCCTTCCCCACACCGAAGATGATTGTCTTTTCCTTGAAACCGGCAGATTGGAAACACAGAGATCATGTTTGTAAATGTGGATGGCACAGAGCTAGGTAGCAGAGCTAATCTGGTTGGACACACCTGAGGTACATAGTTATCCTGCTGGCTGGGATTCTGACCCAAAGCAAGAAGAAATTGAATGGAAGCAAATGTTAAAGTTTCAGTGAGACACAAGTCCAGGGTGGGAAAGACCTGGAGGACATGGGGAACCAAGAGATTTATTGACCACCAGTATGATGTGGCCGCATTTATAGAGGTTCGATGTTCCAAACACCGAGTAACATCTCCATTGTACTTTATACTAGCCAACCTAGCATATCCAGAGCAACTGTGTTCAGTTTTAGATGCTGAAAACTGGGAAGGACATTGACAAAAAGGGGCATTCGGGGAGTCATGACCGGCAAATGATAGGGTGAGAAAAATATATGAGGAACAGCTAATGCAGTTATAGGTGAACAAATTATGAAGATGGAAGACCAAGGGGCAGCATTGTAGCTACCTTCCATCATTTAAAAGGCCACAAAACAAGTAATAGGTTTACTGCATTTTGTTCCTTTGGTCAGAATTACGGAATCATTATGGTGCCTAGTTATTTCCTTCCATCCCTCCAAAGGGGATATTTCTTCCTGGAGTCCTTGAAATAAGTGGTGTTGCCCATGCGATGGCTCACGCCTGTAATCCCAGCACTTTGGGGGGCTGAGGTGGGCAGATCACAAGGTCAGGAGTTCGAGACCAGCCTGCCCAACATGGTGAAACCCCGTCTCTACTAAAAACACAAAAATTAGCCGGCCGTGTTGGCAGGCACTTGTAATTCCAGCTACTTGGGAGGCTGAGATGGGAGAATCGCTTGAACCCGAGAGGTGGAAGTTGCCATGAGCCCTGATTGTGTCACTGCACACCAGCCTGGGTGACAGAGCGAGACTCCGTCAGAAAAAAAAAAAAAAAATTAGCCAGGTGTGGTAACTCCTGCTTGTAATCCCAGCTACTAGGGAGGCTTAGACAGGAGAATTGCTGGAACTCAGGAAGTGCAGGCTGTAGCGAGCCAAGATCACAACACGGCACTCCAGCCTGAGCAACAGACCGAAACTTCTCAAAGAAAAAAAAATGGTGTTGGTACAAAGACCAAGGTGACAACCTGAGCTGCGGGCGTCAGTCAAGGGGGGCCGGATATTGAGCATCTACTTCCTTCCCAGTCTGTGGGTTAGTTTTAGAGGAGGAGAAAGATGGGGAAAAGGAGTGAGGGAAAAGGGAGAAGTTGAGGGAAAGGAAGGAAAGGGCTTATGCCATTTGGGCTTAATATGTTGACTGACTCTGTAACAGCGCTGTCTGATAAGAGAAAGAGCTCTACTGTTTAGTGAGTTTTCCATTACTGGAGTCATTCAAATGAGAGTGTGTGAGTAGCTGTAAAGGGGTCCTTATATGTGGATGTTAAACCCAATATTTAATGTCTTTTCTAACTATAATATTCTATGAACTACTAATAATTATGAGTGCTCAGTATATTCAAGGCCCTGTCTTAGTTGAATGTGATGCGAAATATAAAATACAAGTGTAAAATACTGTCGGTGTATTTTGTCACCATCAGTGAGCGCTTACACAATTTATACAAAAGGTCTAGTTTTGTGCCATTGTGTGTGTGGTTTTTGTGTGTGTGTGCCTCAGCTGGAGTGCAGTGGCACGATCTGGGCTCACTGCAACTTCTGCCTCCTGGGTTCAAGTGCCTCAGCCTTCCAAGTAGCTGGGATTACAGATGCACACCACCACACCCAGCTCATTTTTGTGTTTTTAGTAGAGACGGAGTTTCACCGTGTTGGCCTGGCTGGCATGGAACTCCTGACCTCAGGTGATCGGCCCACCGCAGCCTCCCAAAGTGCTGGGATTACAGGTGTGAGCCACCATGCCCGGCCATAGTTTTGTTCCATTATTAACATGACTTTTCAAGATTGTTGAAGGGACTTTTCAAGATTGTTGAAGCGCTTTTTCAAAGAACTGAAAAGAACTGGCCCATCCAACTACAGCATTTCTTTCCTTTCTGTTGCTCTTTTAATCCACAAGGGGGCAGAATTTACTTAGGGAGGATTAGCCAGGCCTCACCTTTAAGGTAGTTATTCTTAGTAACAAGGATTCTAATGGACAAAGAATGACAGACTACTTTGGATTTAAGCTTATAAGCACTTTGCTGCCATTTGTGGTTATGTGCTAAATTTCCAACCACGTGCATTGAATGTTCAAAGGCCCATGGAAAAAATGAAAATCTTAGAAAATACGGTTAGGCATTTGAGAGGAACTTTTCCCAGGAAATAGAAACGTACACTACTTTAATAACTTAAGATCACTGTTTTAACTTATTCCAACTGAAGCAGATGTTTACTTTGTTTGTCTAAGACCAAAAAAGACTTATTTATTTTTTTAGAGACGGTATTTCACCATGTTGGCCAGGTTGGTCTTGAACTCTGGGTCTCAAGTGATGCCCCTGGCTCGGAAAAAAACTTATTTTAATTGTGGAATTTATTATGAAACAAATCAATTCATCAGATGTGGTCAACTATGGCCTCTAGATAGTTAATAAGAAAAGGCAACGAGGAACGGAACACGTCTGCCCCAATGGCTTCAGGGAGATTAAGGAATTGGCAAAATAACTCTGAAGGCTCTTTCAAGCTTAAAGTTTAGTTTTTGTTCTAGGCCAGTAAATTACGAAACCCTGGAATGCTCTGACTATATGTAATGTAGAATCTCAAGCTTGGGCAGGCCCACAGAAGGTCATTTGGTCACTATCTTGCCTTCAGGCCAATTTCTTTCTTTCTTTTTCTTTTTCTTTTTTTTTTTTTTTTGAGACGGAGTTTTGCTCTTGTCGCCCAGGCTGGAGTGCAGTGGTGTGATCTCGGCTCACGGCAACCTCCGCCTCCAGGGTTGAAGTGATTCTCCTGCCTCAGCCTCCCAAGTAGCTGGGATTACAGGTGCCCGCTACCACGCTTGGCTAATTTTGTGTTTTCAGTAGAGATGGGGTTTCACTATGTTGGTTAGGCTGGTCCCGAACTCCTGACCTCAGGTGAGCCCCCCCACCTCGGCCTCCCAAAGTGCTGGGATCGCAGGCGTGAGCCGCTGTGCTCGGCCATCTGCAGGCCAATTTCATATTTAAAACTAGGCAGCTGAAATGTATCAAGTTATTTACATTCTCTTATTGTCACTGGGGATCTGAAATCACGGCAAAACGGTTCCAAGATCTTGACAGGTCTGTTAGTACCCATTTTTTTTTTTTTTTTTTTTTGAGACGAAGTCTCGCTCTGTCACCCAGGCTGGAGTGCAGTGGCGCAATCTTGGCTCACTGCAAGCTCCGCCTCCCGGGTTCACGCCATTCTCCTGCCTCAGCCTCCTGCATAGCTGGGACTACAGGTGCCCGCCACCACGCCCTGCTAATTTTTTGTATTTTTAGTAGAGACGGGGTTTCACCGTGTTAGGCAGGATGGTCTCGATCTCCTGACCTTGTGATCTGCCCTCCTCGACCTCCCAAAGTACTGGGATTACAGGCGTGAGCCACCACACTCACCCAGTACCCAATTTTTAATTATTGTATATCATAACATATTCAAGGATACTGATGCTACAACATTTTCTTAAACACCCCTTATGCTTCCAGTTGTGGGTACCACAAATTAGCAGGTACATTGACAAAATAATTGGCACCCAGAGGTGAGTAACCTGGAGTGCATATTTGTTCAATAAATGTGAGCAGCACCTGTTACCATTCTAGGTGCTGCCAGGGATACAGAAATGAATGACATTGTCTTTTGTGTATCAAGAGATCACAATCAAATAGAGACACAAAACAGGCACCCAGTTCAAGGCAGTGTACGATCGTCAGTATTGTGTAAGAGTCAAACTGTTTTAGGAATTTAGTGGAGGAAGATCACTAATGTGATCAGGGATGGCTTCATAGTAAAAGAAATGTTTATCCCAGACCTTGAAGAGTACGTTAGAATTTTAGCAGCTATACCTGGCAGGCGATGACCTTCCAGACTGAATGGCAGCCTTAGTGATTAGCAAACCAGTTGCCAAGCTGACTTCTGCGTTTGGCAGATCGGAACATCACTGTGGACCCTTCGTCCTGATAGGTTCTCAAAGTCTGGTGGTGGGAAGGAGGATGGTCAGTAATAAAACATACTGTGCCTGGAAGCTGCACTGCTATTCTACAGACTGGGGGTTGACTATTTGGGAGTAATGTTTTGTGTTGATTTCTCCAGTAATAATTGTCAGGATAAGGATAACAATCTGGTCCACAAAGATCACTCCACCATTCAGAAATACAGCAGGTACCTCTCTGAATTCTGTCCTTGATAATATGCTATTTATGGTTCCATGCATGTATTCATGTTTACACATGCAGAAACACACACACACAACTGCTTGAACACCCTGGCAAGAATGCCTGTGCCAGTACACAGATCAGGCAAGAATGTATGCTTTTGATTCCGAGACTCTCAGAGATCCAGATCTCATGCTAACCTATTTCATTGACATGTCTATTTATAGTCGCTGTCTCGTTCCAAATGTGAAGTCGCTTTCTAAATCTAAATCTTTTATTACCTTCGTCAGAGAGATTCGAACAGAGGCAGAGGGGGCGGGAATTAAAAATAGACACAGACTTACTATGAAAAAGAAAATAATCGATTGTTAGGGATCCATGGCCAGGAAGAATTGAGATTATGTTGATAATTAAAATCCACTGACAAATCCTCAATTCAGCCTTTAGTTTTATCCTGCCCCTTCCACTTTCCTATCAAAGCTAATAACGAAGAGAGAAGATGACTGGTTTGAACTTCATCCCTGCTCCTCTCATTCACTCTCCCTAAGGAGGGGCAGAAGAGCCATGAAACAAAGAATTGAAGGAGCTGCATTTTCTTTCCCTCCCTCCCTCCCTCCCTCCCTCTCTCCCTCCCTTCCTTCCTTCCTTTTTTTTTTTTTGAGATGGGGGAGTCTCACTGTGTTGCCCAGGCTGGTCTTGAACTCCTAGGCTCAAGCAATTCTTCCTCCTTGGCCTTCCAAAGGGCAAGGATTACAGGCGTGAGACACCACTCCCAGCCCTGCATTTTCTACTCACAGGAAAATCATGTCCTACATGATAAAAATCACAGATAGTACAAATTTGGCAACCTATAATTTTTAAAACCCCCAAATGTAACACTTCTTAATAATAGTAATTTTTGAGGACTTATTATGTGCAAAGCATTGGTACTTGATTTATATTCATTTCCATTTCTTCATCTTCTCAATAATCTTGTGAAGTAAGCACTATTATCTTCATTCTACAGACAGATACTGAAATGCAGAAAGATTAACTTGCCCAAGATCGCACAGATTACGAGGAATTGAGCCACTATTCTAATCCAGCCATTTAACTCTAAGACCTATACCCTGAACAGTATATTGGACTGCTACCCAGTATAGGTAGCTAACACAAATTTTTTGCTCTGGATTCCCCTTAAAGCTTTCACCTTCATGTTTTCTACTCTTGGTCATCTACAAAAAAGTATATATTGAGACAGGGTCTCGCTCTGTTGCCCAGGCTGAAGTGCAGTGGTGTGATCATAGCTCACTGCAGCCTGAATCTCCTAGGCTCAAGCGATCCTCCTGCCTCAGCCTCCTGAGCATCTGGAACTACAAGTGTGCACCAGCACACCTGGCTAATTTAAATTTTTTTTTTTTTGGTAGAGACAAGGTCTTGCTGTGTTGCCCAGGCTGGTCTCCAACTCCTGGGCTCAAGCGATCCTCTTTTCTAGGCTCTCAAAGTGCTGGGATTACAGGTGTGAGCCACTGCACCTGGCCTAGAAATGTTTTTCAATTTATTTTTCTTTACTTAGACTCCCATTTTTTACATATATATAAACTCACAGTCTTCTTTACTGTTATTTGGAATAGATTAAATATTATGATTCAACAATGGCATTTTAGAGTAGGCTTTCAGAAACTACATGTCATTAATGTAATGCTGATCAGAAACAAGTAGACACAAAAGAGTACATTCTATAGGATTCCATTCTATATGATTCCAGGGTACAGAAACAGAAAAAAAAAATCTGTGCTGTTAGAAGTCTAGGTAGTGGTTACTCCTGGAGTAAGCAGTAGTGAATATAAGGGAACATGGTGGGGCCTTCCAAGGTGCCGGTTCTATTTCTTGATTTGGGTGCTTGTTACTTGGGTGTGACCATTTCACGAAATTTGTTGAGCTCTTTATGATGGCTGTGTTCTTCTGTATGTATATTATATTTTATATTATCTATTGCTGCATACCAAATTGTCCCAGAACTTAGCAGCTCGAAACAATAAACGTGTTATCTCATAGTTTCTGTGGGTCAGGAATCTGAGCATGGCTTAGCTGGGTGGCTCTGACTCAGGGTCTCTCATGAAATACAAACTGTTGGATGGGGTTGTAGTCTCATCTGAAGGCTCGCATGAGGTGGAGGGAGATTTACTTCTAAACTCACTCATGAGGTTGTTAGCAGCTTTCAATCCTCACCATATGGACCTCTCCACAGGGCTGCCTCACCACACGGCAGCTGGCTTCCCCCAGGGTAGGTGATGCAAAAAAGAGCACAAGATGAGACGTCTCAGAGGAGACGTCTAATCTCTGCTGCCGTATTCTACTTGTTATAAGCAATTCAATAATTCCAGCCCACACTCAAGAAGAGAGGAATATTAAGAGGCAGGAATCATTAGGTGCAATCTTAAAGGCTGCCTACCACACACTTTAATAAAGCCTTAAAGGCCTGGCATGGTGGCTCACGCCTGTAATCCCAGCACTCTGGGATGCCGAGACAGGCGGATCACCTGAGATCAGTAGTTCGAGAGCAGCCTGGCCAACATGATGAAACCCTGTGTATACTAAAAGTACAAAAAATTAGCCAGGCATGGTGGCAGGCACCTGTAATCCCAGCTACTCAGGAGACTGAGGCAGGAGAATCGCTTGAACCCAGGAGGTGGAGGTCACATTGAGCCGAGATCACACCACTGCATGCCAGCCTGGGCAATAAGAGTGAAACTCCATCTCAAAAATAAATAAATAAATAAAGCCTTAAAAATTATCCATATGTGTCCTCTGCCTCCCCACTCACAATAACAATCATTGTCTTCTTATAGAATTAAAAATGCTTTCACAATTCACTAGATTTTTGGCAACCACAACATCTCGTAAGAGTAGGTTATGACATGAATTCTTCTTTCTGTTTTACAGAAATGTAATAAGCTTGATATGACCACTTTTATGTTTGCAAAGCACTTTTCAGATTTCACAATTCTTTTTCATACATATTTTGAGTTTTATTATGCAGAATAAGTGAGAATTGTAGTTTAGTGTTATTTCCCTATGACAAATTCCAGGAAAATATATTATCAGGGTGGCATGAACAACGTTATAGTTTATATTATTTATAGAGGATAAAAGGTCTCAGCCAGGCATGGTAACTCACACCTGTAATCCCAGCACTTTGGGAGGCCAAGGCGAGTGGATCACCTGAGGTTAGGAGTTCGAGACCAGCCTGGCCAACATGGTGAAACACCATCTCTACTAAAAATACAAAAATTAGCCAGGAGTGGTGGCGGGTGCCACCCTGAATACTCTGAAATACTAATTTCACAGTATTATCTGATAATACTCTGAAAATTGTAAAATGCATATAATATACCAGTCACTGTGCACTAAGGGATATAAATATATATGTATATATATAATTTCATTTAATCAGAACAATCCTACAAAGCAAAATTTTGCCTCATTTTACAGAGTAAAACCTGAGACTTAGAAAGGCCTATTTGCTAAGATCTAAGAGATAATAATTGGTAGAGCCAAAATTTCAACTAAGTTTGACTTGAGACCTTTTATCTTTTTTAAAAAATTTTTTATTTTTTATTTTTTATTATTATTTTTTAGCCAGAGTGTTGCCCTGCTGCCCAGGCTGGAGTGCAGTGGTACGATCTCAGCTCACTGCAGCCTCTGCCTCCTGAGTTCAAGCAATTCTCCTGCTTCAGCCTCCCAAGTAGCTGGGATTACAGGCACTCGCCACCATGCCTGGCTAATTTTTGTATTTTTAGTAGAGATGGGGTTTCACCATGTTGGCCAGGCTGGTCTCGAACTCCTAACCTCAGGTGATCCACTCGCCTTGGCCTCCCAAAGCACTGGGATTACAGGCGTGAGCCACCATGCCTGGCTGAGACCTTTCATCCGCTATAAATACAATAAACTATAATGCTGTGCGTGCCACCCTGATAATAAATTTTCCTGTAATTTGTCATAGGGCAATTTTTACAAAAGCTGTACCATCCTGATCTTAGCAGGAAAAAAGGAATTATCTTCAAAGAGTATGGCAGGTAGAATATGAAAGGCAGTAATTCACTCTCTTTATGGCATTTGTGTACAGCACTAAAGAATGTGGCGGTCTTCCTCCAAGACACTGATGCTACTCACCTATGATCACTGGGGAGAAATCTTTGGAATATATTCTTATGAATGTGTTCATGGAAAGCTGACCATATGCATCATACCATTCATTTAATATACACTTTTTAAGTGGCTTTAAAACAACCAGTGTATAGGTTCGCAAAGACTGCAATAAACTTTTTTTTCTTTTTTTGAGATGGAGTCTCTCTCTGTTGCCCAGGCTGGAGTGCAGTAGCACAATCTTGGCTCACTGCAACCTCTGCCTCCGGAGTTCAAGCGATTCTCCTGTCTCAGCCTCCCAAGTAGCTGGGATTATAGGCATGCACCACCATGCCTGGCTAATTTTTCTTTTGTATTTTTAATAGAGACAAGGTTTCAACATGTTGGCCAGGCTAGTCTCGAACTCCTGACCTCAGGTGATCTTCCTGCCTTGGCCTCCCAAAGTGCTGGGATTACAGGCATAAGCCACCAAGCCCAGCCAAGACTGCAATAAACTTTAATCTGCTTCTTACATCAAATGTGTGAGCAGAACTATAATCAAACTTAGCTCATGCTTGACAAAGAAAATATTGGAGCTTCTTTTCTGCCAGAGACAGATCAGGGCAATTAAAAACCTGGACCTCGATCTGTATGCAACTAAATGATGGTATGCAGATAAATGGACTAACCCAGACTTCCACTTTTCTCATTAAAGTGGCAAGAATAGACCTGGCATTGCAATTTGGCTCCGACACCCAGTTTATATCCCAGCAGAAAATGTCGCGTCTCAGCAAGGGAGGATTTGTAATGCCAAGTCATTTCCCCTGACTTTACTTTCTTCCTGTCCTTCCCTCACACCCAAATGACTCAAATGGCTGCCTCACACTCACGTACTCATTCATTCACTCATGTATTTACTCAAATGACCTAACTATGAGTCTTGAGTTTGTCTTGCCAGGGGATTGTCTTCCAGGTGATCTTTGCATTTTCTTTTCTTTTCTTTCTTTCTTTCTTTCTTTCTTTCTTTCTTTCTTTCTTTCTTTCTTTCTTTCTTTCTTTCTTTCTTTCTCTCTCTCTCTCTCTCTCTCTCTCTCTCTCTCTCTCTCTCTCTCCCTCTCCCTCTCTCTCTCTCTCTCTCTCTCTCTCTCTCTCTCTCTTTCTTTTTTTGAGATGGAGTTTCACTCTTGTTGCCCAGGCTGGAGTGCAATGGCATGATCTTGGCTCACCACAACCTCCACCTCCCGGGATCAAGCGATTCCCCTGCCTCAGCCTCCCGAGTAGCTGGAATTACAGGCACGCGCCACCACACCCAGCTAATTTTGTATTTTTAGTAGAGAGGGGGTTTCTCCATGTTGGTCAGACTGGTCTCAAACTCCCGACCTCAGGTGATCCGCCTGCCTCGGCCTCCCAAAGTGCTGGGATTACAGGCATTATTCACCATGCCCGGCTGATCTTTGCGTTTTCATCAGAGCATCAAACCAGTTCTGGCTGACTGCCTTTCCTGTAGACCTGGTGTGCTTACAGGGGTAACGAAGAACAAGAAATCACCCAAGTACTTTAATATCTAAGATGGGCAGTTCACAAATCTAATTAATTATTAGCATCCCTTAAAAAGCTTTTTCGAATAACGTAATGTAAGCATATGGTAAACATTCAAACAGAACAAAATAGTATACAGTGAAAAGTAAGTCTGTCTCACAGTGACCCTCAGTTTTCCTCCTACCAGTTCATATGCATTTTATGTCTCACATTATTTTGTTGTTTTTTTTTTGAGACTGAGTCTGGCTTTGTTGCTCAGACTGGAGTACAGCGGTGCAATGTCTGCTCACAGCAATCTCTGCCTCCTGGATTCAAGCGATTCTCCTGTCTCAGCCTCCCCAGTAGTTGGGATTAGAGGCACACGCCACCAAGCCCAGCTAATTTTTGTATTTTTATTAGAGACAAGGTTTCACCATGTTGGCTAGGCTGGTCTCGAACTCCTGACCTCAGGTGATCCACCCACTCTGGCCTCCCAAACTGCTGGAATTACAGGTGTGAGCCACCGCGCCTGGCATAGGGTCTTATCTTTATTCCTGGAGTTGTAAAATTTTACTATGATGGGTTTTGGTATAAGACTTTTTCCCATTCACTTATTTTGATGTGCCTTTTAATCTAAAGACTCATTTAAATGTCAGGAAATGTTGTTGTACTATTTAAAAATAATTCTGCTGAGTTCAGTGACTCAAGCCTCTAATCCCAGTGCTTTGGGAGGCAAAGGTGTAAGGATTGCTTGAGCCCAGGAGATTGAGACCAACCTGGGCAACACAGTGAGACCCCATCTCCACAAAAATATAAAAGTAATACTAAATAAAAATACAAATAATTCATGTCATTTTCCCTTCTTTTTCATACACCCATCTTTCAGATGTTGGACCTCCTGGATTGATCCTCTATTTTTTTTTAGATCTTTTCTCTCATGTTGTTTGGTTGAGTTGTTCCAAGAGTTTGTCAAGAGATCTCTTGGATGGCATTATAAGATAATTGTTAAAATCAGCAATTCAAATACCAGAAAAATTATTTTCTAGTTCTACAAGCTTGGGCAAGTTCTTTATCCTCTCTTAGTTTTCTTGTCTATAAAATGGAGGAAATAATTGTATTCAATTATTTGATGATTAAATGATGATTATTAAAGCATGTTATGAGAATCGAGTTAGTTTTAATACATGTCTGAAACATAGTAAATGTTCAATAAATTTTGCTATTATTGTTGTTATTATTATCCTATTCTTGTTTGATGGATACAGTGTCTTCCATTATGTCTCTCAGGATATTAATCACAGGGTTCCTTGCATAGTCTTTGTTTCTATTCGCTTTTCTCTTACTTTTCTCAAACGTCTCATGTTATATTCAGAGATACTAAAAAGCTGTTTGGGGCCGGGCGCGGTGGCTCACGCTTGTAATCCCAGCACTTTGGGAGGCCGAGGTGGGAGGATCACGAGGTCAGGAGATCGAGACCATCCTTGGTAACATGGTGAAACCCCCTCTCTACTAAAACTACAAAAAATTAGCTGGGCATGGTGTGGCAGGAGCCTGTAGTCCCAGCTACTTGGGAGGCTGAGGCAGGAGAATGACATGAATCTGGAGGTGAAGCTTGCAGTGAGCCAAGATCCCGCCACTGCACTCCAGCCTGGGCGACAGAGCGAGACTCCGTCTCAAAAAAAAAAAAAAAAAAAAGCTGTTTGGATATGCTGAGAATGAGCAGGACTTGTACAGTGGGCTTCTTTGTAGGCTGTTTGATTGTGGGATTCCCAACGTCAGTGTCTGTAGGCCTTTTTTCTGAAGCTGTTGAATTACTCCAGAGAAAAATTCTTGTTTTTGTTTTGTTTTGTTTTGTTTTGTTTTTGAGATGGTGTCTCGTTCTGTCGTCCAGGCTAGAGTGCAGTGGCACAATCTCGGGTCACTGCAATCTCCACCTCCCAGGTTCAAGCAATTCTCCTGCCTCAGCCTCCTGAGTATCTGGGACTACAGGCATGTGCCACCAGGCCCATCTAATTTTTGTATTTTTAGTAGAGACGGGGTTTCACCATGTTGGCCAGGCTGGTCTGGAATTCCTGGCCTCAAGTGATCTGCCTGCCTTGGCCTCCCAAAGTGCTGGGATTACAGGTGTGAGCCACCTCACCTGGCCAGAGAAAAATTTTAAAATCACATATCTGTCAGTGGGAGGTGGGTAATGGCTGCCAATGTTCTCTGAGCTGGGTGGGTTTAGTGGGTCAGGAGTATACCTATACAGATTCCAGTCCTTGAGCCTTTTAATAAACTGGCTTATAACCACTGGGGTTTCAGCCACTGTGTTTTGGTAAGTCAGTTACCTCTCTTCCACCTGCTTTCATCAGCCAAACATTTGTTGACATTTCTCTTTCACCTTTATTTCCTTCCCCATTTTCAGCCACCTGAGTAGCTGGTACTGACTACAGGCACGTGCCCTTGCGTCCGGCTAATTTTTGTATTTTTTGTAGAGATGGGGTTTTGCCATGTTGCCAGGCTAGTCTTGAACTCCTGGACTCAAGCAATCCGCCTGCCTACGGCCTCCCAAAGTGCTGGGATTGGGAACCACTGTGTCTGGCCCTTTACTTTCATTTTAGTGGGTTTTGGGGAGGAAACAGAGAAAAATACATGTGTTCAATCTACCACATTACCTAAAATATCCGTAAGTGATTTAGGGGGCAGGTACTGTCTTCTAGACTATAGACATTTTCTCTGCTCCGTTTTTATTTTTTAATTTTTTTAGAGATAGGGTCTTGCTATGTTGCCCAGGCTGGTCTTGAACTCTTGGGTTCAAGAGACCCTCTCAAGCTTTCCTAGTACTGGGATTACAGGCGTGAGCCACTGTGCCAGGTACTCTGCTCCATTTTTGAAAGCAACAAAATATTTAATTAGATCTGTGGCTTTTTATCCTCCCACTTCCCCTGTTCAACAGACAGTCATCATTGGCAGGGTTGTGTCTGTCGACTGCGATACTGACTGTGATATTGGCTCTCTAACCCTGGGACAGATAGGACAGTCCTCCGGGAAACAGAACAGCTTGTCCGTGTACTCAGGAAGCTCATGTGGGATACACGGTGGCCACACTCCTACTGGAAAGCTTTTCTGTTGCGACACCCTCTGCTCAGCATGATAGAAAAGGAGAAAAAGCTTTTATTTCCCAATAGGCTCTCTCTTATCCCGAGAACCTTATCTGGGAAAAAGGTAGCAGAGAAACGTGAAAGCAAGTTTCATCAGGAATGAGGAAATTGCCACTCATTTTGCTAATTTTGACCTATGAAACCCAAAGAGAAAACGTGTGTGGGATTTTGTTTTCATGTCTTGTGTTTTTCTTACTTTCCCCCTCTCTTCCTCCCTGTCTTCCCTCCTTTCCTTCTTCCTTTCTTTCTACTCACCAGGCATGTTGTATTTAAGCTATTTTGGTTCAGACTAAGGGAAATGAATCAAGGCTTTCGGAACAAATTAAAGAAGTACACAAATGCTCAGGATGAAGCCTTCATGTCCAATAGAAACGAAGGCCTGCTCTGCTCAAAATAACTCGTTCTTGCACCCTCATCCCTTTTGCTGTGTTTGCAGCTTGGAAACCCTACCAGACACCGAGGCCTTCTTAGGAAAAATATTTGTTTAAATCTTTCGCTTTCTCTGTGGTCTTTAAAAGCCACTAAGCCACTCTGGTTTCTAGTCCAGGAATCAGCTTTTCTGGGCGTATCATATTGCCCAGCTGTGACCCTTCCAGGCACGTGAACTCTGCAGAATTCTAGCAGAGATCTGAAGATTTTTTTCTTTTCTTTCTTTCTTTCTTTCCTTTTTTTTTTTTTTTTTTAAGACAGAGTCTTGCTCTGTCACTCAGGTTGGAGTGCAGTGGTGTGATCTTGGCTCACTGCAGCCTCCACCTCCCGGGTTCAAGCCATTCTCGTGGATCAGCCTCCCAAGTAGCTGGGATTACAGGCATGTGCCACCACACTGGCTAATTTTTGAATTTTTGTAGAGACAGTGCTTCACCATGTTGGCTAGGCTGGTCTTGAACTGCTGGCCTCAAGTGATCTGCCCACCTCAGCCTCCCAAAGTGCTGGGATTACAGGGGTAATCCCACTGTGCCTGGCCAAGGTTTTTGTACATGAGAAATTGGTGGCGAGTCCCATGAGGAAGTGCGGCGTACACACAGGCAGATTTCCTTCACCATTAGTTCCTGTGTCAATCAGGGAACCCGCAATGAGACCATGTATTATGTACAGCATTGTACAGGGATTTTGTGGAAAATGTGAGAATAGACACAATCCATACACAATTCCTGACTCCTGTCCTCATGTAGCATCCAGTGTAGTTGTAAGGCATGTGAAAAAATTAGCAAATACTTTAAGACAGCACAAAATTGACACTACCTCTAATGCTGTGGCAGCTCAGAGGAGATGGCGACCCATAAATGATGAAAATCAGTGCAGGAAATGAGACATGAGAGACAAATGGAGGGAAAATGCAAAGGAGAAAGGCAGGAACGAGCTCTGGATGATTGGGTGGGAATGAACTCATTACTCAGGGTTAGACTGCAAGGGAAAGAGAAAAGGAGCAGTGAGGAGAGAGCGATTCATTTGATGGGAGAGTTAGGAGAAGGAAACTTCTAGGTAAATATTATTGGAATTGGCCTACAGAGAACAGCCCTGTTATATTTTTTTGGTTGTTATTTTTAGTTTAACAACAAGTGTCCGCTTTTATCTATAATTTTCTTTTTCTTTCTTTTTTTGTAGAGATGGGGGTCTTGCTATGTTCCCTAGGCTGGTCTCGAACTCCTGGCCTCAAGTGATCCTCTTGCTTTGGCCTCCCAAAGTGTTGGGATTACAGGCATGAACTACCACGCACAGCTTACGGTTTTCCCAGTTGATTGGTTTGCTAATCTTTGAGATTAATCCAGAGGCAAGCAGAGATCTATTTCACCCCTACCCCACAAAACCCCTCTTAAATATCCAAGATTTTTGGTGGGCTGTGGTGTCACAGGTGAGTGAATTGAAATCATTAGGTAGTTGGATGTATTTCATTCAGCATGCAGGACTATCTGGCAGCAGAGACTAGAAGGGCCAAATCCTACTTCTCTGGATTTTGCCTCTGCAATAATCTAACAACCATCTGCTTACATCACTTTTTAGAATAACCAGTCATTTAATGTCGTTCATTCATTTAATAAATACTTATTGAACACTTGCTATATGTCAGTCACCATCTGCAGCGCTGGGCATACAGCAGTGAACAAAACGGATATTCTCCTTATTTTGTCCTTCTCAGAAATGCGTACATATCCCTGAGGGTCTTGGGCAGTGAGACAGAAACATATAGCATTCTAAAATAATTATGTAATCAATATTTTCTTGGAGTGTCAGTTTACTAAATAAGTAATTGAAAACACTGCCCTGTATTTAAATATATACATATGGAGTGGAATACAAAATTTAAATGCATTTCTTTTTTGAGACAGGGTCTGGCTCTGTCACCCAGGCTGGAGTGCAGTGGTGAGATCCCGGTTCACTGCAACATTTGCCTCCTAAGCTCAAGTGATCCTCCCACCTTAGCCTCCTGAGTAGCTGGGACAATAGGTGTGCACTACCATGCCTAGCTAATTTTCTGTATTTTTAGCAGAGACAGGGTTTCACCATGTTGCCTAGATGGGTCTTGAACTCCTGAGCTCAGGCAATCCGCCTGCCTCGGCCTCCTACAGTGCTGAGATTAAGAGCAAGAGCCACCACACCTGGCCTTATATGCATTTTTAAGCTAAAGCAAGACTTTAAAGAAATGCAATTTGTTCTGGGCTATGTCCCAAATCTCCAAGGTCCGCATGTACACTCCTCTGCCTTTAGAAGCACTCATGGAGAAGTTTGCAAAGCACTGCCCTACTTAATCTTGAGTGGCCTTACCACTGCCTACAAGATCAAGAGGAGACTCCTGCATGAACACTCAAGGTTCTTCAGGATGTGGACCGGGGCCACGTTCCCCAGCACTCACTCTCCCTTCCCTCCCTCCCTCCTCCCTCCCTCCTCCCTCCCTCCTTCCTCCCTTCTTCCTCCCTTCCCTTCCCTTCCCTTCCCTTCCCTCCCCTTCCCTCCCCTCCCCTCCCTCCCTTCCTCCCTCCCTCCCTCCCTCCTTTCTTTCTTCTTTTCTTTTCTTTCTTTCTTTTTTTTGAGACAGAGTCTTGCTCTGTTGCCCAGCCTGGAGTGCAGTGGCACGATCTCAGCTCACTGCAACCTCTGCCTCCCGGGTTCAAGTGATTCTCCTGCCTCAGCCTCCCAAGTAGCTGTGATTACAGGCATGTGCCACCACGCCTGGCTAATTTTTTTGTATTTTTAGTAGAGACGGGGTTTCACCGTGTTGGCCAGGCTGGTCTCAAACTCCTGACCTCATGTGATCTGCCCGCCTCCGCCTCCCAAAGTGCTTGGATTACAGGCATGAGCCACTGCGCCCAGCCCACTCTCTTTGCTTTCTGCTCTCTCTTCGCACAGCAGGAGCACATAGGAAGCACCCACTGGACAATGTGCTGGGCTAGAGTATAACAAAGACAACTTCTTAGCCACACCCACCATGTGCTACTCACACTGCTCATTGCCTCACCCTCCCTGCTTAGAAAATCTTTTCCTCTCTTCCAAGGGGCCAGCCTGAATATATTGCTTCGCCTGAATAGCATGAATTTCTTTTTTATCCATTTTCCTATAATACTCTGTAGACACTTCTGTAATAGATCTTACATTTTGTCATGCCTATATAGTGTCTCATCTTTTCTCCTACTGCATGTTAAATTCCCCAGGCAGGGCCATTCTTTTCAATTCTTCTTTGTATTTACACAGTGCTTGTCACCAAATAGGCCCTCAATGGATGTAAGCCGAATTAATTAAGTTTTCAGAGAGACATGCAAATTCTCTGGGAAGTTCATCTGAAAATATTAAGTAATGTATTAATTAATTTATCAATATATTAATCAACTATTTACCAGTCCTATTTTTTGTAGAGACGGGAGTCTCAGTGTGTTGCTCAGGCTGGTCTTGAACTCCTGGACTCAAGAATGCTCCAGCCTCAGCGTTTCAGTGTGTGAGGATTAAAGGTGTGAGCCACTGCACCTGGTCTCCTGCCTTTCTACTCTTGAGCTAAGTTTATGAAGACAGTAATAAGAAAACAGAACTAGGCTGGGTGCAGTAGCTCACGCCTGTAATCCCAGCACTTTGGGAGGCCGAGGTGGGTGGATCACAAGGTCAGAAGATCGAGACCATCCTGGCAAACACGGTGAAACCCCGTCTCTACTAAAAATACAAAAAATTAGCCAGGCGTGGTGGTGGGCGCCTGTAGTCCCAGCTACTTGGGAGACTCAGGCAGGAGAATGGCACGAACCTGGGAGGCGGAGCTTGCAGTGAACCAGGATGGCGCTACTGCACTCCAGCCTGGGCGAGAGTGCGAGACTCCATCTTAAAAAAAAAAAAGAAAGAAAACAGAACTAGTCTCTTCCCTCATGACACTTATAATTGTATGAAAAAGACTCATAGTAATGAGAGAAATAATTATAAGAATTTAATTATATTAAATGTGATAAGTTAAATATAATTAAGTGTATAAATGTGATAAATGCTATAAAGGAAAAGTACAGGAAACTATGAACATATAATTCCATCTTTAAATAATTTCTTTTTTTTTCTTTTCTTTCTTGTTTTTTTGAGACAGAGTCTCTCTCTGTCACCCAGGCTGGAGTGCAGTGGCGTGATCTCAGCTCGCTGCAACCTGCGCCTCCTGGATTCAAGTGATTCTCCTGCCTCAACCTCCTGAGTAGCTGGGATTACAAGTATGTACCATCATGCCCAGCTAATTTTTGTATCTTTAGTAGAGACGGGGTTTCACCATGTTGACCAGACTGGTCTCGAACTCCTAACCTCAAGTGATCCACACACCTCGGCCTCCCAAAGTACTGGGATTACAGGCGTGAGCCACAGCGCCCAGCCCACCTCTTTTTATAATGACTTATTTTCCATATTAGTAATTAAGACTTATTACGTGGAGGGAGGGAGGACTAAAAGGGGCAGTTTGTTCCACATTTAAAAGCCAGAACTAAATCCTTCGGAGAGGAGAAATGATAGTGATTCTACCCAAACTCTTTGAGAAAATAGAAAAGGAGCACTTCCTTTTCATTTTATCAGCATTACTCCAATCCCAACAACCCAGATAAAGATATGACATACACACAAAAGAAAATCACAGACCAGTACCACTCATGAACTTACATGCAATCATCCCTTAACAAAATCAAACCAAGTAGTAGATATAAAGAGTAACGTGGCCGGGCACGGTGGCTCACGCCTGTAATTCCAGCACTTTGGGAGGCCAAGGTGGGCGGATTACCTGAGGTTAGGAGTTCGACACCAGCCTGGCCAACATGGCAAAACCCTGTCTCTACTGAAAATACAAAAAAATTAGCCGGGCGTGGTGGTGCAAGCCTGTAATCCCAGACTCAGGAGGCTGAGGCAGGAGAATCACTTGAACCAGGGAGGCAAAGGTTGCAGTAAGCCAAGATCGCACCATTGCACTCCAGCCTGGTGACAGAATGAGACTCTGTCTCAAAAAAAAAAAAAAAAAAGGTAATACATCAGACCAAGTAGGTTTTATCCTCAGAATATAAGGTTGGTTTAACAATAAAAAATCAATTAATCATAGTAATTCCCCATATTTATAGGATGAAGGAGAAAAGCAGTATCATTTCAGGAGATGAAGAATGAAGAAAAAGACTTTAACAAATTGAATACCCATTCATGATTAAAAAAAGAAAAAAAAAAAACAACTCAGCCAACCAGGAAGAAAGGGGACTTCTTTAAAAAAACAAAAACAAAGTAGGACTACAAGGCGGGCATGGTGGCTCAGGCCTGTAATCCTGGCATGGTGGCCCAGGCCTGTAATGCCAGCATGGTAGCTCAGGCCTGTAATCCTGGCATGGTGGCTCAGGCCTGTAATTCCGAGGTGGGAGGATCGCTTGAGCCCAGGAGTTTGAGACCAGCCTGAGCAACATAGCGAGATCTTGCCTCTACCAAAAATAAAAAGTAGCCAGATGTGGTGGCACAAGCCTGTAGTCTCAGCTACTTGGGAGGCTGATGTGAGATTTTTGCTTGAGCCCAGGAGGTAGAGGCTGCAGTGAGCTATGATCACGTCACTGCATTCTAGCCTGAGCAACATGGTGAGACCATGTCTCAAAAAAAAAGAAAAAGACTGCAAGTTAAAAAGTGAAAAATAATTAAAAGTTTAATCATCAGTATCTGTCAAACAACTAATTTGACCTTTTTCTCAAATTGAATATTAAAATATATAGAGGTGGGAAGAATTTTATGAAACTTTTATACTAATAGCTACTTATATGGAACACTGGCTAAGAGCTCTGTGAACAGCATCTTTTTTAATCCTTACACAACCCCATACAATAGGTATGATTTTTATTCCCATTTTATAGATGATGAAACTGAGGCTTAGGGAAGTCAAAGAAATTGACTGCAGAAATACAGCCAATAATTAGCACAGCCGGTGTTAAACTGAAGATCTGTCTGCTTTAAAATTTGTGCTTCTAAATGTTGTTCAGGGCCAGGAGCAGTAGCTCATACCTGTAATCCCAGCACTTTGGGAGGTCGAGGCAGGTGGATCACCTGAGGTCAGGTTGGAGACCACGCTGGCCAACATGGTGAAACCCCATCTCTAGCAAAGACACAAAAATACAAAAAATTAGTTTGGCGTGGTGGTGGGTGCCTGTAATCCCAGCTACTCAGGAGGCTGAGGCAGGAGAATTGCTTGAATCCGGGAGGCAGAGGTTGCAGTGAGCCGAGATTGTACCATTGCACTCCAGCCTGGGCAATGAGTGAAACTCTGTCTTAATATACATATATATAAAATATATCATATGATATATTATATAAAATATATATCATATGATATATTATATAAAATATATATCATATGATATATTATATAAAATATATATCATATGATATATTATATAAAATATATCATATGATATATTATAGATTATATATAATTAATTTCAAAAATTTCAAATATATTCTAATTCAAAATTGAATATTCAATTTCAAAAATAATTGAATATATTATATAATTATATAATATATATTGTAATTATATAGTATATAATATATATTATATTTATATAATATAATATATATTATATGATATATAGTTCAGTATATAAATTTTATATATATAAATATTATATTTATATAAAATAATATTATATATTATATAATATATAGATATAGTTCAGTACCACTTCTCATTTGACCACTTTATCTTATACATCAGGCAGCTAAATGACAAGCCACACTGATGCAAGTTAATGGCAAAGTTGGGACTGGAACCCAGGCCTTCTGACTTCTGACACCTTGTTGCTTTCAGAAACGGTGTTTCACATCTAATCCACCTACTCCTTCCTTTTTATCAAAACACACTTTTTTTTTTTCCTGGAGGCTCCAGACGTAAGAAACTAGAGAAATAAATATAAGTTACAGAGCCAGGGATCAACTTTTGTCTCCTGCTCTGTTTAGCATTCAAAACCACTAAGCCACAGAGAAGACTCTGCCCACACTCAGAAAAGAGCATGTTAAAGCAGAATTGAGTGGAAACCTCTCTTCATAGGAATGCAGATGGTGAGAAAGAGTAAAAATATTCAAGGGAAAAGGAGGTAAAGAAAATTAGTGTTGGGGCTGGAGAACACTGCATGGTATTCATCTTTCAGAAATTTGAAACTCTGGGAACTTTACAGGGGAGTCCAAGGGATGTAACTGCCCCGAGAGGCCTCAAACTGGCCCTTTCGTGGATGAAGATCACTTCCCATCATTGTCACTCAGAGTCACCGTGGTCTGGTAGAGCTCCCTGGGAGGTGCTGGGAAATGGCCCCAGGACCATCAAGGCTTTGCCCTGCTTTCTGGGCAGGGTTCGGCAAAATTAAAAAGGAAGAAAGATTATTTATCGTCCACCCAGTGCAAATTAAGAAAAATGGTATGGTCTGGATGGTTTTTAAGCAAGTCAGGAGGGAGAAGAAAAATTTTAACACCCTTCCTTTGACACAAGCTGATGGCCCCTAAGTGATGTCCTCGCCCAGATGGACAGAAGCCCACCTTCACTGGCAGGCACCCACTGGGAACTGCATTGTTCCTGCCTCCTGCACATGCCAGGGAATGGACAGCAGGCATTCTGGGAGGGTGAGGGTTGAGCTGTGGAAAAGGGTTGGGGAAAAAAAAGTAGTTCAGGAGTCAGAAAATAGTTCACAAATCTAAAATTCCATTCAGAGCTGCTTCTAAACACCGTCATAGCAAAAAGTGTGGTAAGTTCTTTGTTTTCCTTCCCCAAATGGAATCGTTTTTTTCTTTTCCTTTTTTTTTTTTTTTTTTTGAGACGGAGTCTCACTCTGTCACCCAGGCTGGAGTGCAGTGGCGCTATCTCAGCTTACTGCAACCCCTGCCTCCCGGGTTCAAATGATTCTCCTGCCTCAGCCTCCCAAGTAGCTGGGATTACAGGTGTGCACCACCATGCCTGGCTAATTTTTGTATTTTTAGTAGAGACAGGGGTTCACCATGTTGGCCAGGCTGGTCTTGAACTCCTGACCTCAAGTGATCCACCCCCCTTGGGCTCTTAAAGTGCTGGGATTACAGGCGTGAGCCACCGTGCCCAGCCGGATTTCAAAAATAATATCTGTCATTCCAAAATAGTACTTAGGTGATCATTTTTCTTTCCCCCCAAATAGTATGACTGTTTAGTTTTAGATCTTTTTCTCATCCCTCAAATATAAAGAGCCTAGAAATTTCTCTTGCTCCATCAATTCCATTGAGAAATATTTCCTGGTAGCCACAAAGATTAGAAAAAAATACAGAAAAAAAAGAAAAAATATAGAAAGAATATTTTGACAAAGAAATATTTTGACTCTTGGAGGGAATTTCTAACTCTTCTTACTTTAATTTTATATATTTAAGATTAGAAGCAAAACAAAACAAATGAACAATAACCAAAAATAAGCCCAAAACTAACCTTTTCCAAACTCTTAAATACTGGGTTTCAAAACACAGTGTGGAGGATGGTTACTTGAGTGGGTTTGGGTCACATTGGAGTCCTGATTCTGACCTTAATCTATCTTTCTTTCTTTTTTCTTTTCTTTTCTATTTTTTTTGAAATGGAGTTTCGCTCTTGTTGCCCAGGCTGGAGTGCAATGGTGTGATCTCGGTTCACTGCAACCCCTGTCTCCCGGGTTTGAGTGATTCTCCTGCCTCAGCCTCCCGAGTAGCTGGGATTACAGGTATGCGCCACCACGTCCGGCTAATTTTTGTATTTTTAGTAGAGACGTGGTTTCACCATGTTGGCCAGGCTGGTTTCGAACTCCTAACCTCAGGCAATCCACCTGCCTTAGCCTCCCAAAGTGCTGGGATTACAGGCGTGAGCCACTGCACCTGACCAAGATCCTTAATTTTTCTAAACCTACGTTTATCATCTATAAAATGAGCCATCTTTTCACATGGCTCTCATAAGGATTAAATGCAATCTTGTTTAAAGCACGTTGTATAAAATTTATCTTAGCTATTATAGTAAGAAGTACAAAAGTGAAGGAAAGTAATAATCTTTGCGGGGGGGTCTATGTGTAAGAAACCTCTCAGGAAGGAGCAGAACTGAACCAAGTGCTGAGGCAGAACCTCTGCTCTACAAATAGCATTTTTTTTCTTTTTAGCAAATTGCAGAAGGATATGATTCCTAACTTCCTGCAGGCTGATTCAGTCCCATGCCAGGGCACACGGCCGGTGAGTGGGCAGCTGCCCTATTAAGGACTCAGCAAAGGAATGATTACTTTGGGGAACTGTCAAATACGGAAAGCTATTCGGAAGGCCCACATGGAGATGGCTGTTTCCTAAATCACAGTTTCCCCAATGTTTTCTATTCCTCTGTGCTCTGAGGTGATAACTTTTTCCTTTTTTTTCTCTTATTTTTGTCTCTCTCATTTTATTTTATTTTGTTTTATTTTTGAGACAGAGTCTTGCTCTGTTGCTCAGGCTGGAGTGCAGTGGTGCAATCTTGGCTCACGGCAACCTCCGCCTCTTGGGTTCAAGTGATTCTCCTGCCTCAGCCTTCTGAGTAGCTGGGATTACAGGCGCCTGCCACCACACCCAGCTAATTTTTGTATTTTTAGTAGAGATGGAGTTTCACCATGTTGGCCAGGCTAGTCTGGAACTCCTGACCTCAAGTGATTCACCCACCTCAGCCTCCCAAAGTGCTGGGATTACAGGTGTGAGACACTGTGCCTGGCCCTGTTTTTTATTTTATTTTTATTTATTTATTTTTTTTTGAGACAGGGTCTCACTCTGTGGCTCAGGCTGGAGGGCCAGTGGTGTGATCTCCGCTCACTGCAACCTCCACCTCCCAGGCTCAAGTGATTCTCCCACCTCAGCCTTGCAAGTAGGCGTGCACCACCATGCCCAGCTAATTTTTGTATTTTTTGGTAGAGGCAGGGTTTCACCATGTTGGCCAGGCTGGTCTCAAATTACTGACCTCAAGCGATCTGCCTGCCTCGGCCTCCCAAAGGCTGGGGTTATAGGGGTGTGTCACTATGCCTGGCCTCTGAGATTATAACTGCCCACTAAGGAATTCTAGAATTGTTGGGATGACCTGGAGATATGTTCAGGGAAAGACGGGAAGTTTGCAATGACATCAGTATAGAATCCACAGGCTCTAATGACTGGAAATGAGGCTGGAAAAGCGTAATGGAGCAAAATCAGAAGTTCACATGAACACAGACTCCTTGACCGGGCCCTAGTCAGGCTCCTCTGGGTCCTCCTTTTGACTAGGCCCAATCTTTGGCTCTGTCTAGGTCTGCTTACTCCAGTTTTATTAAGAATCCTACTGAGAGAGTTTAGTGGAATCCTCCTCTCGGTCTGACCACCGTCAACATCTTCTTACCCTTGCTTCCTTTTAGCAGAAATCTTGTTAAGTCAGTTTAGCAAAGAGTTACCCTACTTCCTAGTGATTTTGCATCCATTGATTCCCCTACCTTGTTTCTTGGCTATAAACTTCCACTTTCGCTTATTGTCCCTAGATTTGAGCCCCATCTCTAGCCCATACTACAAAACCCCATTGTAGTAGCCACTACTATGATGCGGTTCAGAACATCCTACCCCAAAATATGACACCTTGGCATATTGAGTATTTTAAGCCGAAGAAATCTGAGAAAGAGCAGGTGCAGGAAGGACTGTCTGACCTTCCCCTCAAGAAGGTCATAAGCCCCTGATATGAGAGGCAACCTCCTTATGCCCAGAGGAAGGAGTGTTCTTGTCTGTGAAGACAGGAACACTGAGACGAATCTGAGCGGGGAGGCCTTGCTGTCTCCCCCAGCTTATTACCCTTAGATCATACCCTTTTCCCATGATTTTTTACTCTTCATCAAACCTAGTAAAAACATGTCTAACTATTTTTCTGGGGCTTCTTTTCCTTATGAAGGCTCTCATGTCACATAAGACTTATATTAAATAAATTTGTAGGCAGTGGCTCCTGTCTATAATCCCAGCACTTTGGGAGGCCAAGGTGGGCGGATCACTTGAGGCCAGGAGTTCAAGACCAGTCTGGCCAACACGGTGAAACCCTGTCTCTACTAAAAATACAAAAATTCGCCAGGCGTGGTGGCACACACCTGTAATCCCAGCTACTCGGGAGGCTGAGGCATGAGAATCACTGGAACCTGGGAGGGGGAGGTTGCAGTGAGCCGAGATCTCGCCACTGCACTCCAGCCTGGGCGACAGTGAGACTCTGTCTTAAAAAAAAAAAAAGTATGCTTTTCTCTTATTAATCTGTCTTTTGTTACAGAGCCCCAGCAAAGGACCAAAAAGGGTAGAAGGAAAAGATTTTTTCTTTCTCCTACACTCCCCTTGAATATTTCTTACCATCTTTAACAAGTATTATGATTAATTTTTTCTTTCACAATAGCATACTAAGAAGATTAAAATTTGTCCCTGGTACTTAGGCAAAGGGGAGCCATTGGGGTTTTTAAGCAAGGGCATTTCATGTTCAAATTTGCACTCTAGACTGGGCACGGTGGCTCACACCTGTAATCCCAGCACTTTTGGAGGCTGAGGCGGGGGTGGGGGATCACGTGAGGTCAGGAGTTCGAGACCAGCCTGACCAACATGGTGAAACCCCATTTCTACTAAAAATATAAAAGCCCAGCATGGTAGTGCATGCTTGTAGTCCCAGCTACTCAGGAGGCTGAGGCACAAGAATCGCTTGAACCCAGGAGGTGGAGGTTACAGTGAACTGAGATTGTGCCACTGCACTCCAGCCCGGGCAACAGAGTGAGACTCCGTCTCAAAAAAAAAAAAATTGCTCTCTAGCACGTGAGCTTGTCAGTGTGCCAGCACACTGTCAGGACAGCGTTTGGCTTCATGGATACCAGCTGTCATAAATCCAAGAGCAGCAATAAACAAATTAACTGGTTTTGAAAATTTTTTTCCTTATTTACTTCAAGAACAACAAAATAGGCCAGGTGTGGTGGCTCATGCCTGTAATCCCAGCACTTTGGGAGGCTGAAGGAGGTGGATCACCTGAGGTCAGGAGTTCGAGACTAACCTGGCCAACATGGTGAAACCCCGTCTCTACTAAAAATACAAAAATTAGCCAGACATGGTGGCAGGCGCCTGTAATCCCAGTTACTTGTGAGGCTGAGGCAGGAGAATGGCTTGAACCCGGGAGACAGAGGTTGCAGTGAGCCAAGACCATGCCATTGCACTCTAGCCTGGGTGATAGAAAAAGACTCCGTCTCAAAAAAAAAAAAAAAACCTGAGAAAATTGTCAAATATCTTTGCAGTGTTTGTGGTGTTCTCAAAAGTTAAAAAAAAGGTGGGGGGAGGGGACCCTGATTTATAGAGCCTGTATACCATATGTACATGTATATATGGTCAAAGCTAAGGACTGACAATGTCCCAAGAGGGAACAGTGAAAAACGAAGTCCTGAATGAGGTGTCTGTCATAGATATTTCAGGAGTCCAGGCTAGGAATTGGGTTAAGGTAAGATGATTGCCTGTAGGTTTGTATTTCCACTGTAGTATTTCTATTTTTTTTCACAATGAAGAACATTTTATTTACATAAAAAGAGAATAATATTTCACTAGGCAATAAATCCAGCATATTTCTTTTCTCTGCATATCTAAATCCAATGGTGATATTTTATAGGCTAATTTCTAAACAGATCCAAATTTTTGCAAAAATGATGAGAGCCATGTTTTGCTCAGGAATACTATTGTCGCAGATACTAGTTTGCCTAGCCTCGGGTGGCAAAATGCTAAGCTGTGAATTCAGTATTTTCCAGCTAGTTGTTTCTCCTTGCCCTACAGACTCTGGCAGCATGTACTGTTGAAAGACCCCTTATTGCTGCCACTTTTCTTCTCATAGTTGAATCCACTATGGGAGAACATTCACGTCCTTAAGATGCAAGTCCGAGCAAAAAGCCTCCCACAAATCTACCGGGTATCACAATGTGCTGCTTGATAAATTCTATTGCTTCTTCAATTAAATTGTTGATTTCCGGTGCTGCTTTGTTCGCTCGTTTCTTCATCTGCCTTTTTGCTTTGTTTGAATCTTTTTCAACTCTCTTCCAGTTAATCTGCACGTAGCCACTATGACTAGCAATCTGACGGCAAGAAAGTCACCACCTACTGCAGTTGCTGCAAGTTTTCAAACTTTCTGGAACAAAAATCCTGCAAACCAGCCAGGAACACCACCCATTACAATCTGGGTAGCTACTGCGTATTTTTCCACCATAGATCCCGAACTGTGGCCAAACACTGGATTCCACCACTGGTGTCTTCGCGCATACTCAGTTAAATCCAACACTTCGTAAGAGTCGTCCTCACTTTCATATTCTTGGGGAGCCGGGTTCAGGTTGCCATGATACCGCCGGTGGCCAGTTCTAGGGTGGTCCCCCCCACCCCGCCCTCCTTGTCCCCCCCCACCCCACCCTCCTCTCCCTGGCGCTTTAAGGGCCGCTCTAGGCCAAGATGGAAGTCTATGGTCTCTCCAGTGTAATATTTCATGGCTGGAACTTGGGTTATTACTTTTAAGTAATTTTTTTTTTTTTTTTTTTTTTTTTGAGACTGAGTCTCGCTCTGTCGCCCAGGCTGGAGTGCAGTGGCGCGATCTTGGCTCACTGTAATCTCCGCCTCCCAGGTTCAAGCGATTCTCCTCCCTCAACCTCCCAAGTAGCTGGGATTACAGGCACATGCCACCCTGCCTGGCTAGTTTTTGCATTTTCAGTAGAGAGGGTGGTTTTACCATGTTGGCCAGGTTGGTCTCGAACTCCTGAGCTCACAGGATCCACCTGCCTCGGCCTCCCAAGTGTTGAGATTGCAGGTGTGAGCCACGACGCCCTGTCACCTTTGATTTTCTGAAAGTATAACTTTAGTAATTTACCAAAAATGGAATCTTACTTATGGGGCTGGCTAATGGCATTTGGTTTTAGATGTGACAGGCTGCCAACATAGGTAAACAAGGTTTGTCCTCATTCCAAACTGGGTATGTAAACCTCCCATGTCCAGTTTCCCGAGCCCCGTATGTTTCCATTCAACCCTTCTCCTCTAGGAAACCAAATGAACCTTCCACAATGGAAAGAATGCTGACTTTTCCTTGCAGACCTTTCTCTTTTTTTCTTTTTCTTTTTTTTTTTTTTTTTTTTTTTTGAGATGGAGTCTCGCTCTGTCGCCCAGGCTGGAGTGCAGTGGCGCGATCTCGGCTCACTGCAAGCTCCGCCTCCCGGGTTCACGCCATTCTCCTGCCTCAGCCTCCCGAGTAGCTGGGACTACAGGCACCCGCCACCACGCCCGGCTAATTTTTTGTATTTTTAGTAGAGACGGGGTAGACCTTTCTTAAAGCTCAAAAATGGCATCAAATTCAGAGGACTCGCGTTTAGAAGGAGGAAGGAGGAGATGCGGAAGGGAAAGAGGAGCAAAGCCTGGTGGAGCCGACAGGGTCCCAGAGGGGAGATGGCCATCTCCTAAGAATAAACAGTTTCACCAGAGGCCGAGCTTGGACCATCTGCTCACTGTTTGCTTTGGACGGCGCTGGCCAAGAGGTCTCAGGGTTAGGCTGTCCCCAGAGATGAGAGCTCCCCCGAGCAGGCTGCAGGCTGCCTGCAGCCTGTCGCCTGGGGCTGCCCTGATATTTCCGGAATTTTATAGAAAGGGGAAGGCTGAGCCTAAAACCTCTCTCGAAGGCGGCCACCCTGCCAGGCCCAGCTCCTCGCAAACAAAGAAGTCAGTTGGGCGCCCCGAAGCTGCTGGCCTTCTGAGTGGCGGAAGGCGCCAGGCTCGGTGATTGAAACCACATGTGCTGGAGGTTTCAAGAGCAGCGACCCAGACACCAGGGGACTGGCTGCGGCTGCTTTTTACGTCTCCTTTGTCCTTGGGGTTTCCAAAGTCAGATCCTCTAACTAGACCACCAGTATCCCAGCAGAAAGAGTAGTAATTTTATTTTTTTTTTAATTTGACGAAATAGCATTTCTCCCCTCCCTCCCCCAAACCATAAAATGACCGGAAACCCTCAGGGCCCGGGGCTGCCTCCTGGCGACTCGCTAAGCAGGGGCAGAAGCTCTGTCCTGGGCTTCTCCAGCTCTGTCCCTAATTCCCTCGGATGAGACAGCAAGGAGGGATGAAGTTGATTTGTGAGGGGTGAGGCAAATTCATTAAACTAGTATAAGATACACATGGACTGTTTTTAAATTTAAAACTTTAAAAAGTTACAGGACTAAGACATAAATATATTCTCATTATAAAACACATGGAAACACTGCAAGGCCTTCCTTCACCTATTCCCATCAAGCCTCCTCCCCTCCCCCAAGTAATTCCTGTTACGAATTTTATGAAGATCCTTCTGGATCTTTCTCTGGTGCTTATGTGTATGTGTGTGTACACATAGAAATATGAAACTTTATCTTACATTTAGCAACAACAGTATTTATGGTATGTATTGTTTGCAATTATTGCACTTTTCTGGAGGTTTTTAAAATTTTTTCCTGCTGGTTACAGAGATCTACTTTCTGATAGCAGCATATCAGCAATTTTGATGTAGAGTCCAAATCTGGTAACATCCTCCCTGCTCCCACCTGCCCCCCACCCCCCTCCCCCTCCCCTGCCACCATTTGGTGTGGTCTGGAGCTAAGAACAATTCTTACTTATTTATTTGAGATGAAGTCTTGCTCTGTCACCCAAGCTGGAGTGCGATGGCACGATCTCAGCTCACTGCAACCTCTGCCTCCCGGGTTCAAGCAATTTTCCTGTCTCAGCCTCCCAAGTAGCTGGGATTACAGGTGTGCACCACCACACCCAGCTAATTTTTTGTATTTTTAGTAGAGATGGGGTTTCACTGTGTTAGCCAGGCTGACCTCGAACTCCTGACCTCAGGTGATCCACCCACCATGGCCTCCCAAAGTTCTGGTATTACAGGGCGTGAGCCACTGCGCCTGGACTCTTCTAACATTTTTAAATGGGTGAAAAAAATTAAAAGAAAAGTTACTGTTTTCTGACACATACATTGTATAAAATTTAAGTTCCGTGTCTATAAATAAATTCTACTGGAACACAGCTATACCCATTCATTTATGTATGGTGTATGGCGGCTTTCACACTACAGCAGCAGCATTGAGTATTTGTGACTGAAATCGTCTGGCTTATAAAGCCTAAAATATTTACTCTGCGGTCCTTTGCAGAAAAGCTTTACAAACCTCTGAACTACAGAATAGTTTTCAACTCAACAGGAACCTCCTGAGATTCCTATTGAATTGAAAACTATTCTGTAGCTCAGAGGTTTGAATGTGAGATGTTCAAAAGGTTACTGGGCTGTTAGATGTCAAAAATAAAACAGAAGAAACAGGACTGGCCAGTGAGTTAGGGGCCTGCGTTCTGCAGCTGGTTCTGCTATTTAGAAACCTCTGTGGCCTTGAGCAATCAATTCTGTCTTTTTAGGGTTCAGTTTCCACATCTGCAATACAAAGGAGTTGGGCTGGATCTCTAAGCTTCAGTGGTAACATTTTAAGATTCTAAAATGGATGGTAGAAGGGTCGGGCGCTGTGGCTCACGCCTGTAATGCCAGCACATTGGGAGGCTGAAGCAGGTGGATCACAAGGTCAGGAGTTAGAGACCAGCCTGGCCAACATGGTGAAACCTCGTCTCTACTAAAATTAGCTGGGCATGGTGGCGCATGCCTGTAGTTCCAGCTACTTGGGAGGCTGAGGCGGAAGAATTGTTTGAACCTGGCAGGTGGAGGTTGCAGTGAGCCGAGATTGCGCTACTGCACTCCAGCCTGGGCAACAGAGCGAGACACCGTCTCGAAATAAAGTAAAATAAAATAAAATAGAATAAAATAAAATAAAATAAAAAATATAAAATAAAATAAAATGGATGGTAGAGAAGTACATAATAGATGCTGTCTGTCCGATGGCGATAAAAGGGTATTCAACGGGCTGTCCCCCAATTCATGTGAGTGTAAATAGTTCGGCCATTAAGATTCAGAATAGGCACTGACTCAATGGTTGGAATATTATGGTTTGTTGTTTAGACGTGTGAAGTACAGGAATAACTGCTAGAATGAGAATGGAGAATACAAGGGCCAGTACGCCTCCTAGTTTGTTAGGGATGGATCGTAAAGTTGCATAGGCAAACAGGAAGTACCACTCTGGCTTAATGTGGGATGCGGTGTTGATGGGGTTGGCTAAAGCGTAGTTATCTGGGTCGCTCAGGAGGTCAGGTGAAAATAGTACTAGGGTTACTAGTAGGAGGAGGAGAAAAATTAAACCTAAAATATCTTTGGTTGTATAGTAGGGGTGAAAGGTAATTTTGTCGCGGTCTGAAGAAACCTCTGAAAGGTTATTAGATCTTGTTTCATGCAGGAATAAAAGGTGAACAGGAATGAAAGGTGAAATGTAAAAGGGATTCTTATATTTGTTGCTAATGGAGATCAGTAAGTCAGAAGATAAGTTATCATTAGTTGGTGGAGGGAATCTTCCTCCAGATGACAATGTGGGGGGGTGTCCTGGTGTTTCTATTGTTCTTCCACCTGCCTCCATCTTATACCTCCCCTCTACCCCCGAACCCTCACACTCCCACACACAACCTTTGCCCAAAGCTTTCCTCTCTTTCTCTCTGCCAACTCTAGGCCAGGGATCCTCAACCTCAGCACTACCGACTTTTCTGGCCAGGGAATTCCTTGCTGTGGGAGGGTTTCGTGCATTGTGGGATGTATAACAGCGTCCAGTGTACAGTGGCCTCTATTCCCTACATGCTAGTTGCACCTATCCATACCCCCGATATGATTTAGATGTTTGGTCCCCTCCAAATCTCATGCTGAAATATGACCTCTAATGTTGGAGGTGGGCTAGTGGGAGATGTTTGGGTCTTGGGGGTGGATCCCTCATGAATGTCTTGGCTCCTCCCCTCTGGTAGTGAGTTCTGGATCATCTGTTAATTAATGTGAGAGTGAGTTATTGAAAGGAGCCTGGCATCCCTCACCTCTTGCTCCCTCTTTTGCCATGTGATATATGGGCTTCCCCTTTGCCTTCCACCATGATTGCAAGCTTCCCAAGGCCTTCATTAGAAGCAGATGCCTAGCACTGTGCTTCATGTACAGCCGGCAGAGCCATGAACCA
The DNA here is from genome assembly GCF_000001405.40 of Homo sapiens. Classification (NCBI taxonomy): domain Eukaryota; kingdom Metazoa; phylum Chordata; class Mammalia; order Primates; family Hominidae; genus Homo; species Homo sapiens. Next base: position 123,141,131 of record NC_000011.10, read on the forward strand.
ACAAACCTCTTTTCTTTGTACATTATCCAATCTCAGGCATTCCTTTTTTTTTTTTTTTTTTTTTTTTTTTTTGAGACGAAGTCTCACTTTGTCGCCCAGGCTGGAGTGCAGTGATACGATCTCGGCTCACTGCAACCTCCGCCTCCCAGGTTCACACCATTCTCCTGCCTCAGCCTCCCGAGTAGCTGGGACTACAGGCACCCGCCACCACGCCAGGCTAATTTTTTGTATTTTTAGTAGAGACGGGGTTTCACCGTGTTACCAAGGATGGTCTCGATCTCCTGACCTCGTGATCCACCCGCCTTGGCCTCCCAAAGTGCTGGGATTACAGGTGTGAGCCACCGCGCCCGGCCAGGCATTCCTTGATAGCAATGCAAAATAGACTAATACAACCCTTCCTCCTTCCTTGTGCTGTGACAGTCAAAAATGTTTTCAGATATTGCCAAATGTTTCCTGGGAAACAAAATTGCCGTCACCTGAGAACCACTGCTCTAAACCTAGGTCTCTTCCTAAGCCCAAATCAAGTTACCTGATTCTGGTTCAGAATGGGCTCTTCTGTCTGTGAAATGCTAAGGTGTTTAGTGTATATAGTAACTTTTTACTTAACGATATAAACTTAATTAATTTATTATTTTTAATAATGTTTATGAAGTGGCTTATATTGTCTTGCATTCATCACTTGCAGTGTGCATATCTCGCCCCCCAAAACATGGTGAACGTTTTATAACTCCTTCGCTTTTGTATGAGAAAATTTCACTCAAAATTTCTCCTCTCCACTGTGGCCCCAGCAGATGGGCTACAATCTCTGGTAGAGCCAGAGAGAATTAAATTGAGCTAACCAAAATCCCCCCAGCCTTTTTTTTTTTTTTTTTTTGACAGGGTCTCACTTTGTCCCCCAGGCTGGAGTACAGTGGTGTGAGCACGGCCCACTGGACCCTCGACCTCCCAGGGTCAAGCGATCCTCCTGTCTCAGCCTCCTGAGTAGCTGGGAATACAGGTTCATGCCACTATACCTGACTAATTTTTGTACTTTTTGTAGAGATGGAGTTTTGCCATGTTGCCCAGGTTGGTTTCAAACTTCTGAGCTCAAGCAATTCCTCCTGCCTCGGCCTCCCAAAGTGCTGGCATTACAGGCGTAAGTCACTGCGCCTGGCTGATCTAGCCAAAATTCCTTAAGTTTGACCTTGATTCTACATGTTGGGGATGGGGTAACAGAGGCATTAGGAGATCCGATTGTCCAGGCACTGCTTTCCGATATACCACTAGGGACTTGTCGTTGAAATGCAAGTTGTTGAAGCTGTTGAAATATGAGCCTAAGATCAGGGCAGTTTCCACAGTGCCTGGCAGAGAAAGTGGGAAACCTATAGTAAGCGGCTTTGACCTTAGCATCCTACAGTTAAGCCCTAAGTGAGAGAAGGGGGAACTTAGGAGTTACAGTGCAAAATCTCCTAGGAACAGTTGTGGATGAGGTTCTTGGCTGGATGAGGTTTCTTTTTTTTTTTTTTTTTGAGACGGAGTCTCGCTCTGTGCCCAGGCCGGACTGCGGACTGCAGTGGCGCAATCTCGGCTCACTGCAAGCTCCGCTTCCCGGGTTCACGCCATTCTCCTGCCTCAGCCTCCCGAGTAGCTGGGACTACAGGCGCCCGCCACTGCGCCCGGCTAATTTTTTGTATTTTTAGTAGAGACGGGGTTTCACCTTGTTAGCCAGGATGGTCTCGATCTCCTGACCTCATGATCCACCCACCTCGGCCTCCCAAAGTGCTGGGACTACAGGCGTGAGCCACCGCGCCCGGCCGATGAGGTTTCTTAAAACAGGCAGTCCTACTCCTAGACATGAGCCCATGATTTCTTCTTGCCAGGCCAAAGTCTCATGTCTCATCTCTGATGTTCCTGCCTAGCTCCAGGAAGGGACAGTTTAAGAACCCAGTGGAGGTTCCTTACAACCTATTCCCTGGGCCAAGTCTCTCACATGTGTGGGGACACTGTGGAGTTCTGGGTAAGCTTATTTCTAGCTGCCATCCCCAATTATTTAGCCAGCTGCCTGAGAGCAGGAGCCACGTTTCACTGTCACTCTGTGTTAGAAGGGACATTGGCCATGGAATCAGCATCCGTGGACCTTAGTGATGAATTTTTCTCCTACAAGCTGAGTGACTGTTGCCAATCATTGTCCCCGACCCTCACTTTCAACCAAGTCACAGGTTTTTTGAAGTGCAGGGATATCTTCTGTCTTGCACATTTATGAGCTTTCAACCAATAGAATATGGCCAAGGTGATGGGCTGTCAATTCCATGATTATGTTAAATTGTATAAAACAACCTTGCAGCAGACTGGAATTAGAAGTACTGCCAGCCTTGAAGAAGTTAGCTGCCATGTGAACCGCCTATGGGGGGCGGGGGGGGCATGAGACAGGGAACAGTGGGTGGCCTCTGATCAAAATCCAGCAGAGAGCTGACTCTCTGTCCTACAACCACAAAGAACTCAATACTGCTAACAATCACGTGAGTGATGAGGGTGGAAGTACGTCCTCACATCCTCACAGATTAAGCTGCCTGATCTTAGGCTCACATTTCAACAGCTTCAACAACTTGCATTTCAACGACTTGCATGTCCATGACAAGCCCCAGCTGAGCCTCCAGATGAGGACCCAGCCCTTGCCAACACCTTGACTATAGTCTTGTGAGATTTTTTTTTTTTTTGAGATGGAGTCTCACTCTGTTACTCAGGCTGGAGTACAGTGGTGCAATCTTGGCTCACTGCAACCCCTACCTCCCAGGTCCAAGCGATCCTCCTACCTCAGCCTCCTGAATAGCAGGGACTACAGGTGTGCACCACCACTCTTGGCTAAGTTTTGTATTTTTAGTAGAGATGGGGTTTCACCATGTTGGACAGGCTGGTCTCAAACTCTTGGCCTCAAGTGATCCGTCTGCCTCAGATCCGTCTCCCAGAGTGCTAGGATTACAGGCAAGAGCCACTGCACCTGACAGCCTTGTGAGATTCTAAGCAGAGGATCCTGCTGAGCCATAGCTGGAACTCCTAACCCACAGAGATGATGAAATAGTGTGTGTAGTTTTAAGCTGCTAAATTTGTAGCCATTTGTTACATAGTAATAGATAATTGATACACCAACTTCTTTGATTTGTGTTGAGGGCTTTGTAATCTGCAATGCATTGTAGATGCAGAATACATTACTGGATCCAATATCTAGCACAGTGCAGGCATGCTGTACTCTCAATAAATATTTGGGGATAATATTTTTTTGAGACCGACTTTCGCTCTTGTTGCCCAGGCTAGAGTGCAATGGTGCAATCTCGGCTCACTGCAACCTCCGCCTCCTGGGTTCAAGCGATTCTCCTGTCTCAGCTTCCTGAGTAGCTGGCATTACAGGCATGTGCCACCATGCCCACTAATTTTGTATTTTTAGTAGAGACGAAGTTTCTCCATGTTGGTCAGGCTGGTCTCGAACTCCCGACCTCAGGTGATCCTCCTACCTTGGCCTCCCAAAGTGCTGGGATTACAGGCATGAGCCACCACTCCCAGCGGGGATAATGATTTTTTTTGGTAAACTGAGGCTAAATGGACATGAAGGTGAGCATTGTGACAGAAAAGAAGTCATATAAAGCAGTAGACAGAGTTTTTGAAGTGCAGGGATATCTTCTATCTTGCAGATTTATCAGCTGATTGCATATGGACCTCAGGTACAAGCTGGTGGATCCCTTTCGACCCCATTCCTCAGATTTCACTGGCTGATTGTGTGTCAGGGGCCTGACTTTCCTGCTGTCCCGGTTTTTCAGACTTACAGGCTCGAGTGCTGCACCAGCCACTACATGTGGCAATGGAGCAATTGAAATGTGGCTAACTGGAATTGAAATGCATAGTGAATGTAAAACACCCACCAGATTTTAAAGACTTAGTATAATAAAAAGAGTGTAAAAAATCTTGTTAGTAATTTTTCCATTGATTATATGTTGAAATAATATTTTATATATTTAGGGTTAAATGAAAATATATTAAAATTAATTTCCCCTGTTTCTCTTTGGTCTTTTTGACATGACTACTAGAAAATTTTAAATTCCATGGGGGCTCACATTCTATTTCTATTTCTATATTTTCTACTGGACTGCATTGCTCTAGAGTGCTATTAAAGGGTTAACTTTGTGCTCTCGTCTGTTTTCGTGCCAACCTCTGTGACTCACAGGTTGAGAACTACTGCCCAAGGTCTAGTTCTGGGTCACCAGAAACTGAAGTAAGAGGACACTCCTTTTACTTGCACGTCACAGACTTTGTCAGCGTGTGCTCCATGAGTGGGTTCAGCTCTGCGGCTGTTTTTTTTTTTTTTTTTTTTTTTTTTTGAGACGGGAGTCTTGCCCTGTTGCCCAAGCTGGAGTGCAGCGGCGCGATCTGGACTCAATGCAACCTCCGCCTCCCGGATTCAAGCTATTTTCCTGCCTCAGCTTCCCGAGTAGCTGGGCCTACAGGTGCCCGCCACTATGCCTGGCTAATTTTTTTTATTTTTAGTAGAGACGGAGTTTCACCATGTTGGCCAGGCTGGTATCGAGCTGCTGATCTCAAGTGATCTGCTGGCCTTGGACTCCCAAACTGCTGGGATTATAGGCGTGAGCCACTGTGCCCGGCCTTGCGGCTGGTTTTAATGTGCTGACTGAGCTGTGCTCCTCACTGTGTAAGGCTGAATAGTCCCGCACTTCCCTGCCTTAGTGAGCTTGATAAGTGCACTAGGAAATTAGCGCCATCTGCTACTTTACTTATCTCCTCCTGCTCTTCAGCTCCCACCTATAGCCCTCCCTGGAGGGGAAGGCCCATAACCCCAGCAGGCGGGGTCTGGGCCTGCGCAGATAGCTCCCAGCTGCTCATTAACGCTGCACAGGGGCTCAGGGTAGGGCAGGGCCAGCTGTGTGCACCATGGCTGCTGTTAGCATCCCTATTTTATAGATGGGGATGTTCAGGTATGGAAAGATCAAGTAACTTGCATCTAGGTAAGCTGCAGAACCAAGATGCTGGCACACCTCCAGGCATCATTTCTTCTCAGTTCTAATAGTGATGCTGAAAATTCTGTCAGATTAGCCATTCAAAGGATTTCTTCCCTGTTAAAATTCAGCTATCAGGACTGAGTGTGGTGGCTCGCGTCTGTAATCCCAGCATTTTGGGAGTATATATATAAACAGCATCCACCTAATACCATGGTTGTGAGAACTGAATGAGATTACCCATGCAAAGTGTCTAGTGCTTGGCACATGTACACACTCAATAAATATTGGCTCTTATTATTTCCTTATTCCTTACATATTAAGCACCTGCTGTTTTGGGAAAACAGATGCATCAGACACCACTCTGCTCTTCGATCACAGTCTTGGTGGGGAGTTAGATGTGCAGACCCACCTACAAGTAGAGGTCGGCCCACTCCTCAGCTCTGTGACACATCCTCATTCTTAAAATTCTGGCCTCAGCCTGCATGACACCCTCTTCTCTAGAATTTCCTCCTTCCTGCTACCTGCCATTGGTTCTTTTTCCATGGGCGTGTGTTGTGAACATTGGTTCTGACTTCAGCTCTCTTTCATCTCTCCTCCCCAGTTCCCCTGGTATCATTGTCACCCCCAGACCTGTGCACACCTAGATGCCAACAACTTCCAAATCTACCACCAGACCTCCTCCTCAAAGACCAGTATAACCAGACAAGGTGGCTTCCCTTGGAGGTCTCACAAGCACCTCAAATTCAGCGCTGTGCCTCCTGCATCACTTATCGGATTGAATGGGGCTACTCCCTACTTACCAAGAACCAGCGAGGCATGTTTGATCCCTCGCTCTTCCTTTGCTTCACATTCAGCCAGCCCTGGTTCTATATATTCGAGCTCCTGAATACCTTTGACTCTGACCTTTCTCTATCCCTGTTAACCTGCTTAATGCAAACTCTCACATCTTTGTGTAAAATGGACTCTTTGCCTTCAGTTTCATATTTTCCAGTGTATTCACTATGTTTTCTAAAAATGTCATTTTTTTTCAAGTTCAACTTCAAATTTAGTACGGTAGAAAGACCCTTGGAAATATGACTTTGCTTGGCTCTCCAACCTCATCTCGTGTAGCTGTCCCATTGCCATGCTCTGTTCCAGCTACACTGAGTTGCCTTCTATTCTGCACATGAACCGTCACACAATTATCTTTGCATTCACTATTTTCTCCACCTGGAAAAACCTGTCCTTCTCTTTTATCCTGCCTGTGGCCCCATGGTCTACCTTTCACTGGCCCCATAAGACTCAGAGGTCACATCCTCCAATGAGCCTTTCTTTTTTAAAAAATTAAAAAGATAGTTTTTTCTTTACAGATGGGGTCTCACCGTGTTGCCCAGATTGCTCTTGAACATGTGGGCTGAAGTGATCCTCCTGCCTCAGCCTCCCAAAGTGCTAGGATTACAGGTGTGAGCCACCATGCCCAGCAGCGAGCCTTTCTTGACTGCCCCTACTCTGGATTCCCATAGCACACCTGCAACCCACACTGTGTATTGTGATGCCTCTCCCACTAGAATGTCAGTGCCTGCAGGGTCAGGACCATGTCCTTGACTGCATCTTCAGCATCTTGTGCAGTGCTGGGTACAGAGTAGGCACTCAGGAAACAGTTGTTGAAGAAATGAATGGAGGGAGGTAATGAAACTTGCCTTAGTGGTTAAAGACACTGACTTTTTTTTTTTTTTTTGAGACAGGGTCTTGTTCTGTTGCCCAGGCTGGATCAGTGGTGTGATCATGGCTCACTGCAGCCTCGAACTGCTGACCTCAAGAGACCCTCCCACCTTGGCCTCCCAAAGTGCTGGAATGATAGGCATGAGCCACCGTGCGTGGCTTAGACACTGACTTTGGAGCCAGACTGTGTAAATTCACATCTTCGTTCTGCAGCTTACCTAGATGCAAGTTACTTGACCTTTCCATACCTGAACACCCCCATCTATAAAATAGGATGCTAATAGTACACAACCTCATGAGTTAGTGGTGAGAATTAAGTAAGTTAACATGTGTAGGGCACATAGAATAGTACGTGGCGTGTTTTAAGTGCTACGTAAGTGTAGCTGTTATGTTTAGGGCCGCAGGGCTTTTAAGTGGCTTTCAAAGCTGGCATTTGGTCCAGGTCTTTCTGACCTCAAAGCTTATGCTGTTTTCACTATGCCCTGCTGTCACAGATTTGTCTGAATTCTGCACAAGGGCATTTGGATGGAATCTGAAGAAGAAGGGGAGAAGAGCATCAGTGGTCCGCAGTTGTGGCAGCATAGAGCTTAGCATGCAAGAATGTACCTGCCTATGGCAAAAGAATGAGGAGAAAATCCAACCCCATGAACAGGAATAGCCTAAATTTACATGTCCACAAAATAAGTTGGTTCCCGTTCTATTTTTCTTCTGTCTCATACTAGTCACAGATCCTCTCTTGACTTAGATTAGCAGATGGGAAGGGTATTGGATGCCCAAGATTTTCCTTGGACAGTAGGAATCTTTACCTCCAGACTTCAGACCTTCTAAGAGATGAACAGATTCTCCCTTGAAGAACTTCAAGTCTGAATGTCAACCCCCCTAAACTTCTGCCCTCATGTCCTAGAAGCCTCATCTGTACCTGCCTAACATTTACAGTGGGAAGCTAGTCAATTGCGTGCATGGCCCAGGTTCTAGTCATTGCTAAGAAATGTATATGAGCAAGACTTCTTCTCCAACTTACTGCCTCTGTTATATTCCATAAAGACTGAGGTCTAGGGTGTGCCTAATGCCTCGGCTTCTAGAAACATCTGCCTCTTTTAGAAGAGCACATCAAATGCTACCTCTACCGTGTCATGGGTATATCCTTACGGAGCATTCACTCATTGCTTCTCAAGACAGGAATTAGAATCTGTTTTCTGTTTAGTCAAAACATGGGCTCAAGCAAGGAGAGATGGGCTGGGATGTGGTGAGGGGTGGGCAAAATATCAAAGGCCCTGAATTTTCAGGAAGCGGGTGTCTAAATTACCACCAGAGGAGATGGCTGTAAATTACATGCCACGTGTTCATCTGCAGAGCCCACTGAGCCATGCTAAGAAAGTGTTTACAGAATCTAGGAAGAGGCAGGAAAGAATTCTTCCCTAGAGCCTTCAGAGGAAACACCACTCTGCTATACCTTGATTTCAGATGTCTGGCCTCCAGAACTGTGACAGGATATATTTCTGTTGTTTGAGGCTACCCAGGTTGTGGTGATTTCCCGCAGCAGCCCTGGGAAACTGATACATTTTTATATCTGAAAATCCAGGGATTTCTGGCTTTAGGCATGGTTAAATGCAGGTGCTTATACATATCATGTCATCAGAAATATACCAGTCACCATCTCTGGGTTCTGTTTATCTTGGAGTTGACTTCATTTCAGGTGAGCTCTTCCCAAGGGGAGCAAAATGGCCCCAGAATATAAATTCCAGGCTTAACTTTGACCAATTTAGTTGTAAAAAGCCTGGGTTTGGTCAATCTTGAGTTCTGTGTCCATTGCCAAACCAGTTCCTGCCACCATAGGGATGGAGTGCTGTAACTGGCTAGGCCTGAGAACTTTGTGCATCCCTGGAACTGGGAACAAGTGGGGAAATGGGAGAAGAGAGGTTCTCAAAGGGAAAAGAGGTCCTCAAAAGGTTTTCTTTCTTTCTTTCTTTCTTCCTTTCTTTCTTTCTTTGTTTCTTTCTCTCTTTTTTTTTTTAGGCAGAGACTCACTCTGTCATCCAGGCTGCAGTTTAGTGGTGCAATCTCACCTCACTGCAACCTCCGCTCCCGGGTTTAAATGATTCTCCTGGCTCCTGAGTAGCTGGGATTACAGGCGCTCGCCACCATGCCTGGCTAATTTTTGTATTTTTGGTAGAGATGGGGTTTCACTATGTTGGCCAGGCTGGTCTTGAACTCCTGACCTCAGGTGATCCTCCCATCTCAGCCTCCCAAAGTGCTGAGATTACAGGTATGAGACACTGTGCCCAGACTCTGAAAGGTTTCTCAGAAGGAAAACTGAAGGGAGGTAAAAGTAGGAGAGATGTTATTGTCAGAAGTAGTTGGAAAAAAATGCTACACACACACTAAACACACACACACACACACACACACACACAGGGATTAGATCATAGAGGGCTGTGACAGGTGAGACAGATAGGCTTGAGAACAATAGACTAAGAGGTGAGAATTGTAGTTACTGGGAGTTCCAAGGAAGATCTTCCATGGTCAGAAAGGTGTGGGGGTTTGACACAGGGGCAGGTTAAATTAGAGCCAAAAAGATGAACAAAAGAAGGAAGGAAGGTAAGAAAGAAAGAAAGAAAGAAAGAAAGAAAGAAAGAAAGAAAGAAAGAAAGAAAGAAAGAAAGAAAGGAAGGAAGGAAGGAAGGAAGGAAGGAAGGAAGGAAGGAAGGAAGGAAAGAAACAAGCAAGGAAGGAAGGAAGGAAGGAAAGGAAGGAAGGAAGGAAGGAAAGGAAGGAAGGAAGGAAGGAATGAAGGAAGGAAGGAAGGAAAGGAAGGAAGGAAGGAAGGTAGGTGTGGGGAGAAAGTGGATAGGAGGTAGAATACCATCCCACTCTCCCACAAATTCTGAAAGTCATGACTTCTTTTTTTGTTTTGTTTTGAGATGGAGTCTCACTCTGTCGCTCAGGGTGGAGTGCAGGGGCACGATCTCGGCTCACTGCAACCTCTGCCTTTTGGGTTCAAGTGAGTCTCATACCTCAGCCTCTCGAGTAGCTGGGATTACAGGCACATGCCACCACTCCTAGCATATTAGAGACGGGGTTTTGCCATGTTGTCCAGGCTAGTCTTGAACTCCTGGCCTCAAGTGATCTGCCCACCTTGGCCTCCCAAAGTGCTGGGATTACAGGCGCGAGCCACTGTGCCTGGCCTGGGTCTTTCCATCTTATCTCACCACTTTTCTGTTACTGCCAGACTTGTTCATTCAACAGGTGTTTCGGTGGCTCCTGCCACGTGCCAGGCAGTGATGTGAGAATGGCAGCAGGAAGGAGGACCAGCGTGCTGTCTGTGAGCTTACAAGAAAGGACCCCTGGACCACTACCAGGGCAGGGCCATGGAGAGGGAACCATTGGTTTCTACCTAGAAACCTATTCTGTGGAACAAGTTATTTCAGATCATCTTTGCCATTTCCCTGGCAGTTCTCTATGATAAAGTCCACATATGGAAATGGCTGTCACCTGAAGTGACCTAGTATTCGGTCCTGGCTTTAAGTTTCTGGATCTTAGAGAGATGTCTTTCAGGACAGATTTACCTGATGGCTCTAAGCCACTGGCACTTGTCCTTAAGGTCTTAGCCTCTGCTATTTATGTTCACTCATTCACCTGCCCACTCATTCATTCATTCCAAAGGTATTTATTAAGCGTCTAACTACAGAAGCATTTTGCTGTGTATCAGGTATACAAAAATGAATACAATGCTGTACTGCCACTTTTCCAGCGGAGGAACTCATACTCTAGTGGGAAAGACAATATATGAATACATGATTACAGGGTAATATACTAAATGCCTGTGAAAGACATGTGGGAACAGAGCTGCACCTTCTTCGTGTTCCTACTTAGCAAAGGCAGGGAAGAATCTGATCAATTAATTCCTGCTGAGATATGAAGTATGATAGGAACCAAATAAATGCATTACCCTTCCAGGGGCCTTTTTGCTTATTTCATAGCATGTTCATTTTTAGCATGTTTATTATCCAAGGCAACATCAAGTTGTTGGTAGGGCTGGTTTCCTCTAAGGCATTTTTCTAGTTCTAGTACCACTCCCCTAATTCCAGCTTTTATCACTTCACTCCTGTTCTAATCTTGAATAGCTCCCTGCCTCCTTCCTCTTCCCTCTCCAGAGCATTCTTCACAAGTCTGTCAGATGAATTTGCCTATAGCACAGTTCTGATTGCAGCCCTCGAATCTGCTGGTAAAGCAATTTAAACTCTCTTCCCCTCAATTTCCTATAATAATCATTATGGAATGATTCCAGTGATGCCCTGATGCTTTCACTGAGTATTTGTAGTGATGAAAATGAGATCGTTGATGAAAAATCTTAATAATTATAAGGAGCTATACACATATATTATTACTGCTATGTTCACTGCCCAGCTAAAAAGTGTTCGTGGTGGCCGGGCACGGTGGCTCATGCCTGTAATCCCAGCACTTTGGGAGGCTGAGATGGGTGGATCACGAGGTCAAGAGACCAACACCATCCTGGCCAACATGGTAAAACCCCGTCTCTACTAAAAATACAAAAATGTAGCTGGGCATGTTGGTGGGCACCTGTAATCCCAGCTACTCAGGAGGCTGAGGCAGGAGAATCACTTGAACCCGGGAGGTAGAGGTTGCAGTGAGCCGAGATCGTGCCACTGCACTCTAGCCTGGATGACAGAGTGAGACTCCATCTCAAAATAAATAAATAAATAAATAAATAAATAAATAAATAAATAAAAAATAAATAAAATGAAAGCTAAGGAGAGAGGCCTTAGAGGAAACCAACCCTACCAAAAACTTGATCTCAGACTTCCAGCTTCCAGAATTGTGAGAAAATACATTTCTGTTGTTTCCGTCACCCAGTCTGTGGTACTTTGTTTTGGCACCCCCAGGGGAAAAAATACACCCCTCAAGGACAGGTAACTTTTGATTTAGGTAATTTTAGCTCAATATAGGTAATTATTTGCCAAGGACCTTGCCACTTTTTCCCTTTGTGTCCACATTGCCCCCTGTATCCTTTCCCATTTATATCATATATGTCCCAAACATACTCAGGAGGGCCTGGTGAAGGATCTTGAGCATAGAGGTTGTGTGCGTAATATCTGGAGGGAGAGAAGGATGTTGGATAAAGTGGTTCAGCCACTGGCGGATACAAATTGCCCCCAGAGGAAGCTCATTGAGGACGTTTATTCTTTTTTCCTAAAGGTTTCCTTAGGAAACAACATCTCTTGCCATGGAACACATCTGGCTGAGCGAGTACAGAGCAGTGACATTAAATGTAATTGACATTACGGCATCTCTCTGGACCACGCCGATGGAACTCCCAAGGTTTCCGGGTCTGTGTTGCAGCAAGGCTGACATTCAAGCTTGCCAGTCATCTGGAACACTGAACTCTTCTCCTCTCCCCCAGGCATAGAATGGCTTCCAGCGTTTGAGCAAATACAAGTTTCAGATATTTTCTCTCCAAGACGGAGGGCTCAACTGAAAACTTTTATCTAATCTGGTTCTCTGAATTTCCTTTTCTCTCTTGCCAGCTTCTCTCCTTTGCATCCTATTGCCGTGACCATATTTGTCCCTAAAGATTTACCTCTTCCACCTAAAATTTTGGCCCAAGTATGGAAAAGACAAAATCCTCCTTCCTTGTGCCCCTTAATAAAGCTAAGGTGGGCGGCAGCATTCAAAAGGAACTCTACTATGAACTAAAGGGAGGGACTGCCCCAAACACACACACATAAAGAGCATACACATTTTGTGAAGTATTGGTTTTTAAACAACAGGCTCACTTAACTTACTCATAGGCACTAATTATTTCCATTGCACGGCCGGAGGGATTCCCTTTTAATGCTTTTTAATTTTAATTTTATTTTTTTCTGAGATAGGGTCTCACTTTGTCCCCCAGGCTGGAGTGCAGTGGCACGATCTCAGCTCACTCCAGCCTCGACCTCCTGGGTTCATGTGATCCTCCCACCTCAGCCTTCTTAGTAGCTGGGACTACAGGTGCATGCCACCATGCCTCACTTTTTTTTTTTTTTTTTTTTTAAGAGATGGGGTTTCACCATGTTGGCCAGGCTGGTCTCGAACTCTTGAGCTCAAGCGATTCACCTGCCTCAACCTCCCAAAGTGCTAGGATTACAGGCGTGAGCCACCTCTCCTGGCCTCCCTTTTAATTCTTAGGCTTTTCTTCCTTTGGTTCTTTTTTGTTCCCTTTTATAGAAGGTGTTGGGATTGGACACCTATCATAATGCTGACCTTCCAGCCAATAAATGAGGTTGATGGCCCACACCAGGATGAGTATGGAGCCCTCATACTTCTCAGCTCTTGCTCTCCATGGCAAGACGGAGTCAATGCCAAACCGTGCCCTCTCTCACCCCCTCCTCCATGCAGGTAGGCTCAAGGATGACTTCCTTGCACCCTACTCTGACTTGACTCTTACTCGTCAATGAGAAGCTGGTATGGACCAGAAAGCCTGAACATGCAAAACTTGCCCCCTATCCTATAGCTCTGCTAAATAGCTGTAGAACCTATAGGCACATTGGCTGGGGAGACAGCCCAGCATGGAGGCCACCTAGGCAATGGCCTGTTCTGTGGTGTTGATGAGCCACATTTAGGGGTGCAGAGGGCTTGCCCACTTGTGTTAGTCATGCAAGTAGGGCCTTGAAAAAGTAGATATTTTATTCTGAAGTTTTATACTGTTTGGCTAGAAGGGATTTAAATCTCTTATGTCAGATATCATGACATAAGAGATATCATGACACGGCATGTCATGTCAAATAAATAAGGTGACCACTTAGGACTAGGGGATGATCACTGATTTGGAGTCAGGAGGTCCAGGATTGAGCCCTAGTTTTATCAGCAGCTAATCTGAATGACCTTGGATAAATCCCCCTCATTTTTCTGGGTCCCTAAAATAATAACTGCTTTACTTTCCACTGAAATGATTATAATCCATTGTGAAGGCCCAGATTTTCACTCGCTGATCAGATGTTCTGATGGGCAGTTATACATCCTTTTGATGAATATAATGGGAAATGAAATATGTAGTTACTGTAATTTGTTTGGTGGTCAGAACTATTTCAAAATATGGGGCTCATTGGGAGGAAAATAATAGAAAGAGCCTTGGTGGTTAAAAAGTTAGTTAGGTGGTTAGAATAGATGATACAGAAATCGCTTTGTTTTTTGAGACAGGGTCTCATTCTGTTGCCCAGGTTGTAGTGCAGTGACACGATCTCAGCTCACTGCAGCCTCGATCTTCTGGGCTCAAGTGATCGTCCTGACTTAGCCTCCTGAGTAGCTGGGACTACAGGCATGTGCCACCATACCCAGCTAACTTTAAAATTTGTTTTGTAGAGATATGGTCTTACTATGTTCACCAGGCTGGTCTCAAACTCCTGGCCTGAAGGGGTCCTCCTGCCTTGGCCTCCCAAAGTGCTGAGATTATGGGCATGAGCCACCATGCTTGGCCTCGGAAGACCTTTCTGACTCTGGCATTCTAGAATTCTTGACTTGTATTACCATTGCACAAGGGAAGTGCTGAAGCCTGGGCAAGTGCTGAAGGTGGGAACAGCGAGGTGGTGAGAGACTAGGGAAGGCAGGGGAGGGAAAGAGTGTTTACCAGATGATTGCTAGTTGCGACACAGTAAATTCGTTCTCTCATTTGGTACTTACGCCCATCGTGTGAGGAAGGTATTATTATTTTAGTGATGGAGAAACCAGCTCAGAGGGGTTAGTTTTGCATCTTACAAGAGGTCGAGCTAGAATTTTATTTTAGTTCCAGGTCTACTGGTTTTCAAAACATACATTCTTTTTCTGATACCATAATGTCCTTTCATCCAGAGATGTGATAGCCAGCCTCCAAGATGGTCCTCAGGGACTCTTGCCTCCTGGTATTCATGTCCTTGTATAGTCCCTATATTGAATAAGACTGAGCTTTGTAACCAGTAGGATTTTGCAGAAATGATAGTGTGTGACTTCCGAGACTCAGTCATAAAACATATTATGGCTTCTCCTTTGCTATCTTGAATTGCTGTCTGCGGGAAGCCAGGTACCATGGCATGAGAATGACAAAGCAGCCCAAGGGGAGGCCCACATGGGGAGGAACTGAGGCTTCCTGCCAACAACCAAAACCTGTAAATATACCATCTTAGGAACTGTGATAGAATGAGTGTTTATGTCCCCCCAAAAATTCATATGTTGAAGTTCTAACCCTCAATGTGGCTATATTTGGAGATGGGGCCATTAAGGAAGTAATTAAGGTTAAATGGGTGGGGCCCTGATCCAATAAGATTACTGTCCTTATGAGAAGAAACACCAGAGAGCTCACTCTCTCTCCCCTCACGCACAGGCACTGAGGAAAGGCCGTGTGAGGATACAACAAGAAGGCAACCATCCACAAGCCAGGAAGATAGACCTCACCTGACACTGAATTTGTCAGCACCTTGCTTATGAATTTTAGCTTCCAGAAAATAAATGTCTGTTATTTAAGTCACCCAGGCTGTGTCATTTTATGACAGCCTGAGCATACAGGCCAGAACAGAAGCAGATCCTTTAGCCCCAACCAAGTCTTCAGAGGACTGTAGCCCAATCTTGGCTGCAAACTCGGGCATGATCTTGAGCCAGGACCGCCTAGCTAAGCTGCTTCTGAATTCCCGATTCATAGAAACTGTGAAATAATAAATGTTTGTTGTTTTACGCCATTAAGTGGTGGTCGGGGGGATTTTTTTGGTAGTGATAGATAACTGATGGAAGAAGTGAGGGAGAGGGTCTTTTGTCCCAAGCATTAAAGCCCATTGCCATTTTGTACAGCTGGAAGAAGGAAGCGTCATTTGCGAGTCTTTACCTGTGGTAGGGAAATGCTTTCTTCTTTCAGCTATACAAAAAGGTGGAGAAATGTGAGGGGGAGATGCCCAGCTTTGCTCCATCCCACAGATAAAAATCTCACAAATGTGCTTCCTTCTTCTTCCCAGAAAGCTTTGCTAAGCTTCCCCAGCAGCAGTGCACATGGCTGCAGGGAAAACCTCCATGGATACCAATCACTGCTTGGACACTTTCTTTCCAGGACTCTGCCTTTTACTTTGTTAAGCAATTATTTTGGTTAAGATTTCTATTCAGTGGCTGAGGCTTGTGACCAAAATAACATTTAACAGCATTAGGAACAGAAACACTGAGGGATACATTTACTCCCAGGAAAACAGAGGAATCCCAGAGGTTAAAAGCTTGGGGCCAATTTATCACCTGGCTCTGAATTCCAAAACAAAACTCAGAGGCACTTGGAGAGGTGACCATCACAGAGTAGCCACAGAAGGGTGGAATATTCTGAGTAGTTTTAGGACATCAGATGTAACCTTCAGTCATCCCAGTCCAGGAGAATACTTGAGTGTCAGAACCAGGATATCTTAGAAGTCACCCAGGGCAACCTCTTTATATCATGAATAAAGAAGAAATGAGGGCGTGGCGTGGTGGCTTATGCCTGTAATCCCAGCACTTTGGGAGGTCGAGGTGGGTGGATCACTTGAGGTCAGGAATTCGAAATCTGCCTGGCCAATGTGGAGAAACCCCATCTCTACTAAAAATACAAAATTACCCCGGCGTGGTGGCACATGCCTCTAATCCAGCTACTCCAGAGGCTGAGGCAGGCAAATCACTTGAACCCAGGAGGCAGAGGTTGCAGTGAGCCGAGATCGCGCCATTGCACTTCAGCCTGTGCAACAAGAGCGAAACCCTGTCTCAACAAAACCCCCAAAATTAGCTGGGCATGGTGGTAGTTGCCTATAATCCCAGCTACTCCGGAGGCTGAGGCAGGAGAATCACTTGAACCCCGAGTGGGGCAGGAGGCAGAGGTGGCAGTGAGCCAAGATCTCGCCACTTCACTCTAGCCTGGGCAAAAGAGTGAAACTCAAAAAAAAAAAAAAAAAAAAAAAAGAAGTAGTGAAGGCCCAAAGTGGAGTTACCGGCCTGGGTTCACGGCGTGTAAGTAACGGAGCAGAGACCGGGACGCTGGTCTTTGGATGTTAAGTGCAAGTGGTTCCATTGCCCTTCAGCACTGGGGAGAGAGTTGGGGGCCGTTTTCTTCTTCTAAGTGATATTTTGGAACCAACACAGTACTGCCCCATTGCCTTCCCCACAGCCATTTCTTTATTACATTATTTTTTTCCTGCTGCTTCCAACCCATTCTCTTCTGCACAAAACCCCCAGTTTCGCTCTCCCAGGCTTTCACACACATTACTCAATCCACCCGAAAAGTACTCTGTACTGCTTCACTCAAACTCCGACACCCAGCAAGCCTTTGTCAGGGCAGGAAGATGCAAAGTGCCCCTATTGCACGGTTAGGCTGGGGCTCTAATATTGGCCACTGGTCTGCACTGGGATCTCAGGCAAGTCACGTACTGCCTCTCAGCCTCTAAGTGCCCTTCCAATTATAGTCTGCCATCCCATCAATCAGTGGATGCAATCCTTTTTAATGAGTTATCCAGCTAACTCTCAATGCGTCTAGATAATAGAATGCTGCAATCTTAATAAAATGCTTCTCTCCTGGAGAAGGCTGTTTAATGGCTAGAACAGTGGTGGCGAATTCAGGATCGGCGGAAGGTTTGAGTGCCAGTCTCCTCCAATGTTAGAAATCAGTCTTGGGGACTCCAGGGACTGTGCTGCTCTGGCCTGATGCCTTTGCAGCCCTGGGTGGACCTGCCCTCCTCTATGGGCCTCACTGTCTCCCCCTTTAAAAGGGCACTGCTCGTTGTTTTCCCACACTTGTCATGCTGTTGGGTGTATTATTTTAGTTTTGCAGTAGACCACAAAGCCAGGAGACTATCTGATTATTTACAGTCTCTAAAATCAGGGTTAGTTCAACTGTTGTCCTTATGCTGTGCTGAGTTTAACACAGGGGCTTTGGAACTAGACAGACCTGGGTTTGAAATCTGATTTGTCACTTCCTGGCTGTTGAACTTGGGCAAGTTTCTTCACCCCTGTGAGCCCCAGGTTGTTTTCATTTACAAAGGGTGGTGCTAGTGATACACAGCACACAAGGTAGTCATTACTAAGATTGAATAATATAATTGCATCGAGGGCTTCGATGTGTGGCATAGAGAGAATGTTCAGTGAATATTATCTATGACCATTGCTATTCTATGTCTAATGCACTGAACCCCTTTCTATGTGCCAGGGATTGTGCTAGGCACTTGGGAGTCAAATATAAGTCAGACCTCCCTTAAGCAGTTCATGAAGTAGTTGCTATGTAGGCCTAGTTCTAAGACATTTCGAAAATGTGAGAAAAGCCAAAGATCCGTCAAAGCATTAAAGAAATCATTGTGCTTAAAATTGGATGTGTGTATGTTATTTAAAAAATACCTAAAATGGTGTTTGGAAAGCCCAGCAAAAACCCAGTCTCTCCCGGAAATAGTTTAACAGTTACTTTCAGTGAGAAGGTAAATATCAGCCTTCCAGAATGTGCTCATAGTAGATTACGGAATTAGTCCACGTGGGAGCTTGCAGGCTACTAAGACGGAGCTGCGCTTGGCCCGGCGATGGGGCAAGCCTGCATGTGACAGGAAGGAGGAGGAAGAAACAGGTGCGGTGGGTGAGGAGGCTACAGTGTGTCTTCTCAGGTCTCCTGTGGGCAGGCAAGCCTGGGGTACCCTCCAGGCAGCATATGAGTGTGGGCAGCATCTGAATGAGAACATGAGAACCTGTCACTTACTGGTTGGAGTCAAGGAATGCATAAAATTGGTGTGCTGTGTCAGTTTTAATTTATGTTAGCCTTACTATTTCAATCTTGGCATAATTATCTCACACTTAACAGAATAAGGGAGGGGCAACTGACACGTACAAGGCAGTGAGGTGGCGGGAGGCCCAGGGGGCACACAGGAAGGGTGGTTTTTGGAGGATGGCTGTGGCACCTTGAGTCTGCAGGGATGAGTAGGTGTTTTCCATAATTCTCTGCCAATCCTCTCAGTCAATTAATAGTTGTTGCTTTAAAAAATTATTTTCAATTTCTAGCCAAAAGGAAGAACAATGAGGAATGTATCAATTTTTTTGGTTTACATCTAGCACATTGGTTTGTTTTTAAGACCTCCTGCCTGATGATGATGATAATTTTATTTTTGTAACAAGCTGTTAAATGCTCGGAGAACCACAAAACAGACCCTGGTGGTAAGAATTTGTTTCAATAATCCCGGCTGGGTGCGGTGGCCCACGCCTGCAATCCCAGCAGTTTGGGAGGCTGAGGCGGGAGGATCACCGGAGGTCAGGAGTTTGAGGCCAGCCTGGTCAACATGGTGAAACCCTGTCTCTACTAAAAAATACGAAAATTAGCCGGTCATGGTGTCACGTCCCTGTAGTCTCAGCTACTTGGGAGGCTGAAGCAGGAGAATCACTTGAACCCGGGAGGCAAAGGTTGCAGTGAGCCAAGATTGCACCACTGCACTCCAGCCTGGGCAACAGAGCGAGACTCTGTCTCAAAAAAAAAAAAAAAAAAAAAAAAAGGAAAGTAAAAGAATTTATTTCAATAATCCAATTATACCCTGAACTTTTTCCTGAGAAGATAGATACTGACATTTTCAGAAGGACAGTGCTTAGAAGCATGTTTTGCTGCATGTCTTCACTGCACTTATTAATGATTTCCTAAATGCTGGCTCACATGGACGCAGTTAATTTCAAGGGGAAATCAGAGTGCAGCAGATATGCAACGAGAAACTTGGGAAAGGAGCTGAATTATGCAGAATTATTTGGATTGGCTCAAGTTAGAGACAAGTCTCTGATTGACTTGTTTTCTAAGATGTATAATAGCTTAGTCCTATTTCCATTCTCTTCCTTTTGAAGCCTCTTCCTCTATAAACATCTCAGGCATGAATTCTTCAAAGAAGTTGACAAGGGGGAGGGGTGCAGTGACTCAAGCCTGTAATCCCAGAACTTTGGGAGGCTGAGGTGGGCGGATCACCTGAGGTCAGGAGTTCAAGACCAGCCTGGCTAACCTGGCAAAACCCCATCTCTACTAAAAATACAAAAATTAGCCAGGCGTGGTGGTGCATGCCTGTAATCCCAGCTACTCAGGAGGCTGAGGCAGGAGAATTGCTTGAACCCAGGAGGTGGAGGTTGCAGTGAGCCAAGATCACACCACTGCACTCCAGCCTGGGTGACAGAGTGAGACCCTGCCTCAAAAAAAAAAAAAAAAAGGTGACAAGAAACTTGCCTTCCTATTTATTGATTGAAACAGGCAGCATTAGATTTCCTTGGCCTTCCTTTGACAGCAGCACTGGAAAGGGACAGGAAAGGCAATTACTTGTCCAAAGGTATGTACTAGGTATGTACCAGGTGCCTACTACGTGCCCAGCCCTGGGCCTAGCCCTGGGTTCTGCCCAGTGAGATTTGTAAGAGCAGTGCTTTAAGACTTGGTTTCTAATCACAAGTTACTTATAATCTATTTGAGACTGTAGAACTGAGACAGATGGAGCAAATAATTTAACCTGTTAAATATGTATCAAGCCCTTACCATGCACTAAACCAGTCATGCTCAGCCTGCATGTGAGAAGCACTGATTTTTTTTTTCTTTAAATGCAGAATGGGTTCGGGTATGGTGGCTCATGCCTGTAATCCCAGCACTTTAGGAGGCCAAGGTGAGTGGACTGCTTGAGCCCAGGAGTTCGATACCAGCCTAGGCAACATGGTGAAACCCCATCTCTAAAAAAAGAAAAAAATACAAAGAATTAGCCAAGCATGGTGGCAATGTGCCTGCAGTACCAGCTACTTGGGTAGCTGAGATGGGAGGATTTCTTGAGCCCGGGAAAGAAAGGTTGCAGTGAGCCAAGATTGCACCACAGCATTCCAGCCTGGCAACGGAACAAGATTCTGTCTCAAAATAAATAAATAAATAAATAAACAAACAAATATACAAAAATAAATACAGAATGGCTGGGCGTCACCCCTCAGAACAGCAGTCCCCCAAGAGTAGTTTTTGGACGAGCATCACCATCATCTGGTCACGTATTACACATGCAGACTCTTGGACCTAAACTCCCTTGGGGTGGATTCCAGCAATCTGTGTCTTCACAAGCCCTGCAGGTGCTAACGATGCACTGGCTCTCAAATTGGAGAACCACTTGATTCAGTAGGCCTCATGTACAATATGAGGCTTTGAGCTCCTGAATACCTGCACAGAGAACCTTGATGTGGAGCTAGGATTGAGAACCCCTGTGCTGGCAACAGGAAAGATGCAGAGATGCAGAGAACATGGCCCCAACCTGAAGAAGCTCACAGTTTAGTGGACAATGTTAAACCAAATGCCACTGAGTGCCACAGAACAGCTCAGTCTAAGGGGAAGTTCCTGGAGGACACAGAGCTCATTTTAGAGTTGAACAGGATTCTAAAGAGCTACAGGAAGATCTCTCAGAGGAATAGATGAGCAGAAGGACCCGAGGCAGGAGAAAGTGGGAAGAACAGACAGCGACTCAGCTTTGAAGAAAGCATCCATTTATTCATTTAACAAACATTTCCTGAGAGTCTACTCTTCAGCTGATTATTTATGATTTATAACACACCAGTTTCCAAAATGATTTGAGGTGGTTTATAATGTTAAAACACATCCAAAACAGGAACGTGTATAATGTATAATGCATGTATAATGCAAATAGAACAGAGATCCATTAAGAGGAACTGGGAAATAAATCTTTCAGGCACCTGGGATGAATTAATTGAGGGCTTGCTGGGAGCAAGACACCGTCAGAGGTGCTATGGGGTTTGCTGAGAGAGATGAAGGAGCTTATAGTCCACAAGGGAAGATAAAAGTTGCATAAATGGCCAGGTGTGATGGCTCACACCTGTAATCCAAGCACTTTGGGAGGTCAAGGTGGGCGGATCGCTTGAGCTCAGGAGTTTGAGAACAGCCTGGGCAACATGACGAAACATTGTCTCTAAAAAAAAAAATACAAAAAAAAGCAGCCAGGCATGGTGGCAAGTGCCTGTAGTCCCAGCTGCTTGGGGGGCTGAGGCAGGAGGATCACTTGAGCCCGGGAGGCTCAAAAGCTGCCTGTGAGTCAAGACGGCACCACCGCACTCCAGCCTGGGTGATAGAGTGAGACCCTGTCTCAAAAAAAAAAGAGAGAAGAAAACCAAAAAATAAAAAATCAGCATAAATAACCATATTTAGGCAAAGAGCCATGGCAGATTCAAGGCAGGAGAGATCATTCCCAGCTAGGAAAGTGGGTACCTGTACCTTGAAGAAGGGAGAGGGTTTGGGGGCTGAAGGAAGGGGAGATTAGGGCTACAGCTGGAAGCAGGAAGAAGAGTCAGGAGAAAGAAGGGTGTCCACAAATTCCCTAAGCAAAGAGGCAAGGGAGACAAAGAACAGGATAAATCAATGGGAATCCTGAGAGTTCCCATTGAAAATGCCACGGCTAGATCTTAGAGGGTCTTCACTTCAGTTGGAGAAATTTGTGTCCTGTTTGCTAGTCAGTGAGGAGTGACTGAAGGTGTTTCAGCTAGGAATTAACATGGGGAAGTCATACTTTAGAAAGATTAATTTAGCAGACACATGTAGCATGGAGCAGAAAGACAGGCTACAGGTAGGGAGACCATTCAGGAGGCTGAAACCTGGTCTAGACTCCAGAGGAGAAGTAAGCATGGCCTGAGCTGGAGATAGCAGGAGCAAGAGAAAGGAAGAGAGTTGAAAGAGACACTATGGAGCTGTAATCTATGGCTTGCTACTCAAAGCGTGGCCTGGGGACCAGCAGCAGTACCTGGGAACTTGTTAGAAAAGTAGAACCTAGAGCCCCACCCAGATCCCTACTAAATCAGAATCTGCATTTTGCCAGGAGCCTTCAGTAAAAGGGGAGAACCACTGGCCCCTAGGGCCTGGCAACTTACTAAGTGTAGGGAACAGGAGAGGGAGAAGGTCCTAAGGTAATGTCAGATCTTTCAAGGACTGGATCCTAGGGGTTAGAGGTAGAGTCAGAATTAATTTGCGTGGAGGCTGAGAGGGCCAGACTAATGACCAGCTTATGGGTTCTGAGGCCCACAGCTAGAGGGAGATGTTGGGAGCTAGAGTGTCTCTGCTTAAATTTCGAATCTTTACTGCAAATCATTGTACAGTGGAGCCGCTCAATCACATCGTCTACAGGTTCCCTCTGTAAAATGCAACAATGACAATAGTGCCCACATTTTGTTTTATTAAAAAAATCCAAATTAATTGGCCAACTATTTATTTTCCAGTAGTGATGATAGTGATATTAACAACAACATGGCCTACCATTTATTTATCAGTGTTTGCTCTGTTCCAGGGGAAGTACTAAATAATTTGCTTCTACGAAAATCAATAGTAAATACCTACCAAAAATTGTCCTTATCTGTTATATTTACCCCCATTCGTATCATATAATTTATCTATTTCTTTGTCTGTCTGCCTTAATAGACTCCCCTTGGATTTCCTGGTACCTAAAATAGGGCCTCACAATTAGTAGGAACTCATTGATTTAGTTATTGTTATTTTTATTTTTATTTTATTTCCTGAGAGGAAGTCTTGCTCTGTCACCAAGGCTGGAGTGCAGTGGCCCACTCTCAGCTCACTGCAACTTCTGCCTCCCGGGTTCAAGCAATTCTCCCACCCTAGCCTCCCCAGTAGCTGGGATTACAGGCACGTGCCACCACGCCTAGCTAGTTTTTGTATTTTTAGTAGAGACAGGGTTTCGTCATGTTGGTCAGGCTGGTCTCTAATTCCTGACCTCAGTTGATTGACCCATCTCGGCCTCCCAAAGTGCTGGAGTTAAAGATGTGAGCCACCATGCCTGGCTTGATTTTTTTTTTTTTAAATGAATGAAAAACTAATCAAGTGAGAGTAGCTATCTGTATAGCACTTTAAACACCGTGACAATTTAGCACACAACATTGTACTTGTTTATGCATCTGTCTCACATGGGAAGAGATGAGCTTATCCATCTTCCTGTTCCCAGTCTGAACCTAGTGTCAGCCTCAATAAAGTAAGTGCTCAAAACATTTAGATGAATAAATGAGTTTGTAGTTTGCACTAACATGTTTTTAAAACATGATAATACACTCCTAAAGTTAGGAAAAGTGACCTTAGAATCATTGGAATTGAAACTAACCAAAGAATGTTATAACATAATCAAGTATATTCTAATATGTCCAAGAAAGAAAGGATGTCGTAACAGAAGGGTCATGCTCTCTACAAAGTTCTAGAAAAAGGACTGTAAAAACGCGATTTTGACAGTATCATTCTACATTGTGCATGGGACAGGCTACGCGTCTGATAAAAATAGACACCTCTTCAGACCAGAGACAACTTTTCCAGTTTTTACCAGCCTGATGGAAGGATCCTCATATCCACCATAGCATCTTCTGATCTGTCAGCTGCCCTCTGATGACAAGGCATCCCCCAGGAGGGAGTGTTCCAAACACGTAGCTAACCTTGGTATAAACAGGCTGCTAAAAACAGCCTGAAAGTAGGGAGAAGTTTGAATCCCAGCTCCACCATATGGTAAGTCTAAAACCTTGAGCAATTTACTTGACCTATTACAACTTTAGCTTCATTCATAAGGATGAAACTAACAGTTATGACATTAAAACAACAAAATAGTGTATATGAAGTCCATGATCCAGTATCTGGTACCTACCGCATAATATTAATACTCTAGCCCTGTTCCTGACCATCCCTTCCCTCCATGCCCAGATGTCCCTCTCATAGTTAACAAGGACATTATTATTTTTCTGCATCCTGGCAGGTGCACAAAGGTCCATGGTGTCCATGGTGACCATCTTAAAGTACTGATTCCCCAGGCCTTAGCAGCTCGCCACTAAAAGCTTTCCTCTTTTTAGCATCATTATTTTCAGTTTCCTGACTTGCTAGAAATTCACCGAGCCAGCTTCAAAAGCAGTGTTCTTTGTACCCAGCCCAAAGACTGTAGGGACCTTTCCCAAACCCTCCCTTAATCTTTCATCAGCCTAGGGACTAAGAGAGCACAGGGTCTACCCAGGACAAGCAGGACAAGTGAGACCTAGTGCCCTCTCCCCAGGAAGATACCACGGGAAGCAAGGTGATGTAGAGAGGCCGGCCTTCCCACAGTCAGCAACCAGATTGGACTGTCAACACTGTCAAGCCATCTTTCATTTTCCCAAGTTCTATTAAGGTTTTGCTACTTCCAGTATGCTTAAAAAGGTCTTAAATTTCAAGAGAAAATTTTAAAATTCAACAGGCATAAGATCTGAATTCTCTACTACAAAGCCATATGGACTCATCCTACATCAAAATGCCACCAAAAATTCATGATTTGCAGCCACAATCCTTCCATTCATTCCACCTTCCAACCTCCTTTCCGCATCGTGAGGCTTCATACCTCGCAGGCCTGAAGGGGGAGCAGTCGAGCCCAAGTTCTGGGGCACTGGTAGTGTTGGATGTAGCGAGGTTTCTAGTAGTTACTGTGGGCATCCCTACATCCAGGTGCCTCTTCTCCAGCCTTATCTCTTTCGCCAAGCCCCAGGGCTACACCCTCTTCAGAGAGATTGACTATAAATGGTCATGGGGGAAGCAGTCAGAATGCCAAGAGCTGCAAGCCTGACAGAGCTTGTGTATCAGCCTGACGGCTTCAATAGCCCAGAGTCTGCTGCGTGGAATCCCAAACAGCCTTGTATCTTCCTCCCTAACCACAGACAGCCTGCCTGCCTCTTGGGCCTTGTTTAAACAAGATGAGAGCAGGCCGTGTTTGGACTAGAAGGCCCGTGACCCTTCCCCAGTGTGGGAGAACAGGTCAGCAAGACATGGTGCAGCCTGAATGTGAGCTGCTCTCTTGCTTTTAGGTCTTCCTGACTTTCAGAAACTGGGGGCCATAAGAGCTCCACCATCTCAGAAGTCTGCTGCCAATAGGAGGAAATAGTTCAGGTTCTGTTGCACGGCAGGGTGACTATGGTTGACAACAGTGTATTGTATATTTCAAAATAGTTAGAAGAGAGGATTTTGAATGTTCTCACCACAAGGAAATGATACATGTTTGGGGTGATGAAAATGCTTATCACCCGGATTTGATCGTTACGTATCATATACATGCATCGAAACATCTCATTGCACTCCATAAATATGTACAATTATTACGTGTCAATTAGAAACAAAATAAAACTAAAAAAAAAAATCTGCCACCAAAGGAGAGATATCCTTGGCTAATGTGGATCATTGTGTTCTGAGTGTAGTAATCAATCATTACAGTTAACATGCCAGGCATGGCACTAGGTACCTTGGGGTAATGGGCACATACAGTGTTTAGCGCAGTGCTTGGCACATAGTAGGTATTTGATGAGTGATAGCGATTACTATCAATAATCTTATAGATCACTCTATGAAGAGGTATCATTATTATCGTCCTTTGTTTTGGGAAGCTGAGGAAACACACATACAGAGAAGTTCAACTTGTTCAAGGTTTTGAAACCTTGACACCATCCAGTTAGAAAGACAGATGTCTTTTATTTCTTTCTTTCTTTCTTTTGAGACGGAGTTTCACTCTGTCACCCTGGCTGGAACGCAGTGGCACGATCTTGGCTCACTGCAAGCTCCACCTCCTGGGTTCACACCATTCTCCTGCCTCAGCCTCCTGAGTAGCTGGGACTACAGGCGCCCACCACCACGCCTGGCTAATTTTTTGTATTTTTAGTAGAGACGGGGTTTCACTGTGTTAACCAGGATGGTCTCGATCTCCTGACCTCGTGATCCGCCTGCCTTGGCCTCCCAAAGTGCTGGGATTACAGGCATGAGCCACCACGCCCCGCCGAAAGACAGATGTCTTTTTAGTGAAGCTTGGCCAGTTTGGCTGCAGATATTGTGCTGCAGCCTCCGTTCCATGCTACCTCTTACCCTACTGGCAAAGCAATGACCCTGGATTATAGCCCCAGCTCTGAATACGTCACCTCCTCACTCTGGGCTTGTAGTAGGAGTTGAAGTTAATGACCTCAAAGGACTCTTCCAATCTCACCTGCTGTGACTTCAAGTTGAAGATCTCAAGGAAAGGGGAAGCTCTTCCCTAGTTGGGAACATGCCTCCTTCCCTGTCCAGAAGGAAGCTTGTGTGGATGAGGGAGGATTGTTGAGTTCCTGAGAAGCAAATGGAGAGAGTGCAGTCTCTCTTATCAAGCCCAGGAAGGAAAGACAGACAGACAGACAGACAGACAGACAGGCTACTTAGCATGAACGATATTTCCAGAAGCTGAAAGCTTGTTCTTAAACTGACGGAGGGATGCCAGCCTGCCATGGTCAACAAAGGAATTGGGACCGGGGAAATCCTGTCCTAAGAATCTGAGCTGAAAAGCATGATTGGGGTTAAACATCTGCCACCATCATTTCCTTTTCCACGTTTATTCACTGCCTGTCCCCCCACCCCCACCCCAGGTCCACTAAGTGGTACCTATGCTTTTTCCACAAAGCAGGCTGCAGAGGGAAGGCCATGTATCTGGCCAGGGCAGGGCTAGGGCTGCAGCGTTACACCCCAGAGCTGGGGCCACGGCACTCCAGCTTTGACCAGACAGCATCTAGGGCAGCTGCCCCCCCTGGTTCTTCCTATCTACATCTGGATTCCACTGTCTTCTTTTTGTGGCTTTTCTCTGAAAGCCCTCTCTTCCTTCCAGATTTGGAAATAACTGAGATAGTTGGGCAAGTTAGTTGGGAATGAGGCAGGGATATTCACGGGGAATGAGGAAGCCTTGGGGCTGCTTTTCTCCTTGCCACTCAATTGCCTTGCAGTGTCCCCTGGGAGCCGGGTAGGACAGGGTCGGCTAACCCTGACCAATAGTCAGAACCCTCCAAAACCCATCCTTTTCTTGTCAAAAGCCACCTCCTCCAAGAAGTCCTCTGCAATCGGATCCAGCAGCAACTCTTTCTTGTCCTGCCTCATCTCTGTGGAATTTACAAGGTTCAAATGCTGCTGATTATGTGAGGTGGATGCTGCATCTTAAGTGTATACTTTCTGCTGTTCCTTCTCTATTTTGCATATTGCATTAGATTAGGAGTCCTTTAAGAATAAAATGTTCTGGGTCTCATTCCCCTCAACGCTCTTGCACCTGCCCTCCCTGGGTTATGCAGCATCTACTCCCGGCTTTGCACAGAACGTGCGGCATCCAAGCATTCACTCAGGATTGGGGCATATGAGAGGGTAGTGGGGAAACCCTGCTCTTCAGGGACCCATGAATATGAAAGACCACCATAAGAGAGGGAGGGACAGAACAAAGCTCTGGTCCCTCAAAAGACCAAGTGTCTATTTTTGCACTCTGAAAATGAGGTGTCAGGTCCCTGCTGGGGAATCCCTGGAGGCAGCTGGGCTCCCCAAAGCAGCTGGGCTCCAAATGTCCAGGAGGAGGTGCAAAGAGGAAGAGATTTTGCTTTGGCTCTGAGGGCCTCTGGGATTCCCAGAGGAATCCACAAGCCTCATATATATTTATGTGAACTTAAGATGCTAATGAGCATTGAGGAGCCAAGAGCCCTGCTGGGTTTGCAAGTAACTGGGCCTACTCTTCACACAGTCTTCTTTGTCTGCAAGGCTTCAGGTTCAAATTGCAGATCTGGGTTTTTTTAGCGCAGCTGACATGGAAACCTGCCCAGGCCTACGGCAGAATCACCGTGGGCTCCAGGAGAAAGCTTCCACCCTGCTTCCTTGGACAAGACACTGAGCCTAGGTCTGACTGAGGTCATCTTGTCCATCTTCCAGTCTCCAAGAAGGACAGTGTCCAACCCCTCTTAGATAGGGAGGTTTTTACTCCACTCCTAAGACTTCCCTCTTACCCCATTTTTCATCCATTGCAATCATAGTGTCAATAAAGAGAGTCAAACTTTGTAAAACATTTGAAGAAACATATTCTGAACCAAATAAGAGTGACCATGGCCCATAACACAGCTCTCAGGAGACCCTGACAACATATGCTCAAGGTTGTAGGGGCACAGCTTGGTTTTATCATTTTAGGATACATTTAAGATGTACATTGGTTTGGTCCAGAAAGGTGGGACAACTCGAAGCAGAGGAAGCCGGTGTTGGGGGGTTTGTGGGCGGTGCCTCCAAGTTATAGGTAGATTTAAAATTTTTCTGATTGGCAGTTGGTTGAAAGAGTTTATCTAAAGACCTGCAATCAATAGAAGTGTCTGAGTTAAGGGGTTGTAAAGACCAAGGTTCTTATTATGCAGATAAAGTCTCCAGGTACGGCTTCAGAGACAATTGATTGTAAATTTCTTATCAGACTTAAAAAGGTGCCAGACTTTTAGTGGATTCTCTCTTTGATCAGGAAAAGGGTCTGGAAGAGGAAAAGGAAATTCTCTATAGAATGTAGACTTTTAACCCCAAGAGATGACTTTGTAGGGCAATTTCAAGATCTGGCAAGGAAATATATTTGGGGTTAAAATATTTTCATTTCCTTCCTTATTTGTTATGTGATGTGCCCGAGTCAGGTTGGAAAGCAGGCCACATTATACAGGGTTAAATCAAATCCCTCTGATGAGACTTCATGGTTTGTAGGGCAAACTCCCCAGGCCTCTTAGGTAGTAATTTGGGAAAGAGAAGAAAACAGGTCAGAGTTTAGTCCTCAATAACGATCTGTGGAAGTTCCTCCTTTTGGCTAACTTAAGTGTTGTGTTGCACATGAAACCTGCTTTTTTTTTTTTTTTGAAATGGAGTCTCACTCTGTTGCCCAAGCTGGAGTGAGGTGGCACGATCTTGGCTCACTGCAACCTCCACCTCCCAGGATCAAGTGATTCTCCTGCCTCTGCCTCCGGAGTAGCTGGTACTATACGCGCAGGCCACCACATCTGGCTAATTTTTGGTATTTTTAGTACAGATGGGGTTTCACCATGTTGGCCAAGCTGGTCTCGAACTACTGAGCTCAAGTGATCCACCCCGCTCGGCCTCCCAATGTGCTGGGATTACAGGCGTGAGCCACCACGCCCAGCCGAAGCCTGCTTTTTCTTGCTGCTGTGAGGCATGAAGATCAGCTCGTTGTCATCCTATAAAGACTGTTTGCTGGCATTAATACTCCCTGCTGCCTCCTTGGTCACAGCTTAATAACCAGTTTCTTTATCTGTTCATCACGGGGCGAGGACTCTGTGCCAGGCACTGGGCAAACCAAGACGAATGAGTCTCAAGACTTCATCCTTAGGATCATATGATCTTATGTGGGGAGACGTTCGAATACATTTATCACAACATATTATGATATTTGTTAAAACCAGGGTATGAGCAAGGTCTCTGGGGACCACAGCAAAAAGCAACCAGCTCTGCTTGGGGTTGACGGGCAAGGTTTCCCAGAGGGGCTAACCTCTGAGCTTGGCCTTAAATGCCAAGTAAGCATTTCCCAGGTAGAAAAATGGGGAAAGGGTGTCATTCTAAGTAGAGGGAAGAACAAGCATGAAGACCAGAAGATCTGAAAGGGTCTGGCCTGTGTGGGGAACAGCAAGTCACACCAGGGAGTCTAAAGGGTTCTCCTAGTTTAAAGACACCAAGTAGACAAAGTCTGCATTAAGCTAAGGGCTAGCTGGTCCCTTAGAGTCCACAGAAGGTAACCTTGGAGACAGCAGGCTGGAAAGGGAGTGGGACTGGAGAAGGGAGGGTATTTGGGAGACTATTCCCTAAGATTTTTTTTTTTCTTTTCTTTTCTTTTCTTTTTTTTTTTTTTGAGACGGAGTCTAGCTCTGTCACCCAGGCTGGAGTGCAGTGGTGTGATCTTAGCTCACTGCGACTTCCACCTCTTGGGTTCAAGCAATTCCCTTGCCTCAGCCTTCCGAGTAGCTGGGATTAACAGGTGCGTGCCAACACAGCCGGCCAATTTTTGTTTTTTAGTAGAGACAGGGTTTCACCATGTTGGCCAGGCTGGTCTCGAACTCCTGGCCTCAAGCGATCCGCCTTCCTCGGTCTCCCAAAGTGCTGGGATTGCAGGCATGAGCCACCGCGCTCGGCCTGTTGGAAGACTGTCGTACTAATTCAAGCAAGAGAGAAAGCCATTTAAGGACGAGTGGCACTTAGACATTTAGATGTTTAAAGTAATACTTTAAAAATAGAAGTTATACATACTTGTTATACAAAACTTGGATAATAAGGACAAAAATAATGAAGAAAATAACAATCATCTGTGTTGGCTCTTAACATTTCAGTGCAGATTTCCTTCCAGGCTGTTTTCTAAGCATTTATACATATTCACTGTAGAGATTTTACTATACTGTATATACAATTCTGTATTTTTTTTTTACTCAACATTATATTATGAGCATTTATCCAAGTCATAAAATTTCTTTGTCATCTGTTTTACGAGCAGTGTTATATTTGATTATATAGATTCATGAATCCTAATTTACTTAGCCACTTTCTTTCTATTTTATTTTTCTTGAGATGGAGTCTCGCTCTGTTGCCCAGGTGCCTCCTGGGGTCAAGTGATTCTCCTGCCTCAGCCTCCCGAGTAGCTGAGACTACAGGCACCCACCACCACGCCTGGCTAATTTTTTGTGTTTTTAGTAGAGACGGTGTTTCACTATGTTAGCCAGGATGGTCTCGATCTCCTGACCTTGTGATCCACCTGCCTCGATCTCCCTAAGTGCTGGGATTACAGGCTTGAGCCACCGCACCCAGCCTACTTAGCCACTTTCTTATTTTGAGATGTTAATTTGTGCCAGTGTTTATGTTGCAATAAACTTTTATTGTTTATTTATTTGCTTTTTTTTAGACAGGGCCTCTCTCAGTCATCCAGGCTGTAGTGCAATGGCACCACCTTGGCTCACTGCAGCCTCAACCTCTTGAGCTCAGGTGATCCTCCCATCTCGGCCTCCCATGTAGCTGGGACTATAGTCGTGAGCCACTATACTTGGCTAATTTTTTGTTAATTATTTTGTAGAGACAGGTTTTAGCCGTGTTGCCCAGGCTGGTCTCAAACTCTTGGGCTCAAGTGATCCACCTGCCTTGGCCTCCCAAAGTGCTAGGATTACAGGTGTGAGCCACCACATCCAGCCAATAAACATTTTTTTACATTGTATTTTATTATGTCCTTAGCATAGATTTCTAACAATGGAATTATTGGGCCAAGGCTATGAATGGTTTTAAAATTCCTGAAGCTGACTTTTAAATGTTTTTTAAAGAGGTTTGTGCTGTTTGCACCCCACTAATAATGTATGAGCACTTCCAGAGGGATGTTTCTATAAGGGCCATAGTATTTTCCTTGTCACCATTTTGCATGACACCTTTTCAGGATGCATGAGATGTCACACCTTGCACCCTTAGATACAAACCCAGAGCTTCACTCTCAAGGTTAACATCCTCTTTTCCTAGACTTCTCTAGAACAATTATTAGTAAAAGCAGATATGGTTTGCTTTAATCTCTTACAAAGAGCTCGGTTCTGGGACAGGATGGTAGGTAAGATCCCCTGTTGGGAACAAGCCAGTGCCAGCTGCAGTGCTGATATGACAGCATGTGTAATTTCCCATGATATGAGACTGTTTTATGGCTGGAGCCAGCACATAGCCTGGGTTTTCTTGGAGAGTCCCTGTTCTATCCTGTTATTCCAAAAGTATTCTCAAGCCAGTCAGACCACAAAGTGACTTCTATTTGTAACACACAGTCTTACATGAATGCATTCATGGACACATGTAGATGTGGGCCGACATTCCTTTTTATACATGCCAGATGGAAGTCTGCGTGTAATAACCACAAGGGAATGACTGCATAGTGCCTGGCTCATTACAAAATATTTTAATGCATATGATCTCATCTTGAGGTTTGGGGTGATTAAGGAAAAGAGCACAGGCTTGGCAATAAGGTATATACTAGTTTGTGACTTTGGCCACATTTCTTAACCTCTAAGAGCCTCATCCTCCTCTGTAAAATGGGAGTTAGTGTCCTTGTTTTGCAGATGAGGAAACTGAAGCTCAGGAATAAGTGACTTGCCTAAGATCACAGAGCTGATAAATAACAGCTCTGTCCAGGATGCCGCACTCCTTCACCACATCAAAAAAAAATTCCAGGCCTGGGCTGAGTGCTGTGGATCAGACCTGTAATCTCAACAGTTTGGGAGATCAAAGTGGGTGGATCGCTTGAGCTCAGGAGTTCGAGACCAGCCTGGGCAATATGGTGAAATCTCATCTCTACAAGAAATCCAAAAAATTAGCTGGGCATGGTGGTGCATACCTGTAGTCCCAGCTACTTGGGAGGCTGAGGTGGGAGGACCACCTGAGTCTGGGAAGTTGAGGCAGCAGTGAGCTGTGATCTCGCTACTGCATTCCAGCCTGGGCAACAGGTGGGACCCTGTTTCAAAAAAAATTTTTTTTAATAAAACAAAAAATAAAAATTCCAGGCTTAGAAATTTAAACTTCTTAAGTTTAACCTTAACCTTTCCACCTTACATAGAGGCCAAGACATTGTCCTTCAGAGCAAGCTCTTCCTACACGTAATTACATGCTCCTTCTACTGCACTGTGCTACCTCATATCTCCCTCCACATCAGTTCTTTTGGGAACAGGAAATAGCTTAAAAGTGTTCTGTTTCATACTATGTATAATAGGAAATTCTGATTGTTTCCTTCCTTCTTATTCAGGGAAACAAGATGGTTAATGGGAAGGGATGGCATAGGCAAAGATCATCTGGACTAGGCGACATCCTATCCTGAATCCAGCTTCTCTTCCATCTGGACACTAAAGCTCTATCTCCCAAAATATAATATTTCATATCTAGGCCTGACATTGGGTCTCCTTGAGTTGTTTTGTTAAGCACTGAAAAAATAAATAAAAGAGCCTCCCACTTGCCCACTTGCTGCCTCCTTCCTCCTTTGGAAGATGTGTCTGGTCTCTGGGGAGACTTTTGCAATGGCTGACCTTGCTGGTCTATCCATCTTCTAAAGGCCCTTCTGTCTAGAGGTGGCAACCTAATGTCCTTTATATTCTCTCTTTTTTAAGGCCCCATGAATTTTCTTTAATCTAGAAATTAGGAAGCACTTAGGATTTTTTAAATGGTTATCTAAGGGTTATTTAATTCATCACCCTGTTACTCAACCCAGCATTCCTTCCCTGGATTAAAGCCATCTGGTGTGTGCTCATTGTGAAACATACTAGTGGAATGTTAATGCCTGTATTTTGGAAGCAGAGGCAAGGAAAGAGGGGAAAGGGGCTCTCTATTGCAAAAGTGGTAGCTTTTCTTTGGTGTTTTAGAGACAAGATCTCGTTCTGTCACGCCAGCTGGAGTATGGTGATGCAATCACGGTTTGGTGCAGCCTTAAACTCCTGAGATCAAGTGATCCTCCTGCCTCTGTCTCTCTAGTAGCCGGGACTGTGGGCCTGCACCACCATGCCTGACTTATTAAAAAAAATTTTTTTTAAGAGACGGGGTGTATTAGTCCATTTTCACACTGCTATAAAGAACTTCCCTGAGACTGGGTAATTTATAAAGAAAGGTTTAATTGACAGTTCTGCGTAGCTGGGGAGGCCTCAGGAAACTAATAATCACGGTGGAAGGGGAAGCAGACACCTTCACAAGGCAGCAAGAGAGAGAAGAGCAAAGAAGGAACTTCTAAACACTTATAAGACCAACAGATCTCACGAGAACTCACTCACTATCATGAGAACAGCATGGGGGGAACCACCCCATGATCCAGTCACCTTCCTCCCTCAACATGTGGGGATTACGGGTCCCTCCCTTGACAGGTGGGGATTACAAATTGAGATGAGATTTGAGTGAGGACACAGAGCCAAAGAATATCACAAGGTCTCACTATATCACCCAGGCTGACGGGCTCAAGAGATCCTCCCTCCTCAGCCTCCTGAGTAGTTGGGACTACAGGTGTGAGTCACCACGCCCAGCTTGCTTTTCCTTTATCTTTTATGCAAAAATACAGTTTGAAGTATTTTAGCTTTGGCTCAATTATTATTTATTTGAGGCATTGCATTGGTTGACAAAGGCTGCAAGCTTATGAGTCTCCGTGTCAACTCAATGGGTTCCATATATTGAAGAAACTTGAGAGGAAGATGTTTGTCATCTAGATCCTGCATAGAAAGAGCTCACTCTGAAAGATCACATCCTGGCCTTTGCATCAGGTGGAAACTTGAAGATTCATAGAAGTTTTGACTCCTGCAGCTGTGAGTTGCCTCAAGAAATCTTATTTTAGTTAGTTACCAAATGCTAGCCATTCCCTAGCACTAGAGTGTAAACTTAGGCCACTGGTCCTTGACATTTTCATTGCCTCACAGGGGAGTAAGAAAAAATATAGATGATGTAATCTGCATGTGTATAAAATAAGGTGTTATTAAAATACTTAGAATAGTGTCTAGTGTACATTTAGCACTCACTAAGTGTTAGCTATTGGAAACAGAGAGCTGTCCATGAATGGTTGCCAACTGCCTTTTTATCTTTGTTTTTGAAATTCTGCTTCTTTTTAGGAATAATTTTAACAGCAGGATGGTAGTTTGTATTTTGGTTTAAAACTATAGTCAATAATATTCTAAAAGTGAGCCCCTGATTTTGTGCCCAAGTTTATTTTTGAAATTACACTAGTTCCTGAAATAAAAAAAAAATTGAGAAACACTCATTTAGGCATGTCTGTATTTGAAATCACACTTTGATGTATAAAGATTCCTCTTTGAGTGACCCAAGGAAGCTTAACCATTTGGGCGTTTTGTTCAAGGAATGAGTATCTCTGGAAGGGAAATGGTAGGCTGGTGGCCCGCAGGCACCACTACTCCACAGGCTTCCTTTGAAGGTTGAGACTGAGCCAGTGGGACCCTAGTTGCTGAGATTCCACCCCCATGCTGGTAACTATTCCCTCTCACTTTGAATGCCTGTTCTCTCCTGGCTCCTTAGCACCAGCTGGGGCTGTTGGAGGTGGGAGCTATATCTGACCCCAGAAGCAGCCTTACCAGTGACAATCTGTCAGGCCAAGCCTTACCTTTGCTTGGAGTTAACAGTGCATGTGAAGGAGACAGTGTATGCATCTCCCTGGTTCTATTTATATTACACACAGAGAATCACCATTTTGGGTGTCATATACTAATACTTTATATGTGGCATGTGGTGTGACAGACACAAGGGTAGTGCTATGCTCAGCTCTAAGTCCTGCCTTGAGGTTTAGGACAAAGTGGGTCATTCACTTGTCCATTCAACAAGTACCCACTGAGTACCACATGTTAGCCACTACAGAGGATGCAAAGAAGAATCAGATCAGCACCATGCCTACAGAGAGCTTATGGTCTAGAAAGTGAAAGAATACGTGTGAATCATCACATTTTGAAGGGTAGCAGGTGCGGGTGATTGTTGCCATAACAGAAAGTTCATGAGAGCTTAGAGTAGACAGAGATTAATTTGATGGAGGGGAATATAGACAGTCTTAGGGTAAAGATGGTACTTAGGCCATTTAGAGGCAGTCCTAGAGCAGGCTTCTGTCTGAATTCAGAGCCCTTCCCTCAAAATCCTCACTGCTTTGGGGTGTTTTTGCTCCTTTGATGCAGTGTGTATTTGGGAGGTGCGGTCTTAGGAAGCAAAAATGAGGCAATAGGAAGCAGATGGGAGGGTGGGGAGTGGACATTGGCCCTGTGCCTCCTGTCTCCTGAGCATCTTCTTGGAGGCTCTGGTGGGTCACTTCATCCTTGCTGAATCAGGAACCCTCAGCTGGAGGACCAACACGTTTGGGTTACATTTACGTCATCTTTCAGCCCCAAGGACTTAATGGTAAATTTATTCTTGAACTCACATGAGGGGTTCATGGGAATCTGAAGAAGCCAAACAGGGCTGTAAACATGGATTCTGGGCCTCAAGATCAAAACAAATCATCAAACTACAAAGTTGTATGGGAATCCAGAAGCAAAGGGAGGATGACAGGTTCTATACAGTCTGGACTATAGCTGAGATTGCAGGCATGAGCCACTGTGCCCAGCCTTGAGATGCCATCCTTTTTGGGTTTATGACACATGTTTAAAACATCTTGATTGTGGTGATGTTTCATGGGCATATATGAAACTCAACCAATTATATAGTTTAAATATGTGCAGTTCATTGTATGTTAATTATATCCCAAAAAATCTTGTTTTTATTTATTTTTATTTAATTATTTTATTATTTTTAACACGGGGTCTCACTCTGTTGCCCAGGCTGGAGTCTGGAGTGCAGTGGCACGATCTCGGCTCACTGCAACCTCCGCCTCCCGGGTTCAAGCGATACTTCTACCTCGGCCTCCAGAGGAGCTGGGATTACAGGCACGTGCCACTATGCTGGGCTAATTTTTTTTGTATTTTTAGTAGAGATGGGTGTCACCATGTTGGCCAGGCTGGTCTCGAACTCCTGACCTCAGGTGATCCACCCGCCTCAGCCTCCCAAAGTGCTGGTATTACAGGCATGAGCCATGGTGCCTGGGCCAAATCTTGTTTTTAAAAAGTGTACTTAGAATTGGTGTCAAATGACCTCCATAGAGCAATGGCCTCCATAGCTCAGGCTCTACTCCTCTGCCCAGATTAGACTCCCCTGAAGAGCCTCCTTTTGTGCTAAGTCATTCTGTAGGAGAGGTCAAGTGTGCCATCACCAGAAAGATGGTTTAAATGGGAGAATATCCAAGTGTGCATCATTCCTCACTTGGATTCCCATTGCCTTCATTCCATTCCTTCACTCTAGCATTTTTCTCATTTTCGCAAAGACACCCAAGCTGAATCCTAGCTTTTTGACAGTCACTAATTGAGTGCCATTGGACAAATTGCTTCTCTGAGTTTCAGCAGTTTGCTCATCTATAAAATGGAGTTATTTGATGGTTGTTATGGAGATTAACTTAGTCTACATATTGAGTGCCTGGGACATAACATGACCTCCATTCATGATGGTTAGCATTATTGTGACAACTAGAAAGGAAGGTTAAAGGGATAGGAGTGTTACATTTGTAAAAGAGAAGAGCAGGATGGGAGATGCAAATGAAAGGACTCTCTCTATTTAAAGGGTTTTTGAGTAGCAGGAGGATGTGTGGCTGTGGTGTCTTAGGACATGGCCTCTGAAGCTTACAGGGCCTCTATCTTTGGGCAAGTCATTTAAATCCTCTGAGCCTCAGTTTACGTATTGGTAGAATGAGGATTGGTGCTTTGTACTTCAGGGTGTGGTTGTATTACATGAGGTTCACATATATGAAAACGTCTAGCACAGTGTCTGTTACAGATAAATTTAAAAAGTGTTTTTTTAGGGATTGTGTCTCCCTATGTTGCTCAGGCTGGTCTCCAACTCCTGGCCTCAAGCAATCCTCCTGCCTCAGCCTCCCAAAGTGCTGGGATTAGCAAACATGAGCCACTACACCCAGCCTGATAAATGTTTTTAAAACATCGCTTTATAAATTGGAGGACCCTTTACTTGTAAGGCAGTTATGGCCATTACTAATATTTGTTACCTCGGTTGGTGGAAGATGCCAGGAAGGGAAACTCCAGTTCAGAGGAGAAAGTCCTTTCTCATGGAAGGAGCTGCCTGAGAGTGGAAAGGGCTTTGCAAGTATTGAGCTTCCTGTTGTTTGCTCAAATGGAGGATGCATGATCATCTTTCAGAAAGGGATTTCTATTGGGTGGAGGCGGGATAGAGAGATTTGTAAAAGTTTCCAACAGGTCTAGCTCTCATCTCTTGTGTCAGAAAGAAAGGAACAAGGAAGCCTGGGGAAGGGTGGAGTCCACACAAATGAGCTGACACTCATTATAACAAATACTGTAATGGCAAACCCTAGAGCCGCTAGAGGGGTCTTGTTCATGAGGCAGAGAGAGTGGAGATTATATACCTGTGTTTGTGCTAGGAGGGGGTTTGGAAATTCTGGGGAAACCACTCTTGTCTCTCAAAACAAGAACTGTTGTGCCCTGTAGTGGGAAGGGCCAGTGGCAACCAAGTACCAGTGATCCGCAGGGGGCAGAGGCCAGTGTCCTGGGCCCCCTTTGCAATTACCAATACAAGATGTAAGTATGCCTTAAAATCCTTGGGCTTGCCGGGGGTTCAAAGAGCTTTGGGCTGGGAGCCAGGCCCCTTGGCTGGAGTCCCAACTCTGCCACCAACTAGCTTTATAGTTTAAGGAAAGTCCACCCTAACTTCTCTGAGCCTCTGTTTCTCTCCTTCCCTCCCTCCCTTTCTTCCTGAGAGGCATTTTCCATGGACCAGTAACACTGGCTAGGAACTTATTGGAAATTCAGAGTCCTAGGCCTCACCCTAGACTTAAATCAGAACTTGCATTTTTAAACAAGATCCCCAGGTAAATTCTAAAACTGAGAAGCAGGGGCTTAGATGGCTTGAATAACATTAACTTATGGAGCCAGCTCTAAAGTCAGACTGCCTGGATTCAAATTCAGGCTTCATTGCTTACCAGCTGTGTCACCTTCAGTGAGTACATGAGCATCTCTGTGTCAGGCACTGTCCTAAGCACCAAGGACCCAGAAGTAAATGAAGTAAATGATATAGACGAAGTCTTGGCTATTGCAGAGACAGGCAGTAAACAAGTACATTGGCACATTCGGTCTAATGTGTGTGTTTCCCACAAAGCTCATATGTTGAAATCCTAACCCTCAAGGTGCTGGTATTTGGAGGTGGGGCCTTGGGGACTGATTAGGTCATGAGAGCAGAGCCTTAGAAACGAAGCCCCAGAGAGCTCCCTTACCCCTTCCACCACGTGGCTCTCTATGAACGAGGAAGCAGGCCCTCACCAGACACCTAACCTGTTGTGCCTTGCTCTTGGACTTCCCAACCTCCAGAACTGTGAGGAATACATTTCTGTTGTTTATAAGTCACCCAGTCTACAGTAATTTGTTAAGCAGCCTGAACAGACAAAAACAGAAATGCATAGGAGTAAAAAAAAAAAAAAAAGACACTGATAAGTGTTAGGGAGAAAATATAACAAGGCAAAGTGATAGTGACTAGGCAGAGTCCCTGGTTAGCTGGGGCAGGGGTGAGAGAGGGTTTCAGGAAAGCGCTCACTGAGGTGGTGTTTGCACTGAAACCTGAAAGGCAAGGAGCCAGCCTTGCAGCCATCTGGGGAAAGAGCATTCCTGGGCAAGGGAAAAACAAGCGCAAAGACTCTGAGACAGAAACCACTTTGGCATCTTCAAGGGCAGAGGCTTGGGCAGAGTCAGACTGTGTGGGAAGCTGGATGCCTGGAGAGAAGGTCTCTATTCTTAGTGATAGGAAAGCACTGGGGGCAGAGCCAGCAGCAGCAAGCAGACTGGGGGCCCGGGGTGTGTGCATGTGAGAGGGTCTCTGCCTCCAACCTCAGTGTCAAGAGCATCAGCTCATGCTGCCTGCAGGGGAAAGAACAATGCGCAATCCAGTCTATGGCTCCCCACAAATGAATACCACACAGCGTGACCTCTATAGCAGAGAGGGAACCTACACCTTCTCCCTTCCAGTCTATCTTCCAGCAGGGTGAAAACTGAGACCCAGAGGTGAGTTGCTCAGTCACTTCCCAACACCGCCACACAGCCTGAGAAGGTCTCCAAATTGGCCTATAAACTATGAATGTGTTCTCTTTCCAGAGTGAGACTGAACAATTTCACAACTGTCTCCACCTCATCCCCACATGTCTTTTCTCCTGCTCTCTTCCTAGGTCCCAGGCTCTCTGCAGCTCCTGCCCTGGCTCACCCCAATGCAATGCCCTCAAGCGATTGCTTTCGCCTCATGGTAGATATTCTTGCTCCACTGTGAGCTGAAGTTAAGTTCTTCCATCTCCCTTACTATCTTTTCCCAAAACTTTTGTTTCACTTATTATCTCTACCAAACATTTTGGCAATGAATTCCATTCCGTCCTACTTTGTTCCCCAGTTTCTCTCCTTTGTCAATCTGCTCCCCGACCAGGCTCTCGGGTCTTGTACGGCACTATCTCCACTCACAGTACCAGGCAAGGGAGTTGCCCTGTAAGTGAAATCTGTGTTTTCCTCTAAGATCCACCCCCAGCTAGCCCTTTGAGATCCCAGGGAAAACAATACACACAGAAGAAATTGTTATAAAACCAAACCTAGGTCAGAAACATTTCACCCCATTCTGAGAAAAGTGACAGTTCGATTTCTTGTTGTCTGGGTGGGATTAATATCACAGCAGAAATCAGCTTTGTCTGAAACAGCTCGAACTGAACGGATGAACACATTCATTTCCAGGCCTGCCTGTCATTCCCTCCCCTGGGCTGCCCTTATTTTGGGCTCCCTACTGGGCATGTGACTTGGAATAGAGAGAAAGTCGACAAATGTGGGTTATGCTTCTTTTAGTTCAAGGCTGCTCCGCAATCCTAGAAATACAAATGTCTTTTCCTACCTTGCTTGGTGCCTGCTATTTTAACATCTGACAGTCTGGTTTTAGAGCAAAACATTAACAAAAGATGACACTCAGCACCCATTTAAAAGACTTTTACAGTGACTTTGACCCAGGATGACACACAGCACCGATTTAAAAGACCGAACAACTGCTCTGACCCAAGTTTGCTTTGAGATAAGCCAAGACCCTAGAGAAGCTGGTGAAGCATCCTGCGAAGAGCTGGCCAACCACTTTCTCACCTGGAGCACAGATTCCATCACTTCTGTTTCCATCCGAGCGAGGTCATCACCACAGGGTAGGACAGGCTGGGGAACCATGAATAACTCATTTCCAAATCTGGGTTAGACTCTTGCAGCAGGGAAGGGACCTACAAATTTTCCCTTCTGATCTCTCCTTGGACAGGGTGAAAATGAGACCTAGATTCAGAGCCAGGCATCAAACAGGAAAACATGTAGTCTTGGAATACCTCTTTGGTGGCCTAATTATTTCTTCAATTATAACTACTGAGGGTCTACTCTTCACCAAGCGTGGTTCCTATTATATGCTTTACCCTCTGGGCGTTTATTTCCCTTTCTGAATCCTCAGGCCCAAGAACACAGGCTACTGCTGTCCTCACACACAGTCTGGTTTATTTGCTGTCCACTGTGACACTCCAGCCCGACCTCGGCAAAAGGGTGTAGGCCAGTGAATCCAGAAAACTCCAAGGCCTTCGTAAGAACATCATCATTTCAAAGACGCAAGAAAGGCTTAACCGTGAAATAACTCAATGCCCACACACCCTCACCCAGCACTCACGCACCCTCCAGCCTTTCATTCCATTTGGACTGAATGTGGACCCTTAACTCCTTTCTTCCTCAGTTTATAAACCTAAGTCTTTTGTGCCAATGTGCATCACCTGAGGTATATAGCAAAGCCATAACATATAAAATGCAAGCTTAGAAAAGTGAGGATGTCACCTCTCTCAGGTCAGATGATTCAGGTATGAATCTTCATTTCCATAACTTCTGTCAAATGTGCCTTCAGTACTTGCTCTTCTATAATGTTTTTCCCCTTCCATGGGGATCTTGCTAAAATGTGCATTCTGGTTCAGTGGGTCTGGAGTTAGTGGGTCTGAGATTCTGCATTTCCAACAAGCTCCCTGGTGAAACCACTGCTGCTAGTCTGAGGGTCACTTTTTTTGCTGTTGTTTGTTTGTTTGACAGAGTCTTGCTCTGTTGCCCAGGCTAGAGTGCAGTGGCGGGATCTCGGCTCACTGCAACCTCCATCTCCCGGGTTCAAGTGATTTTCCTGCCTCAGCCTCCTGAGTAGCTGGGATTACAGGCACCCACCATCATGCCTGGCTAATTTTTGTATTTTTAGTAAAGACAGGGTTTCACTATGTTGGCCAGACTGGTCTCGAACTCCTGACCTCAAGTGATTCACCTACCTCGGCCTCCCAAAGTGCTGGAATTACAAGTGTGAGCCACTGCACCTGGCCTGAGGGTCACTCTTTGAGTAGCAAGATACTCTACTACTAGGGTGACCAATTAAATGGCTTTCTTGGGACTGTCCCAGTTTTAGCACTGAGAATCCTGCATTCCATGTCCTGAGGAACCCACAGGACATGGGCAAACAGGATGCTTGGTCACTGTATGCGTGAAACAAATCTCAAATCTCAAATCTTCCCAGAGAAGACAGCCTTACCTGGCAACCATCTTTCAGGGAAAGCTCACTGACTGCCCACCCGATGTGCTGGGGTGGGGATGAAACACAGAAGCCATAAGCCAGCACAGAGCCCTGCTGAGTGCGGTGGGGTGTGGCTGCCACTCATAATGGGGCTCCTGGTCATGTGGGGCAGTAGGATGAGTAATGATTCAGGAGCCAGAAGACCTGGCTTCGAGTTTTGATTTGACTAACTGGCTGTGGTAACACCAGAAAAATTTCTTAACCTCTCTGATCCTCATCTGCAAAATGAAGGCTGTCATCTGTCTCATAATGTTATCTTGAAGATTAAATGTGCTAACATAGGGATAAGCACTTAGCCTAGAAATCATATTTTAATTAATTAATTATTACTTTTTTTGATTAATTTCGCTTTGTCGCCCAGGCTGGAGTGCAGTGGTGTGATCTCAGCTCACTGCAACCTCTGCCTCCCGGGTTCAAGTGATTATTCTGCCTCAGCCTCCTGAGTAGCTGGGACTACAGGCACGTGCCACCACGCCAGGCTAATTTTTGTATTTTTAGTAGAGATGGGGTTTCACCATGTTGGCCAGGCTGGTCTCGAACTCCCTGACCTCAGGGGATCCTGCCGCCTCGGCCTCCCAAATGCAGGAATTACAAGCATGAGCCACCGTGCCCAGCCGAAATAATATTTTTAAAATCCCACCAAAATTTTCTGTGCTCATTAGCTGACTTGTGTTTCTTCTGCTCATGCTGCCTCAGTGATACCCAGGCAAGGTTAGTGATGAACAGGGTGAACCTGGCGAGGCGGAAGCAAAAGAGGAAAGGAGAGGAAGAGGGCCTTAAACTCCATGCACCACGGAAGGAGCTCCTGAATTGGCTCAGAGCCCATACACGACTCTTGCCATTCTCTGCAGAGGACCTAAAAGGGCCAGAGAAGGAGTCAGTCAACATTGCTGGGAGGGCTTTGACCACTAATAAGGCTAAAGTTCAAACTAAAGCTGAAAGGAGAGGCCACATGTCCTAAAAATTACTAAGTGAAAAGTGAATCAGCCAACCTTCTCCTGGAACGGGATTTTACATGCATTCATACATTTGTTTGTTCCCTCATTCATTCATTTGGCAGGAATCTAACATGTGCCAGCCGCTCACCGGGCTTGGTATTCCTGACAATACGACACTGTTCCCTGCTCACAGTCACCAGGAAAGACAGAGAACCCCAAACTGTACCATAACATGCCACAAACTATT
Organism: Homo sapiens; assembly: GCF_000001405.40. NCBI lineage: Eukaryota > Metazoa > Chordata > Mammalia > Primates > Hominidae > Homo > Homo sapiens. Next base: position 123,184,964 of record NC_000011.10, read on the forward strand.
CTAAAGGTGTGGACAAGGTGCTCTCGGGGCTGAGAGGGGCGAGCACAGCTCTGTGTCTGGAGAGTCAGGAAAGCCTCTGTAGATGAGGCGGCGGATGGGAGGGAGCTGGTCAGGGTAGAAGTGGTGAAGAGGTGGCTGGTCACAGGGGATGGAAGGTAACAGCGTGGAGGTCTTCAAGAACAGGGTGGGGGACCAGGGGACAAAGCACCACTATTAGCTTAGGCTGAGGAGAGCAAAGGCTTTCAGGAGTGGGTGCCTCGCAGAGGTTGTGCAGTGAGAATTTGGGAGAGTTGGGGAGGGAGGGAGAGAGGAAAAGGGGCAATACATGAAAGATGAGCTTGACGGAGTTCACGCTGGTCTTTGTTCTCTGTCTGTCTGTCTTGTTAAGTGCCAGATCTGAGGGCAGGCCAATTTGGCGCCAGGGGAGAGAGAGAGAGAGAGAGAGCAGGAGGAAGGTCAGGCTGAGGCAGCAGCATGTGGGGACGGTCACCTGCATTCCTCAGGGCTTGGGAAGCTGCAGGACTCCGGGAACAGGGTGTGAGAGGCAGTGGAGCAGAGAAGGAGGCTGCGGAGAGGTGGCCTCGTTTCCGGCCTCCCCTCCCTGGGGATGGAGCGGAGGCAAGGCGGGAGCCGGCTGCCCTTCCCTATTGGTGGGAGTGGAGTCGGGTAGAGCTCCCCCAGGGGAAGGCAGATGGGTACCAGGCCTCCGCTGAAAACCCGGACTCTGCCTGCCTGGCCCAGGACTTCATTCTGAGTGGGAATTCTAGGCTCGCAGGAATCTGGGACACCAGTTTAGCCCTCTTTAATGAGGAGAAAAAATCGCACTTTGCTGTTCAGGTCAGTGGGAAGAAAAAAACAAACAGATTTTTCTTCTCACCTTGAGGTTTTCCTTTCCTCCTATTTAAAAAGCAAACATAATTCAACACATCTTGTATTTGGGTGTAGGGCTCATTGGAGTTTAATTTTGATCAGGACAAATGACTGCCTGGAAACTGGGGGTGAGGAACTTGCAGCTCCCACAGGCCAGGCCTCTCAGTGGCCTCCTGTCTGTCTGTGTGTCACTGTACCTATGTGACCTGGCTGCCTCGTCATGCCTACTTCCCAGATCAGTGCTGAAGAGGGCAAACTCTGCTCGCGTCTGCTGTTTTGCTCTATTCAAGCTGTACAGCCTAGGATGGAATACCTTACCTCTTATGTCTCACTTTTGTATCCTGTAATATAGGGACAATAATACCAATCTCACAGGTTGTTTAAGAATATAAGAAATTACTTGTCTGGAAGTCCCTAGCACAATGCCTAGTCCATAGTACTTGCTCAGTTAAACATTACTTAACACTGAAAGCAGAAACGAACCAACCAGTTATAAGCCCAGGCTGGGGCAGCCTAAGTTGGCACAGGCACTCGGGGGCATGAGTCAAGAGGGTAGAACCCAGGAAAAGAAGACTCACAGCTGTGATATGCCAAGCAGCGTAGAAGGGCACCTCTTGCCTAGGGCTAAATAACACAAAAAGTTGCTCTCCCAGAGTAGCTGTGGAGAGTTGGGGCACAATTTGTGAGCTTTTTTTTTTTTTTGAGATGGTGTCTCACTCTGTCACCCAGAGGCTGGAATGCAGTGGCGTGATCTCAACTCACTGCTGCAATCTCCGCCTCCCAGGTTTGAATGATTCTCCTGCCTCAAGCTCCCGAGTAGCTGGGATTACAGGCGTGCGTCACCACACCAGGCTCATTTTTATATTTTTAGTAGAGACAGGGTTTCGCCATGTTGGCCAGGCTGGTTTTGAACTCCTGACCTCCAGTGATCCACCCGCCTCGGCCTCCCAAAGTGCTAGGATTACAGGCATGAGCCAGAGCCTGGCCAGAATCTGTGAGCCTGTTGTGGACCTGGAGCAGGGCAATATTCCCTAAAGGACACTAGGGACTCACCTATAGGGTGAGGAACCACAGTGGCCAAAGCCCCAAATGCTGGTGCTGATGGCCTGGTGGTCGCTGACTTCAAGCAGACCCTCCAGATACCCATGAACTGACCCTCCCCCAGAAAGGAAACTCATGATAATAACAACAGACATTCATTTACTATTTATTACGTACCAAGCAGAGCGTTAAAACTCTTACGCATCACCTCATGTAATTTTCACAAAAAAACCTCTATGACATTGTTACTAGATGCAGTGGCTGATGAGAAACCTAAGGTTGGGGAGGTGAAGTAACTTGCCCAAGGTCACACAATTTTCAAGTAGACAAGCCTGGCTTCCAGCAGGGTCTGGGGAGCCCAGGGGCCAATTCTTACAGCGGTTGCTCCATGGCTGGTCTACATGGAAGCCGTGTGCGCCTTCCCTGCTGTTCCCTTGAAGAGTGATTGGAAATAATTGGAACTGTCATTGGAAGTAATGAGAAGTGACAGAGGTTGGGTTAGAAGGCTTATTGCTCTAAGTCTGAACGATCCCCACAAACCCAAGCCTATATTTAAACAATGAAGTCACAAAGCAATTTCTCTCTCAGGGATTTCATTTTTCCCTCTTTCCTCCCCTACCAAGAAAAGAAGTATGACTACACTGGGGCTGAGTCTCTGCTTAGTACAGTGAATTTCTCCTGGAACAGAAAAATTCCTCTTTGGCTTGATCCTATTCATTTTCCCTGTGGAGTAATAAGATACAAACCTGGGGTGAGTAGATGGCCATTCTTAATTAAGAGATCCAAATTCACAGATACATTTTTTTTCTTTCTTTTTTTTAGAAAACATCCCATGAGAGATGAGGACTTAGAGGTAACTGTGTCACTGGCAGGTTGTGATGAAGAATGAGACCATAACCTTCAATAGGCAAGGACATTGGGAGTCTCAATCTCTCCAGGAAGCTCCTGGCTGAATGCCAAGGATGCACTGATTAATTCTACTCATTTCTGACGCTGATGGGTGATCCATCAACCCACCAACTGCTTATTTAGCGTGATCTCAATAATGAGCAAGTGCTGTGAGGGGCACAGGAATATCAGACACAGTCCCCGAAGACCTGCATGAGAAGAAATACACAGCAGCCAGCACATAATGAAGCAGCTTCCTCTTTGGGACTGCTAGAATCCTTGGTACTTTCCTCCAAAATAGCCTCCTCATGTATCTGACATTCCTTGTTCGTGAATACGTCTCTCCCACTGAGCTGAATTCTTAGAAGGTAGAAAGGGTGCCTTTTGTACGATCGGGGTCTCAGAGCCCAGCTAGGGGCCCGAACTCTAGCAGGCGCACCCGCTCTGTAATTGTTTTGTGTGAGACAGCGTGTGCCTGAAGTAGGAAATGTTACAGCTTGGATGTAAGCCCTAAAGAAGATCTTAAAAGGGACATCACTGAGCTGCTCCCGCCATCCGTGAAATAGAACGCGCTCAGAGGCTGCTCTGTAAACACCAGGAGGTCAGCTTAGCTTGGCTTTTTCATCCCCTACAGTCTCTGTGCCTTCCTCCTCCTCTTCCTCCTCCTCTTCCTCCTCCTCTTCCTCCTCTTCTTCCTCCTCCTCCTCCTCTCCTTTCTTCTCCTCTGCCACCGTTCGTGACCTGAACTTTCCACATCCCCCTTGCTGCCGCTCTTTACAAAAACCCCCAATATTCCACACCCACTGAGGGACTATTCTGAAGATAGTTGCCCATTTTCTCTTCTCAGTATGGGCACAAAGGAAACAGCTTTCTCCCCTGCCTGCTGTTGAAACAAAGGAGCATTCAGTCTTCTCACCGCCAGGCTTTGGCTGAGGCTCCACACACAGTGACCCAACCGACTGCTGCTAACAAAATAAAGGTTTCATCTCGGCTTTCTCCCCCATTTTGGTCTGTGTGGTGCCAAAGGAAATAAACTTTTATTTTTCCAGTATCCAGACATCCAGATAACCAGAACTTGAAGGGGAGGAAGCTATGGTTTGCATTTTTTCTTTAGGAAACAAGTAAGTCAGAGGTGCTGAAAACAGGACTTTAAGCAGAAAAAGCAACATATGAGGTGAGTCATACCCAATCCATAAACCTCATCATCCACAGTCTCAGGATAGTGTCAGCAAGGGAAGCTCATGCATCTGACCCCAAAGCATCTGACCTCTTGGACACTAGAAGGGTCTTCTGACGTATTAGAAGGAACACTAGTAATCCATACATGATGTGTGTAGAAGTAGTTCTCAGTTATAAACAATAGTCATCCAAACACATTTCTTAACCATTGGAATGGAGTGGGGGAAGGGGATGGGTAATAAATGTTTAGCAGAACTTTCCACTTTGGGGTTTAAAGATGAAGCCTCTGCTTCAGCCTGATCCACTCTTCTCAGTAACACAGAGCCTTGATTTCAGAATAACCATGTGTCTCCTGGTAAGTGGAAAACACATGGTTTTTGGAATCCAAAGTCCTGGGTTGGTGTCCTAGCTCAGCTGTTTACTCGCAGTGTATTCTAGAGAAAGAAGCTCACTTTACTTCTCTGAGCCTCCATTTATGTATCTGTGAAATGGAGTAATAATAATACTTACTCTCAAAGAGTGATTTGAGGTGAGATAAGGTATGTTAATATACTTCGTAAACTACTAAACCTTGTACAAATGTTAGAAATTAATTATACTGTCATAATATTCCTGCCCATATAATCCCCTGTCAGAGTACTACAAGTGGGCTGGTAATATATACATCTCATATTTCAAAATCCAACCACAAGTTCAAATCTAGGCAAGGAATCCATTAAGCTGTACATTTACTAGGTATGCTTTATATGCACATTTTGCCTTAATTTTAAAAGTAGAAGAAAATGGCCAGGCACGGTGGCTAATGCCTGTAATCCCAGCCCATTGGGAGGCCGATGATCACTTGGGGTCAGGAGTTTGAGACCAGCCTGGCAAACATGGTGAAACCCCATCTCTATTAAAAATACAAAAAATTAGCTGGGCGTGATGGTGGGTGCCTGTAATCCCAGCTACTCAGGAGGCTGAGGCAGGAGAATCGCTTGAACTCGGAAGGCAGGGGTTGCAGTGAGTGGAGACTGTGCCACTGCACTCTAGCCTAGGTGACAGAACAAGACTCTGTCTCAAAAAAAAAAAAAAAAAAAAAACAAAGCTCCTGCTTACAAATAGTTTTATACCGTAGCCCCTCTGCACTGAAGTCTATCCTAGGTGTCCATGCTTGAGGCTGTTCTGTAGGTAACCCTGCTTAAGATGAGGTCCTTTTGGTGAGTATTTCAGTTACTGAACTTCCTGGGTGGGGGGATCGGGCCATCACCCTGAACCTGAATGGTGCTCCATGGCTAACAGTGCCGCAGGGCAGTTCCAGGATGGAGATTACTACTGTTTTCTTCCAATTAGTTCGTTGACCCTTCTTGGTTTATCATCATGTGCTACCAATTGCCATGAGTGAACAGTGCCTGAAAAAATCAATAAGCAGGGTAACACCCATCTGTTCCTGATGACAACCACATCTGGACCAGCCAGAAAATTCTCAGAATTAAAAAAAATTCAGAGAATGTTACTGGTATAAGGAAACTTAGAGATAACCTTAATCTCATATTTTCATTTTACAAAGGAGAAAACTAAGGCTCAGAGTGGTATGATTTTCCTAGGCTCACCCAGAAGAAATGATTAAGGAGCTAAAGCTATTGATTTCCAGTCCTGTTCCTTGTACACATACACCCACATCTTTGGGACTTTGAGTATTAATTCCTTTCTCCTGAATACACCAGACATACATGACACTGCAGAGTTCCTAGGACTTCCAGTTACGTTGGCAAAATTGAAATGTTATGACGCCTGCCTGATTTTTCAGGCAATTTCTCATATAATAAAAACCAATGCCAATTATTCAGCATTTAGCTCACTTAACTGAAGCATCACAAGAGCAGCTGTGATCTTGAAGCTTAAGTACATGAGCTGAAAAGGAAGGAGAGACATTTTTCTATTTCAAAAATGTGTAATAGGATCATGGAATTCGGGTTCCAGTCTTGGCCCTTCTACTGAGCTAGCTGTATAACCTTAGCCAAACCTCTCTGAACTTTGGTTTCTTCTTCATCTTAAAAGAAGGCATAGATTTAGATGAAAGATTAACTTGGGTTCCAAGGAAAAGTATCAGGAGGTCTCAATGAGGTCTTAAATATTATTGGCAAATTTGATGTATACATGTCTTTTTCTAAGAAGTTGGTTTTGTGATTTTCATCAGATTCTACAAAGGGTCTGGGACTCAAAATTTTAAGAACGATTGATTTAAACAGTCTCTTAGTTTTCCTCCAGTTCTGGCAATCTTTGACTCTACCTTTAAAAAATATCCATCATCACTAGATGCATTCATGAAATAATACTCATGTGTACCCTGCCCAGATAAGCACAAGACAAAAATAGGATATGACTAGATATAAGCCTACAGGGAATATATCGTTATTATGACCATCACCATTAAAGTGGGAAGATAAGGGTAGGACATGGAATCCTACTGAGACCTGTCGTTATCTTACAGACCAATGGACTATGCATTCATGCCTTCTTCAAACTCACTTTCTGCGAAACCAGGCTCCTTCCCCGTGCTGGCAGAAGTTTCAACAGGTAAGTCTATTTTTAATCTGGTACTAGCACACACGATATACAAAATAAATTTGTATGACAAATATATTATCTGGTCCCTATCCCTGTAATGTTCTTTGTGAATTTTTTAAAAATAGGACTGGTCCTATTTGCATTAATAGACAAGGAAGCTCAAAGCAAGCTGAATTAAAACTGGGCTCCTCACTATTGGGTTATCCCGCAGTCAAAGGTTAGTGATCTTCCAAATTTTTCACCTCTCTTGACCTTAAAGATTTCAAATACTTCAAAAATCCAATTATCTCTTAACAAATAGTTCACAAGTGTTTATGCAAGGTACTGAACATGGTTCACAGGTGAATGAGACACTGTCCCTGCCTTCATGGAGCTTCCATTCTAATGGGGTGTTAGATAAGCATTTGGAACACCATAATACAAAGTAGCATAAGAGGAAGGCTATTGGGATTCAAAGGTCAAATAGACTACTCAAAAGAAAAAAAGTATATTCAGCTGGTGAAACCATGGACAGGTGTATGGAGGAAGTGGCATTTGAGGTGAGACTTGGGGAATGAACATGATTTTGATCTGCAGTGGCAGGAAATAAGGAGGCAGTTTTGGTGGGGGGATTATCATAAACAAAAGCATAGAATTAGAAAGAAGCATGGGACATGTTTTGGGCGCATGAAGTAATTCAGGTTCCCTACCGAGTATCTGGGGGTGAGTAGAGGAAGAGCTGTGAATGACATTATGTAAAGTCTTTGATGTCAGAATGAAGTGTTTATACTCAACACTAAAAGCAATGAGACTACTAAAGGTTTTTGGAAGAAGGGAGAAAAACCATAGAATTATAGAAATTTTGAATTGAACATTCCCCTACCCCTATGCCCATTGTACAGACAAGGGAGTCAGAATAAGAACCAGAGAGGTTGCCAGACTCTTAAGTTCCAGCTTCGTGCATTCTACCAGCGGCCTCACAGGGTTACTCGGGTAGCAGTGTGCAGGATGGAGGAGAGAGGACAGGCAGGACAGGAACGTGGCAGCTACTATAGTCATCCAGGAGAGAAGTTAAGGTGGCACAATGAGGGCCGGAACGTTACGGGAGTGAGGCAGGATAGTGGGTCAGAAGAGGGGCTGAGCTGGAGCTCCTTCTCTCTTCTCCATGGGGCTCAGAGCACTTCTTATTCATTCACATCAGAGAGGTGGGTTATTTGACCTCACTCATTGGCAGGTCCAGGAAACATGGAGTCAACTGTCCCACAGTTCAGACGATGAACACTCTCCACCCTCCCAGCCCCTGTTTGATACTGTGCAATCTTTAGAAAAAGAGAAGCCAAAAACCATGCCAGCCAGGATCAGAAGCAGCCCTGGAACTGCCCCTTTAAAGGACCAGTATGATGATTTCAGGATTCAGACAACTTGCTGTGTTTTCTTTCTGCCTTTGCTGAACAGTGTCCGAGCATTCCATGGCTCCAAACCATTTCTTAAATAAGGACAGGTGCTCAAAAAGTGCAAATTTTTTTTCCCTTTCCCAGACCTCTCTCCTATAGGTCACGCTGACATCTTACATTCCATGAAGAGGATGGTGAGATCGAAGAGCCAGCCAGGTGTGGCAGAGGGTAAGCGCTTTGAGAATCTCTGCAGCCACAGGAGGCTGTAAAGCAATGCGCTTTAGCAAGCTTTCTCTGGAAGCAGGCAGCCTGCGCTCAAATTCCGTCTCCCCTAATTATGAGTGTGTGGCCTTGAGCAAGTTACCTGGCCTTTTTACAGCTTGGTTTCTTCATCTGTAAAATGAGGGTAGCCAACAAGGATGGCTGGGCAGCCAATAGGCTTGTTGTGAAGAACAAACGAATTACCAAGATAGTACATATAAAGTGTTCATATAACAAGGACTATTAGCTGTTTTTAATAAGAGAGCCCTGAAGTTTCATTCTACTAAATATCTGGTGATTGGTAACCTAGTGGTAGAGTCCAGTAAAGGGAATCAAGGTGCCATCCAGCTGCGCCAGATGTGCACAGGAACAGTATTGCAGTATTTGGTTAAGTCTAAAAGAGTTTAGAAAATAACCCCTCCCCACCTGCCTTACTTGAGCAATAGTTTGGCTTAGCCCACCTCTTTCATTTCTCTAACTTAAGTGATTATCAGCCTGAGGCTGGCCAAGATGGGTATGCATACAGTATAATTGGTTTGTAAAGTTTCAAAAAAGACAGAGAACTCTAACCACGTATTTCAGGATTTGGTGGTTCTTCTAGACACCAGCCTCCTTCAAACCTCTGGTGTTGTAGGCTAGAAGGGACTTAGGAACCATCTAGTATTCTCTTTCCAGAGCTAAAGACGTGGAAGCCCTGGATAAGGAGTAAGTTGTCTGAGGCCACCCAGCTAGTCAGTTCAAAACCAGGACCAGCTCTCCCGTGGCCTGGTGTTCAGGGTAGTGCTCACTCTTGACCACTGGCTGGCTCTTTGATTTTCTGATCTCCAGCTAACTGTGGGGCCTGTCTGCAGTGGATCCCATGCTTCAGGGTGCATAGTGACGTGCCCTTGGCTCTCCCTGACTGCCTTTCCTGCCCTGGCTCCTCAGACATTTCCAGTCACTCCGGTGGGCTCCTACCACCCACATCCCTGATGTCCTCTCCTGCAAACCTGCCTCTGCCTCAGGGCCTCTGAGGCCCCAAGAGTCCTGCCTGGGGGACCCCAGGAAGGGACGCTCAGGAGGACTCTTCCCTTTGCTCTGGAGCCTGTTTCAGGAAAAAGTGGTGCTTGCTCTATTTCCCTCTGTTCTGGTTCCTCTGCTGCGTTTTTTCCAAGTCTTCTTCACTCTCTGTGCTCGGACTCCCCCAGCCTTGCTCTTCTGTTTTACATTCCTGTTCTCCTCTTTTTCTCTCTCCTTCCCAACCCTTCCCCTTTCCCCTTTTCCTTCCTTCCCTGTGTGACTTGGGGCATTTGCATCTTCCTGGTGCTCCTTGGGCCCTGCCCTTTTTCCCTCTCCCCTTTCCTCTCCAACCCTGCCTATCCCCCACTCTGCTCACCCTTTAACACATCTGTTTCTAATCTGAGCCTCGGAGGCGCCTGTTTGAAACAACAACAAAAAACCCCCACCCTCAGGAACCTGGCACAAAAATTCCTGGATAAACCTTCCCTCCACCAATTCTCCACTTTTCCCAGATACACCAGAAACTAAACACCGCCCTAAAGAGGACCCTGCACATCAAACGGTTCCCCAAGCCTGTTCAAGGGCCCAGATGTGCGAGACAATCTCGATGGCCGACTGGGCGGCCCTCGGTTGCCAGATGTGCTCCTCCGTGGCCAGGAGGCAGGGACTGAAAAGCCGGCTGACTCCAGGGGCTGCAGGGACACCCGGTCAGAACCGGCGTCTTTCCCGGACGCAGGGCTGCGTTTGCCCACGGCCATCCAAACTCCCGCCCTCCCAGAGGCACTCACCTAGCAAGAGGAGAAGGAGGAGGGACATCCCGATCCCCGGACGCGGGCGCTTCCCCGCTCAGCTGCTGCTTGGCTCCGGGGCGGCCGGGCGCCTCCGACGGACCTCGGGCGAGCTGGGCGCGGCGCCTCGGGGTGCGCGCGAGGTGGCTGCAGCCATGTGCCGGGCGGGAGCCGGCCCCGCGCCCCGTGCCCCTGGGGGCAGATGGGCTCCCGGCGCTCGCCCCACCAGCTGGCGCCCGGACGGGAGCCGGGACCAGGGTCAGGGAGGAAAACGCGAGGCGAAAAGGCGCTACCGCTTCGTGGAACACTTTTCCCTGTTTGGAAAGAAAAAGGAGTGAAGAAAGAGAGAGGGAAAAAAAAAATTCAGCTGGAACCACATGGTTGCCTCCTACCGCAGCCCCTCCCTCTCTCTCTCGCTGTTCCCTCCTTCCCTCCCTCCCTCCCGCGCGGCGTTTGGGGTTTGCGGTGGGGGCCGGTCGGGGAGAAGCGTGAGCTGGCCGGGCAGGGAGGGCCGGGGGAGACCTGGGGCCGTGCAGAGGCGGGTGGGTTGAGAGGCGCCGGGCGTAGGATTGATTCTTTGCAGGAGGCATTGGTGACACCTCGGCTGAGAGCCCATGGACGAGGCCTTGTCCGTTCCTAGAGCTCTGCTCTCACTTGGTCCTTCTCTCCACTTCTCTCTCGCTTCTTTTTTACTCTCGTTTCTCTCTGCTTCCACGTCTCTCACAAATCTGGCGTTTCTCTCTTCCATCTCTTCCTCTCTAGGTCTCCTTGTTCGCATTCTTGCCTCTCCCTCCTCGTCTCCTCATGCCCTCTCCCCTCTGTCCTCTGCGCTCTTCTCGCCTCTCCTCTCCCTCCCCGTCTGGTTCTGTTAGTGTAAAGCCACCAGACTGACCAGGCCGACGGCGGGGCGCGGAAGTGGGTGCGAAGGCAGCCAGCGGCCGGCCGACCAGGGCTCTCCCCACCGACTGCCTGCTTTGGCACCCGGCTACCCCCCTTGGCCTGGCTTTCCTGGGGCCTTTCGCGTTCGCTCGCTTTCTACTGTCGGTATTTGCAGCAGCGCTCCCTCAGGTCCCGAGCAGAGCTAAGCCAGCCAGCACCCAGGGGAAGGGGACCCACAGCCCCGTGGAAAGAGGTCTATCGAGATGCTTTGCAGCAAAGTGCTCTGCACGTGGCCCTGGCCAAAATGTGCACCACCCCCTTTCAGAAAGAACATAAGGCAGAGGGAGCAGAATCCCCCTGGTGCCAGGGCCTGCGCGCCCGGGCTCCGGGAACCCGGCCCAGGAGGCTCGCGGAGGGCAGGAGGCTGGCGGCCGGACGGGGGCGGACGGTGGGTTCCGCGGAGCCGAGCAGCCCCGCCCCAGGGTCGGCCCCTGGGAGTCTGCCCTTCACTACCCTGCTGCTCAGCGGCAGCGGGAGGCAGCGAGACTAAGAAAGGGCAGTGAGGGTGGCGCTCAGACCTCAGCTGCCTGGACCTCCTGCCCTGACCTTGTGCCCAGGGCCTCTCAGAAACTCTGGTCCCAGTCTCTGAATGTCCCTGGAGGGCTTCTCCCTCAGCTGCCCAGAGGCATGATGACGCAATCGCTCACCTTCGGCCTCGCCAGAGCCCAGGTTGGAAGCCGGGGCCAGCGCTCTTGAGAAGAAAGATGAACCCCGCCGGGGCCGGTGGGCTGCCGAGTCACACATTTGCAATGAAATGCAAATGTGTAATGAAAACCCGTCCCATTTCGCAGACTAGGAAAGCAAAGGCCTGGAGAGGTTATGGAAGTTTCACAAGGTCACTCAGAGGACTTGCAAAAGCTGGGGCTGTTCCTAGGGCTCGCGGATCAGCTGGAGCATTGCTTTAGAATTGCAGCATTTCTCCACTCACTCCCTCACCCCTTCGATACCGATGTGTTAGCATCCACACTATGCCAGGTGCTTTTTTAGGTGTGAGGACACAAAGTGAGTAGAACTTGGAAGTTGACATTTAAAAAAACCTGGGAGGAGTATGTCATGAACACCAAGTATGGACCCAGAATCATATTATATTATTACGTGGTTTTTATTGGGTCATATTATTGACCTTTTTATATCATTCTTATTATACTGCTAAGGGATAGTCACTGAAAAAAAAATCACCATCCCTTAGCATGAATAGGAAGACAAGGAAACTATAACTTAGAGAGGCCTAAATATCTTGCCCCAGATCACAATAGAATTAAAATGCTTCTATTCCAATATTAATATTCTAATATTTAAAAATATTATTTTTTATATTGAGAAGTGTTTAAAAGGTCTCTTTGACTCCGAAGTAACTTTATTTTCCATTTCATACTAATTGTCTAATAGGGGAAATAGATACATTCACAACTATAATTTGTAAATGAATATGTTGAAAAAACCGTCTTTTTTCTTTTCTTTTTTTTTTTTTGAGACAGAGCCTCACTCTGTCACCCAGGTTCACTGCAACCTCTGCCTCCTGGGTGCAAGTGATCCTCCCACCTCATCCTTCCAAGTAGCTGAGACTACAGGCTCACACCATCATGCCCGGCTAATATTTGTATTTTTGGTAGAGATTGGGTTTCGCTGTATTGCCCAGGCTGGTCTCAAACTCCTGGGCTCAAGCAGTTCACCTGACTCGAACTCCCAAAATGCTGGGATTACGGGCATGAGCCACCATCCCCAGCCAAAAACAGTAATTCTTAAAGGCTGGAGAAGGTGGCAGAAAAACTACATACAGAAGGTAACTCTTTTGTTGTTTCTGCTTTATAATTAAAAAAAAAATTGACATTTTGGGCTTACAAAAAAGTTGAAAATAGTACAAAAATTCTTCACCCAGATTCCCCCTTTTTATTTCTCTCTAGAGGTGGGGTTTTTGCACAAGTTTTAAAGCCTCACCTCCACCCCACCGCTGCTGGTGGCCTTTCTCAAGAACTTAGTAATGCCAGTGCTGTTTATTGCTTGAGGGCTGGTGTGCGCATGAAGACAGATGTGTGTGGGTGTAGGCAGATATGTGTTTAAACCCAGTTGCTCAAGCCGAAGGTAACAGGCGCCTTTGGCTCTAGGTCATTAGTCACCAGCACAGGAAATGATTAGACTGAGATTGGGTCACAAGCACTCAATTTTCCCAGCCCCAAGTCTTGTAGCCAATATGGCACATATTTTTTGGAAGAGGATCTTTGGGTCCCTGAAGGTGTCTGTCTCTAAATCTGAAACCTCTTTTCTATTGGCATGGGTCTCTGGGCAGGAAGAGCAGAGAGAGAGTGCTTCTGCGATGGTTTGTAACTCACATCCCATCCCTACCAGTGCTGGGCCCCACTCTGGGCTGGGTGCCTCGGAGGATCCCAAGATTACGAGATAGTCCTTACCCTGAATGGACGGACCTCTCAGTTCAGAGGGAGAAAAAACACCAACATGGGAAATGTTTCAACAACAATACAAGAAAGTTAGATAGTTAAATGCCACAGTAAATTATCCTGACAATAAAAAACAGTGGGAATTCCAAGAAAGGAAAGAGCACCTTAGGCTGGGGTAATTGCGGAGGAGAGCAATGATGGAACCAGCCCTTGGGGGATGAACAGAATGTCATTAGAAGAGATGAGCTGGGGAGAGCCATGAGTGGGGGCATTCCTGGACAAAGACATGGAGTTAGGAATAGCTTTGGCATATTGAGGGGCCTTGAATGAAATGAAATGCTTGAAATAAAAATTGTTGTTGAAGCAAAATGCCCTGGGGGGCAAAACTGTGACAAGTTCCAAATGTGAGGAAAAGGATTCTAGAACTCGTTCTGCAGTGTTCTTCCAGGCTCTTTGAAACAAATTTAAGAAAAATCACCTTGATGAGAGCCTTATTTTAGGAAGTGGAAATTGGCAGCTTCTGCCCAGAGGTGACTACAACAGTTGGCCAGGGTGGAGAACTTTTGCGACCCTTTCATATCTGTCAAGCTACCTTTGTCTCAATATTTTGTAGAGTGATATACATATGCAGATTCAAGACACTTCCCTTGTCCTTCCCAATTTCTGGGGAGCCAAAGAGTACCACCCTAAACCTCTCCTTTACAGGAATTCTAGAGCTATCAACGGGAGTGTATGACGCACTGGAGAAGAAACCTGAAGGACAGGGACTGTTTAGGACCTATTGTATTAAATAGGCAGATAAGATGAGGGTAGTGAAACAGTGTAGAAGACATTGGGAAGAAAGATTTGACAGGGTTAAGTACATAACAATCAATGTGGGTGAAAAGAGTGGAAGAGAAAAGAGGCACCGAATCTGAGTATAAATGACTGAATACATTGTTACATATGCCAAGATTGATACCGACCATTTATCTACCTCCTGGTATATTCCAGAGATTATAAGCATGATTAACAGGTATCACAATATCATACCACAATGAAGAAACTAAGGTTAAGGTTTAGCAAGATTAAATAAATTGCATATCATCCCATGGTTAGTAAATGATTGAAGCAGGATATAAAGTCAGGAGATTCAAAGCTTTTACACCTCACTGTCTTTTGAATAGTACTGCTGACAAACTAGGGAAGTTGGGTAAGTTAACTTGTCAGGAATGGAAGGATAAGTTACCCAATTACGTGGAGACATAGTAACTGAAGAGCTGATAAATCATCATCCATCCATCCATCCCTCCATCCATCTTTCTATTCTTTCTTTCAATCAATAATACAGCAAATCTTTGTTAAACACCTACTATATGCCAAACACTGGAAAATCAATGGTGAACAAAGGAAAAGTTGTCCTTGTCCTGCAGAAGCTTCTGGTGAGTTAAGGGAAATGAACAACCAATAAGCAATTACAACATGGAGTGAGATATGCTCTGCTCAGAGAAGAGCAGAGTGCTATGGAGATCACAGCAGGACCTTACACCTAGCGTAGGAGATGCCAAAAAGACATCCTGGGAGAAAAGTGCTGTGAACTGAGGGGGAGATGGAGACCTGTGCTCTTCTCTCATCTCATACCTGGGAACCATGGACCGTATCTTTTTTTTTTTTTTTTTGAGACAGAGTTTTGCTTTGTTGCCTAGGCTGGAGTGCAGTGGCACAATCTCGGCTCACTGCAACCTCTGCTTGCTGGGTTCAAGCAATTCTTGTGCCTCAGCTGCTTGAGTAGCTGGGATTACAGGTGCCTGCCACCATGCCCGGCTGATTTTTTTGTATTTTAGTAGAGACGGGGTTTCACCATGTTGCCCAGGCTGGTCTTGAACTCCTGAGCTCAGGCAATCCGCCTGTCTCGGTCTCCCAAAGTGCTAGGATTACAGGCATGAGCCACTGAGCCTGGCTGTGGTCCATGTCTTTTAATCTTTTTGAGGTCCAGAATCCACCTTTTGAGGTCCAGACCCATCCTTACAGATGATGATACAAGCTCATGAGGACACTTAGGAGAAGGCAGCTGTGGAATGATGGAAAGAGTTCCGGGTGAAAAGGCAGAAAGTCTGGGTTTCCAGTAGTTCTGAATAGGTCCCTTGACTTCACTGAGCCTTTCTTTCTTCTGAGCCCAATACTGGTGGGAGGAAGAAATGGAATTATAATATGATGGAGGCGCCTGCTGCAGTGTCTCGCACATAGGAGGCTCAGTAAATATTTGTTCCAACTAAAACTAAAGTTGAGTTCATAGGATTCCATTCCCTGCAGTAAAAGAGCCAATTTCTGTCTCATTTCCTTTTTTCTATTAAAACAAGGTTATCTTTATATATTCTTTCCTGTCCTGCAAGGACGCTTCTTGGCTTGGCTATTCAGTGTGTTATTTCTCCTATGGCTGGACAGTAAGAGGCCCCAGCTGGCTTTCAGGGTCTTGACTGGACAACTTTTTTTAAGACTGTGGCTGAGAACCCTGTGTGCTAATAGAGGGTAAGGCACACGTTGTACAGTGACAGTCCCAAGCACTGATCTATGTGGTCAGCGGAGGCGGCAGGGACTTTGTGGGGTTGATGTTTCCTGTAGGACATTTGATGGTGAAGAAAAGATCTCAGCCTCTATCTTCCCACCAGCACTCAGGATGCAAAGACCCATCCCTCCAGCCCAGCAGGCCTTCCAGGAGGCCAGTGGGAGAGTAAAGAGTCAAGACAAAAAGCAGAGAAGGTGTCTGTAGCTGCTGCCGAGCCTAAGGCTTTACAGTAGGACGCTGCTGTGTGTACCAGCTTCATGCCTGGCATCAGCTAGGTCTGGGCTTTTCCAGGTTCTCCCACATGCTACTTTTAATTCCTGCTAAAGTTACACCGGCAGAGGTGGTTCTGGAGGAAGACAGGCTGATTTTGAATTCTGGCCACTCTCCTGACTGTGCCTAACTTGGGTGTATTTCTTAACCTCAGCCTACGTTATTTCATCTGTAAGATTTCTCATATGGTCGTTGAGAAGATAACAGGAGACTATATAAAGAAAACACCTAGTAATCTCAGCACTTTAGGAGGCCAAGACGGGTGGATCACAAGGTCAGGAGATTGAGACCATCCTGGCGAACACGGTGAAACCCCATCTCTACTAGAAATACAAAAAATTAGCCAAGCGTGTGGGCATGCGCCTGTAATCTCAGCTACTCAGGAGGCCGAGGCAGGAGACTCGCTTGAACCCGGGAGGCGGAGGTTGCAGTGAGCCGAGATCGCACCACTGCACTCCAGCCTGGGCGACAGAGCGAGACTCCATCTCAAAAAAAAAAAAAAAAGGAAAGAAGGAAAGCACCTAGTATAGGGGGGCAGGCACATTGCTGCTCAGCAAGTGATGCCCTTCTCTCTTCCCCCTTAATTAATGCAACAAAATATGCCGTGACTCCAGGATACATTGTAACTGGATCTTCAGGGGTCCTTTCCCCTCTCAGAGAAAGGGGACGATAGCATCTCCTTCCTTTAGGTGGGGAATTGAGGTCTAGTGACTTCCTTAGAAACACACAGCAAAAGGAGTAGTAAAAAGTGTTTTCATGCTCTCTCCTCCTTCACATCAGTCCCCAACTCTGGGTTGAGATCAAAAGCAGGCTTTTGTTTGGCTAATGATGCTCAGAATTACCCACTAGACAAGCTGTCTTCATAAGGGAGCCAAATGAGACAGGAATAAGAACAGGAAATACATTTCAGATTGTTAGATTGAAGGGGATATCAGAGACATCCGATCTAACCTCCATATTTTACAGAAAAGGACACAAGTGCAGAGAGGAATGGCAACGTGTCTAGGGCCACCTAGCTAGTTGGTAGCACAAAAGGTATAAGAACCCCAGCCTGACTCTTCGTTCAGCGCTCTTGCCACTGTCTTGTGCTGACCTGCTGTGATCCTGAGCAACCTCTCCCCGAAGGAAGAAGCCATCAGGCTGGTGACCAGATGTATGCCTGGCTTCATTCTCTAGCCAGACACCTTGTGATTTTTCTGAAAACCCAGCAGCATGTTTCCCTTTGTTGACATGTAAGCACGTGGTAGAAAACACAGACCACCAAACCACAGACAGGAATCTTCCTATCTTCCTCCCAGCTGGACAAGGGCAGCTAGCTGTCCTCGGCTAGCATAAGCACTCATGTACTTTTCATTCATTCAGCCTCAAAAATGTGTCTCCAGCCTGTAAGCCTGCATTTGTTCCACCTCTGTGCAGCTGCTGTGTCCACTATCAAGCTGGGCAGGACCTTAGAGTTCCTTTTGGTGTAACTTCCTCACTTTGTAGACTGAATCCCAGCCAGGAGATGTGCTATCTCTGGGTCAAACTCAAGTTAGAGACAGAGTCAAGCTGGAAACCAGGTTGCCTAGCGACCAGCTCCATTCTCCTTCTAGAGTGTGGAAGATTACCACACAGAGTGACCCTGCCTCTTCCTAAAAGGTCAGGAATGAGAATAAAAAAACTCATGGTGTCCGCTGGCAGAAACAGGTGGGACAGGGCCCAGGGAAGAGCTGGTTTTTATTGTTGTTGTTGTTGTTTTAGTATTGGATGAGACTCAGTAAAAGCCATAAAATAAAACTAAGAAGAATCTATGCGAGGCCTCATTATGCCACTGGTGTCCTGCCTGCGGGGAACTCATTTATTTTGTGGCTGAGATGCTGGGAGCTGTCAGCAGCTGCTTGCAGCTGCTCAGTGAAAAGACTGATGGCAGCCATGGCCAGGCTGAGGAGATGGGAGGGGAGGAGAAGCATCCCCCGTCTTCCCACCTACCACAGGCACACACACAGATGCGTGACATACACTCAGAACAGTCTTGCAGCCTCTTGCATTGATGTGCACCTTTCCGGATGACACTGTCCCAGGAAGTGGAGTGGGGGATATGCCAGCCATGGCCTGAAACCAGTGTCCAAGAGGCAGTGGAGGATGCTGGATAGAGCATGAGGTTCGACATCAGGAGACCAGGATGGAACCTCTCCCTTACTGTCACCTACTGAGTCAGCTTGAATAAATGATGAACCTCTCTGTGTCTCAGTTATGTATCTGGAGAAAATAGGTAAGCTAGTGCTTTGTCAACTAAGGTTCTTTATGAATGTGAGGTAAGCATGATAAAGGAGTGTAGATTGCAGGAACTGGCAGGACCTGACTTGAGTCGGACATGCTTCTCTGTACCCCGTGTTGTAGAGAATCAATCCATTTCAAACTGGTGTGGAGCCCCATGACAGACACAGCAGACACAGAGGGAACAGGAGCTGGGCCCAAGACTCGTGGTGGGGCCTCTCCCCTGACTTCCTGGAGGATGAGCCCAGCACAAAGACAGATCCGAAAGACACTGTTCACTGGCTCACTCAGCCCTGTTCCTAATACCCTCTCTTGCCTACCTCCACCATAGAAGCTAAAAGGTCAAACATCTGCTTTCCAGGCCTCCTTTGCTCCCAGGGAAGGACATGTGACAGGATTCTAGCCAACGAGTCTTATCAATGGATAGGAGAAGTCAGCTAGGGAGCTTTGGGGAAATATTTGCTTTATACTTTGTGCAAACCAGAACTGGGTTTAGTCCGTAAAGGATAATTTTCTTAGGATATATAATGCACTCTTAAATAACCATAAATCTAAGACAAAACACAGCCATTGCCCTGATAAAGGCACAGGTGAAGAGCTATTGAATTTCAAGGGTGACTATTTCTTCCTATGTAGCGATCAGGGACTGCTTCATGGAGGAGGGGGCATTCGAGGTTGATACGACTTGAATACCCAAGGCTGAGAGATTCGGACATGATTCCCAGTCCCAATCTCAGATGCCCTGAGCTCCTTCACTCTTCCAAACCACATTATGGGGAATCTGATGATTCTTGCCAGGTGATGTAATAGCTCTGGTGATGATCAGATATCATCCCGCCTCTTAATGACAGAGCACCATCTTCTGAAGCCCTTTAAAGATACAGTCTAGCTCATGCCTCTGAAGTGAGCAGAGATGGATAAAGAAGCCACCTCATAGACACAAAGGAACTTCTCAAAGTTCCAGAATTGTTTGAGAAGAGAACCTGCCGATCCTCTCAGCCATGTAATCCTTCTTGGAACACTCCCTCATCTTCACCCACGTAGACTTGCACACCTACCCTCCAGATGTGGTGGGAGACGCCTTTATGTAACATGAATCTGTATGATGAATTCTTGCTCATATTGAAGACATGAAATTCCTATGAATAGGACATGTACTTTGAGTTCATTATCCCTAAAAGCAAGTCATGGATATGCTTAAGTTATCTGAGTGCTTTCCCTGGAAGACCAGTGGAATGCTTCGGTGAGATTTGTGGCTGGGGTTGGGGCTGGCATGTAGAGTAGAAGCTAACCTGGTTTCACTAGGACTAGTTTCTTTTTCTTTCTTTATTTTTTTTCTTTTCTTTTTTTTTTTTTTTCGAGACAGAGTCTCACTCTGTCACCCAGGCTGGAGTGCAGTGGCACGATTTTGGCACACTGCAACCTCCGCCTCCTGGGTTCAAGCAATTCTCCTGTCTCAGCCTCCAAAGTAGCTGGTACTACAGGTGCACGCCACCACACCTGGATAATTTTTTTTTTATTTTTAGTAAAGACGGGGTTTACCATATTGGTTAGGCTGGTCTTGAACTCCTGACTTCAGTAATCCACCGGCCTTGGCCTCCCAAAATACTGGGATTACAGGTGTGAGCCACCATGCCCGGCCCACTAGGACTATTTTCTAACTGATCTGAATGAACCAACTTGGATAACCTCATGTTTAAAAAACATTCATTTATATACCCACCAGGATTGTATATATATATATCTATATATAGAGAGAGAGAGAGAGTAACAAATGTTAGCAAGGCTGTGGAAAATCTAGGACCTTTGTGTACCTTTGGTGGAAATGTAGAATGTGTAGGCACTGTGAAAAACAGTAGTACAGGGATTCCTTAAAATATTTTTTTTTTGAGATGGAGTTTCACTCTTGTTGCCCAGGCTGGAGTGCAATGGCACGATCTCAGCTCACCGCAACCTCTGCCTCCCAGGTTCCAGCGATTCTCGTGCCTCAGCCTCCCTAGTAGCTGGGATTATAGGCATATGCCACCACGCCCGGCTAATTTTGTATTTTTAGTACAGACGGGGGTTTCTCCATGTTGGTCAGGCTGGTCTCGAACTCCCGACCTCAGGTGATCCGCCTGCCTTGGCCTCCCAAAGTGCTGGGATTACAGGCGTGAGCCACCGTGCCCGGCCTGCATTCCTTAAAATATTAAAAATAGAATTACTGTATGAGTCAACAATTCTATATTTTGGTATATACCCAAAAGAATTGAAATCAGGGTCCCAAAGAAACATGTGTACATCCGTGTATATTGCAGCACTATTCGCAATAGCCAAAAGGTGGAGGCAATCCAAGTGACCGTATACTGATAAATGAATAGCCAACATGTGGTATGTCTTTACAATTGGATATTCTCAGCCTTAAAAAGGAAGAAAATTCTGATATATGCTACAGCATGGCTGAACTTTGAAGACGTTATACTAAGTGACATTACCCAGTCACAAAAGGACAAATACTGTATAATTCCACTTATATGAGTTACCCAGAGTAGTCAAATTCATAGAGTAGAATGATGGTTTCCAGGGGCTGAGTGGAGGGGCTTGGGGAGTTATTATTGAAAGAGTACAGCATTTCAGTTTGAGAAGATGAAGAAGTTCTAGAGAGATGGCGGTGACAGTTGCACAGTAATGAATGTACTTCATGCCTGTCAACTATACATTTAAAAATGATTAAACTGTGGCTGGGGAAGGTGGCTCACACCTGTAATCCCAGCGCTTTGGGAGGTCGAGGCGGGCAGATTATGAGGTCAGGAGTTGGAGACCAGCCTGGCCAACATGGTGAAACCCGTCTTACTAAAAACACAGAAATTAGCAGGATGTAGTGTGTGCCTGGATTTCCAGCTACTGGGGAGGCTGAGGCAGAGAATTGCTTGAACCTGGGAGGCAGATGTTGCAGTGAGCTGAGATTGCGTCACTGCACTCCAGCCTGGGCGACAGAGTGTGACTCCATCTCGAAAAAAATTATTAAAGAAATGATTAAAGTGGTAAATTTTACATCATGTGTATTTTACCACAAAAAATTATCTACAACATCACTTTATTTTAGAAAAAAAACTGTTTCTAAACTGTCCAGCTCAGATGTGATCTCTTTTATATTTTGGGGGATTATCATAATAGAATTAAAAGAGCTAGATTTACAGTCAGAAAACCCAGTTTCAAATCTCAGTTCTGTTGCCTGTTGGCTGTTTGATCTTGTTCTTATTGAACTTCATTTTCCTTGTCTTTGGTCAAATATTATGAAACCTATTTTTACTCCTTCACCAGGCGGATGTGAAGATCCAATTAGATAATTTATGTGAATGTGCTTAGCAAACCACAGAACACTAAACAAATATAGAAATTTTTTCGAGAAGATAATGAGGTTCTCTCTGGGACCTATTGTAATATTTTCCAGCTTTTCTTGCCAAGAAGTTCCTTCTATCACACCTAAATTCCGTCGAATTTATTTCCAAGCTTCAGCCAGCTTGGAAATAGCCTTTCTGTTGGGACATTTCCAAATCCCAGGTTTAGAGGTTCTTCCATCTGGCAGGTGTCAAAGAAGACAACAGGAACCATGAGCAGAACCACTTGGAACTGCAAACTCTTTGGGCCAAGGAGAGACTTCTTCTCCAGGTCTGGTTTGGTTCGCAAATTCCTGGCTGTCATAGCAACCTGAAAAGCAAAGGAAGACTGTTTAGTGTCGTCTTTGACTGCAGCCTGGGCTCGGAATGCGCTCAGGTTGGCCCAGTAAACAGTGTTCACCGGTAACCACTCTGTGTCTCTCCCTCTGGGCCCAGGGATGGGTGAGGCAGGGAGCTCACCAGGCTCAAGTCATCTGGCCGCACAGCTTCTCACCTAGTGTCACTCAGCTCCCCTCTGCTGCTCTGTCTCCCAGTGGCTCTGCCAGATCTAACATGGGGAGGGAATTTCCAGAAGAGGCCTATTGGGAGATGGAGTCAACTCCACAGTGGAAGCAAATGCCTGCCGCCCACATGAAGATGTGTGAAGATGACTTGGGGAGGGGGAGCCGACAGCATTTCCATGGTAACCTCAAGCATCCCTGTGAAGTCATCATTGTGCTCTTCTGACCTATTCAAACCCTGGCAACCAGGGCTGTTTATCTCTAGGGATTGAGTTCAAGATCTAAAAATGTGAAAGACCTAAACTGAAATGAATAGGCACCTCACTTGCTAAGAAGTAGGTCTACAAAGACATGTGATGTCATGTTCATTAATCGTTACATTGATTGTTACAAGATTTTTACACATTTGACAACAATTTACAGGCGAGTTTTTTTCTCATTGCAAGAATTCCTGATTATGCACAGTGATTGCCGAGAAATCATTGTTGGGCCAAATTTCAAAAGTAAAATTATAAAAAATACTGCAGTATTTTTATAGTTAAAAAAAAGGGATTGGGTGTATTTTAATATGCTTAATATGATGTGTGGAGGCTCAAAGGCCCATGAAGTCCTCAAAGTGTCCATGCTTGTTGCTTATAAGTTTGTTTTTTTCCTCCCTCCCCTCTTTTCCCTCCCTCCCTCCCTTCCTTCCTCGTTTCCTTTCTTTCTTCTTTCCTTCTTTCTCTTTCCTACCCTCCCCTAATTTCTCAATCTCTCTCTCTCTCTGTCTGCTTTCCGCCTTCCTACTGAGGTGCACAGTGTCACTGCTGTCTGGGACGGAAGCAGTATGAAATAGACAAGAAACCCTGTGGACTCAGATGGCTGTGTTCTTCCTGTGGGAACTTGGGTACAGTATGAACTCTCTGGTCCTCAGGTTCCTTCTTCACTTGTAAAATGAGGTGATAACAGTTGCTTCCAAGAGTTCTTGTGAAAATTACAGTAGTAAATGCTGGTTATTCTTGTTATTATTACTACTAATAATGATAGCAACCCACATTTCAGTAGTAATCACACACAGACATTCATATGTCCTCTAGCCACTGGAATGTCCCTGTTCTCAGATGTGCAGGAACTGTATCTATTTTTCTAGTTCTTTTTGTGCACAGGTGAGTAGAGTATCCTGTGAAGTCCTCAAAATGTCCATGCTTGTTGCTTATAAGTTTGTTTTTTTCTCCCTCCCCTCTTTTCCCTCCCTCCCTTCCTTCCTCTCTTCCTTTCTTTCTTCTTTCCTTCTTTCTCTTTCCTATCCTCCCCTAATTTCTCAATCTCTCTCTCTCTCTCTCTCTGCTTTCTGCCTTTCTACTGAGGCGCGGTGGCTCACGCCTGTAATCCTAGCATTTTGGGAGCCATGTGAGTGGATCACTTAAGGCCAGGAGTTTGAGACCAACCTGGCCAACATGGAAAAACTCCTTCTCTACAAAAAATACAAAAATTAGCCAGGTGTGGTGGTACATGCCTGTAATCTCAGCTACTCGGGAGGCTGAGGCACGAGAATTGCTTGAACCCAGGAGACAGAGGTTGCAGTGAGTCAAGATCATGCCACTGCACTCCAGCCTCGGTGACAGAGTGAGACTGTGTCTCGAAAAAAAAAAAAAAGAATAAAGAAACATACCCTAACATGGTCTGGTAAAGGAGCTATGAATATAATCAATAACTTCAGTAAGAACAGTGTGGGAGAACTGTCATTAGAGAAGTACACTCATCTTGGGGTCCAGGAGCATGAGGTCACATCTGTCAGGAGTGACCATGGAAGTCTTCACGGAGAAGGTGAAATTGAAATTGGGGCATGGAATGATAGGTACAATTTCTGCTCAAAAGTGATAAGCAGATGGAAGCCCAGTAGACAAAGAAGCTATTAAGGGTTTTTGACATGGGGAGCAACACAGTCAAAGGAAGATTGATTGGATTTACCTGTAAACACCTAAAGGAAAGGAATGGGATTGGAAGTGGGAGAAGGGTTGGGGGAGGGTGGGGAGAAAGGCTGGGGAGGAACTGGAGATGGAAAGTTTATCCGTAAGGCTTTCAGTATTCTAGGTGAGAGGTAAAGAGGCCACGTGCCTAGAAGAAAGAGATGACAAATGTAAATTTTTGAATAGAGGAAAAGATTTTTTTTTTTTATTTATTAGAGAGGGGCATAGGAGATGGTGGAGGATAGAGAGAAGTCAATCATGACTTTGATTTTAAGCCAGGATGACAAGAAGAATTATGGTTCTGGCCAGGCACAGTAAACAGAGCTCTCCCTCCTCTCCATCCCCAACCATCCAATTCTCTTCTCAAAAGGCAATCTCAGCTGGGTGCGGTGGCTCACACCTGTAACCCCAGCACTTTGGGAGGCTGAAGCAGGCGGATGACTTGAGGTCAGGAGTTCGAGACCAGCCTGGCCATAGTGGGTGTCTGAGGCAGAACAGCAGTTTGAACCAAACTTTTAGAGTGGAGATATTCTTCGAGGTCAGACTGGCTGCCTTAGCAACCTGAGACAGCACTGGCCTGCTGCAGGGGTTCCCAGACCTGGCAATGCAGAAGTCACAAGGGGAGTCTCAAAATGACTCTTTCTCCCCACCCCAAGTCAGCTTCATCATATCTGCGGTAGGTCCTGGACATCTGTTTTTAAAGTTTCTCTTCTCCTTCTGGTCTTAGCCATTCGTCTATCAGGGAAGAGGAGCTTTTGTCTGTTCAGAATTGGTCCTGGCTACTGACTGTAAGGCTGATACTATAGGCAAGAACCTAGTGCTCCTGGTTTTCTTCCTTTACTTTTTTTGGAGTTGGGGAAGAAAGAACTATGTGGGAGGCTGGGCCCCAGTCTGGCAGGAGTTGGGCAGAGAGGTAAAGGCAAGAGTCTCTGGCATGGAGCCTTCTGCAGAGAGGTGATGGTGAAGCTCTGGTCATGGGCAAAGGACAGAGCAGAGCAAAAGAAAGTTGGACATGAGCCCCATGCATCCCGCTGTGTCGCGATTCTCTCACACTGCCTCTGTTTTCAGAGAGAACGTGAGAGCAGGGATTCCATGAGAGCAGGGATTCCACGAGAGCAGGGATTTAAAAACAATCTCTCATGGAAAAATTTTAAACCTAAAAGGAAATAGAAAGAATAGTGAAACCTCTGTGTTTCAACTCCTCACTTTGACAATTATCTACACCAGGCTGATCAGTTTCATCTGCTCCATCTTTATCCGGAACCCCCTCGTCAACCTCCATCGTTCTGAAGCAAATGAGGAAAAAATATCAGACTGGCCATTCTGAGCTCCTGTTTTACAGTCCAGCAGCCCCTATGCTGGCAATAAAAATAAGCTCTGAGGATGGGAAGAAGGGATCAAGGAAGACTCATCAGTTTACCTTTAATTCCAATTTTATGTATTTATTATTATTTTTTTTAAATTTAAAGATGGGGATTTCTCTATGTTGCCCAGATTGGCCTTAAACTCCTGGACTCAAGTAATCCTCCCTCCTCAGCAATAGAAAATTTTGGGATTTCAGGCATGAGCTACAATGCCCAGCTTAATTCCTGTCTTTTTTTCTATTTTTTATTTTTTTATTTTTTTTTTCTTTGAGACGGAGTCTCATTCTGTCGCCCAGGCTGGAGCGCAGTGGCGTGATCTCGGCTCACTGCAAGCTCCGCCTCCCAGGTTCACGCCATTCTCCTGCCTCAGCCTCCTGAGTAGCTGGGACTACAGGCGCCCGCCACCACGCCTGGCTAATTTTTTTTGTATTTTTAGTAGAGACGGGGTTTCACTGTGGTCTCGATCTCCTGACGTCGTGATCCGCCTGCCTCGGCCTCCCAAAGTGTTGGGATTACAGGCGTGAGTCACCGCGCCCGACCAATTCCTCTTTTAAACACAAAGAAGCAGTCACTTATTTTGCCCCTTAAAATTGTCACCAAGTCTCCGTGCAACATATGCAGACTCTAACAAAGGGCAATGCAAAAGAAGCTCATCCCTGGATCAGTTAAAAATAAAAGGGCTGCAGTCTGTGCTTCCTAGAGTGTGTTCTGCATCCAGCAGCCTGATCCTAATGATAAACAAATAATATTCTACTCTGGGGGGCGGGTAAAGCTCTGGAGAGCAGAAATATGTGCACGGTTCAAGAGGCTTAGTGCAGTAGGCAGGAGCTGGGAGGCTTGGAGTCTGGGTGGTCTGCAAGTCACAGATTGTGGATGGAGACTGCTCTGGTTCCCCAACCCCCCTTCTCATGGAAATCCCTCTGTTCTGAGTCTGCAGCTCCCCTTCCCCTTGCTCTGCTCCCTTTATTCTGCTCCACTTCCATGCCCAATTATGGAGCAGAAAAACTAGAGGGGCAAAGGAAGGAGGGTGAAGGAAATTTGGAAAAACTCAAGTAGTCATACATATCCTTAAGCCAGTCAAGAAGAGGTGAGGCCGACGGCACTTGGGTGGGAGTGTACGCAAAGGGAAACGGCTGTCGAGAAGTCTGGGCATGACCGTGGCTGGGGAGTGGAGTCTCTGCTCAAGGCATGTCTTCTTTTGATCCCCATCCAAGGATTCCCAGTCCCTAAAGTGCCAAGAGGGCCTCAGCCAAGCGTGGACTCTTTTGTGCCTTTGTCATCGAGGTGTCATAAGCAACGCCACAGAAAGGTGCTAATAGCACAGTGCTTTTCAGACTGGGTTACTTCAGCCTCTTGGATTAGGGGAACTACAGAAGATTTATGGAACACCTTGATGGGATTCAATTTTACCAAAGACTTTTTTTTCAGGGGGGATTGCTATTTTTAGTATTAAAATAATTGTGAGTATATGATGAAATAGAATGTAAAATTTTAATGAATTTATGAAGATAAACACAAGAATTTAAAGACGTGTCCCAATTCTAGTGGCCTATTTAAAGAGGTATTTTCTTTCTCCCGTCCTTAGGAGTATTTGGGGAGAATGTGACGGGAGCTGCCCGATGTTCCCGGGGATCGATGAGCTGTTAGGGTTCTGGGATCTCCGCCCACCTGACTGGTCATCTCTTATTTCCTGTCAGCCCGTGAGGCTGGCTATTTCATGGTCTCCTGGGATGGGCTCACCCTTTCCTTTCTCCAAGCTTTTGTCCAAACAGTCACTTATGTTTGAGACAAGCTATCACCTTCTGACAACCACATCATGTCTCTTCTTCTCTTTACAATGAAATTGAAGGTCATTTTTTTCCCAGGAAGATTTCTCCGACTAAGCTAGGAGAACTGACTCTCCAAAGAGAATCTATAAGAATACCAGGCTGGGATGCCAAAACTACATGCTGATACAAAGCATTTGCAAAGGTTTGTATAAAACTTATTGCACAAAACTGTCAAATGCCTGTCTTATTTAGTAATCATTAAAACCCCATGAATTATACAGGGCAAGGATTATTTATAATTCTCATCTACCAGCCAAGTGATGGAGCATGGCAGAGGTTAAGTAACTTGCCCAAAACCACACAACTAGGAAGTGGTTCTTTTGACTCTCTAAAGAAAAATTATCCAAAACTTGGAAATAAAGGGGGAGAGTGACTGCGTGTTCTCTCAGTGTCACACTGGGGCACTGTTTAAAAACTCTTCTAAAGATTATTTAGTTCTGTAGGCAAAGTCAGCTTCCTGGGCATGCAACCTGTGCCATCATTATCCTAAACTCAGAACCCTGAGTTTAGGGGGGCCCCTCATTTGTTTAATGCTCAGCTGTTGCTGTCTTGAAATTCTCTTTTTTTTTTTTTTTTTTTTTGAGACAGAGTTTCACTCCTGTCTTCCAGGCTGGAGTTCAGTAGCACCATTTCGGCTCACTGCAACCTCGGCCTCCCAGATTCAAGTGATTCTCCTGCCTCAGCCTCCCAAGTAGCTGGGGTTACAGGCGTCTGCTACCACACCCGGCTAATTTTTGTATTTTTAGTAGAGACGGGGTTTCACCAATGTTTGCCAGGCTAGTCTTGAACTCCTGACCTCAAGTGATCTCTCTGCCAGAGCCTCCCAAAGTGCTAGAATTACAGGCATGAGCCACCATGCCCGACCTAAATTCTTCAAAATTTTTGAACAAAGGCCTCTGAATTTTTTTTGCACTGGGTCCAGCAAATTGTGTAGTTGATTCTGTCTCCAGGATAATAAATATCCCAACTGACCTTGTTATTTGCAATTAAGGGCTCAGCTCTGTGAAGTTGCCTGTTAACCTGTAGATATGGATCCGGTAGGGAAGCAAATGATTTCTGTCCATTAGCAAGTGTAATCTATACTTTTATTGCCCTGTGGAACATTAACTAGATTTGTCCCTGACTTTAAAAAACTTCCTGCGGTGCGCCTTTCCCTACGGGCTATAAAAACCCTGCTTCCTCAATTGCTCTTGGCGTCAGCTTTCCCATCTTACTGATTCCCTTTATGGATTAATAAATTAAATGACATCTTTGACAAGTGCTCATTTTATTCTGGAAGAGAATTATGTTTTTAAGTCTTTTCGGGAAATTATGCTTTGAAAGCTTTGCATTCCAAGCTCCTTCCATCATATTATGCTACTGAAGTCGCACTTTTCTCTTCCATCTGCTGATCGGGAGCCCACGCCGAGTCTGTTTGCGCACTGATGTTTACGCATTTTAGGCACAACTATTATTTTTGCTTGTCTTCTCACTCTTGGTATCCTGTAAATTCTTTTAAAATTGTATTTACTGATTTTTAAAAAGTGGATAATACATCCGCATGGTTCAAATTCAAAAGTTCAAAGGGTATATAGTGAAAATTTCGCTCCCATCACTATCCCAGGCACCCAGTTTTCTTCTCCAAGACAACATGTATGACTTCTACCATTTAATTTTACATATACCTTCAAATATGTGTATATATTCTTTTTGTTTGTTTTTTTCTACAAATAGTAGAACGAATATTCATATCATTGTCCTGCAACTTCCTCCTTTCACTTAACAATATATTCTGGAGGTTATTGAATTTTAGTGCATAAGGAACAAAAAACTGAAAAAAACCTCCCTCATTGTTTTATGGCTATATACTATTCCACTGGATAGGTTTACCATAATTTAACCATTATTTTATTTATGTGTGTGTATGATCTAAATGCCTCAAAGTGGATCTTATTAATAGATATTTAGTTGTTCACTATTGTTTGATATAATGAGCAATGATGCATTGAATAACTGTGTACATATATAGTTTTGCATGTGTGTATATGTATATATATACATATATATATACACACACATATAGATATATACATATATACATGAGATAAATGCCCAGAAATGAAATTGGTTGGTCAAAGAACATATACATTTATAATTTCTGACGTTTTTGAGAAATTACTCTCCAGCAAGGTTGTATCAATTTATTTCCACTTCTGCCGGGAATGTTCCAGAGCCCTTGCCAACACCACAACAGAGTGTATTTTGACATTTTTCAACTTCGAGATGGGAGATGGTATCTCATAGTTTTTACTTGCATTTCTTTAGTTAATAATGAGATGAAGCTTTTAAAATATATTTGAGAATAATTTCTTTTTCTGGGAACTGCCTTTTCATATCCACTGCCAATTTTTCTATTCGCTCACTAGTCTGTGATATAAGTGGTAAATATCATCTTCCCCTAGATTGTCTTTTTTAAAAAATAAAAAACTTTGTTTATGGTGGTTTTACTATGTGGACTTTTGTTTGATGCTGTCGAATTTGTCAATATTTCTTTCTATGGCTTCTAGTTTTCTGTCAGAGTTAGAAAGGTTTTCCCCAACTGGGATGATGAGAAAGAACCCTCCCAGGTTTCTTTTGGTAAGTTTATGGTCCCATGTTTCACATATAAATCTTTGATTCATTTGGAGTTTATTCTGGTGTTAGATACAAAATATGATTTCAACTTTATTTTTTCCCAAATGGTTCCCATATTGTCCCTAAGCTGTCTATAAAATAATCTTTTTCCACAGATTGGAGATCTCAGCTTGATTATTCACTAATTTGCCATATGTACTTGTGTTTGTTTTTTAAGTTTTCTCCCCATGCCATGATCTGTCTGTTTATTGCATGAGTACTGTATGATTTATGTTAATGTAACTTTAGAATATATTTAGTATCTGGTAAGGCAAGTGCTCTCCTTATTATATTTCTTTTCCTTTTTTTTTTTTCTTTTTGAGATGGAGTCTCGCTGTGTCACCCAGGCTGGAGTACAATGGCGCTGATCTCAGCTCACTGCAACCTCCGCCTCCTGAGTTCAAGGAATTTTCCTGCGTTAGCCTCCTAAGTAGCTGGGATTACAGGCGCACACCAACACACCTGGCTAATTTTTGTATTTTTAGTAGAGATAGGGTTTTGCCATGTTGGCCAGGCTGGTCTTGAACTCCTGACCTCAGGTGATCTGCCCACCTCGGCCTCCCAGAGTGTTGGGATTACAGGTGTGAGCCACCACGTCCCGCCCCTATTATATTTCTTTTAAAACATTTCCAGGACAAAACTTAATGTTTCTTTTTCCATGTCAACTCTAGAATCAGCTTGACTAGTTAAAACAAAACAAAACAAAAAACAAATTGATATTTCATTGAGAGTGCATTGCATTTATGGATATGTTGGGGAGAATTGGCTTCCTAATAATGCTACACTTGGCTACCAGAAATCATGATAAGCCTTTCCATTTAATCAAGTTTCCCATCTAGTTTAGTGGCAGCATTTTAATATTTTGATCATCTTGCATAACTCTTAAGTTTATTACCAGGTATTGTTTGTATAAAATAGATGTTTCCTTTTATCTTTTTGTTGTTTTCATATATGAAAGTTACTGAATTCTGCGTGTAATTGTGTATGAGCCAGCTTATTGAGTTTCCTTGTCCTGTTAACTCTAACACCCCACACAAAGTCCCACACCAAGTTCCTAACATAACTAATTGTTGACTGAGTGACCCTTTATCTGCCGTCTTGGGAGTTGGGGCTGCTGCTGTTTCTTTTTTTTTTTCTTTTTCTTTTTTTTTTTTTTTTTTTTGAGACGGAGTCTTGCTCTGTCGCCCAGGCTGGAGTGCAGTGGCGCGATCTCGGCTCACTGCAACTTCCGCCTCCCGGGTTCTAGCAATTCTCCTGCCCCAGCCTCCCGAGCAGCTGGGACTACAGGCGCACACCGCCACGCCCAGCTAATTTGTGTTTGTATTTTAGTAGAGACAGGGTTTCACCGTGTTGCCAAAGCCGGTCTTGAACTCCTGAGCTCAGGCAATCCACCGACCTCAGCCTCCCGAAGTGTTAGGATTACAGGCGTGAGCCACCACGCCCAGCCGGGGGTTGGGGCTTCTTAAGGTTTCAAGACAGTTAATGCTGAGGGAGAAACAGGAAACACTGATTTCATCTATTGTTCCAGGATAAAGAGTAGATCATTAGCAATTTCTTCGCTCATTCTTAGGGATTTCTTTGAAAGTTGGCTTTTAGTGCCAGTGTTAGGGCTTCTGAATGGCTTGCTGAGATCTGCTCTGTGGTCTCAGGAATGACTTTTTTTTTTTTTTTAACTTAAAAACCTAAAAAAATTACTTTGGGAGTGACTAGGTAAGGGAGGTTATCCTCATCTAACCAGAGATCCAGCCTGAATTTATGCACACCGTGGGGACAGAAGAATTGGGTATGGGAAAGAGCCGCTGTGCAACATTATTGAAGCTCCACGGAAGTTTCACAACAGGGATCCTTTTATGGGGTCAGATAGAGATCATGCTGTCTGTCTGAGATCAGATGGACCCATTAAAAAAACAATATTAAGGCCGGGTGCGGTGGCTCACGCCTGTAATCCCCAGCGCTTTGGGAGGCCGAGGCAGGTGGACCATTTGAGGTCAGAAGCTTGAGACCAGCCTGGCCAACATGGTGAAACCACGTCTCTACTAAAAATACAAAAATTAGCCCATTGTGGTGGCACACGCCTGTAATCGTAGCTACTCAGGAGACTGAGGCTGGAGAATACCTTGAACCCGGAAGGCGGAGGTTGCAGTAAGCTGAGATTGCCCCACTGCACTCCAGCCTGGGTGACACAGGGATACTTTGTCTCAAAAAGAAAAACGAAAACAAATCCACACACACATTTTGGGAGGCCGAGGCAGGAAGATCACCTGAGGTTAGGAGTTTGAAACCAGCCTGGCCGACTTGGTGAAATTCTTTTTTTTTGTTTGTTTTTTTTGAGACAGAGTCTCGCTCTGTCTCCCAGGCTGGAGTGCAGTGGCGCGATCTCGGTTCACTGCAAGCTCTGCCTCCCGGGTTTTACGCCATTCTCCTGCCTTAGCCTCCCAAGTAGCTGGGACTACAGGCGTGCACCACCTACGCCCGGCTAATTTTTTTTGTATTTTTAGTAGAGATGGGGTTTCACCGTATTAGCCAGGATGGTCTCGAACTCCTGACCTTGTGATCCGCCCCCCTCGGCCTCCCAAAGTGCTGGGATTACAGGCGTGAGCCACCATGCCCGGCAACTTGGTGTAATTCTGTCTCTACTAAAAATACAAAAAATTAGCCAGGCGTAGTAGTGGGTGCCTGTAATCCCAGCTACTCACGAAGCTAAGGCAGGAGAATCGCTTGAACCCAGGAGGTGGAGGTTGCAGTGAGCCAAGATCACACTACTGCACTCCAGCTTGGGCGACAGAGGAAGACACCGTCTCAAAAACAAAAACAAAAAACAAAACAAACAACCCCCCCCCCCACCCTCACCCTCCAATATTAGTCATTACTCTGTAAAGGTTCCAGAAAAAGTTTGTTACATCCATTTTGGGTTTTCAATTTAGTATCATTGGAATTCGACTGGAATTCTAAAGGGTTAAAAGAAATCCTAGCATTTGACCTAAATACTCTTAGAAGGCTCTCTCTCTCTCTCTCTCTGGCAATGTTTAACACCTCAGAATGAAAATACATGAGCTCATTGGAATTGCTAGAAAAGGGCACGGCAGTTTTTCACACTTCTTTTGCCAGCAAGATAGCACTTTAATTTGAGCCTGATTTTTTTCTCACCCTGGAGGGGAGATGGGGTTACTCGTTGGGGCTCTGGGGCCTCCATTCTGCCTGCTTCTTTGGTGGGTATTAGCATGAGAAAACACAAGAGTAGTTTGACTTCCTATATTTTTCCAATGTTGCCTGAGAATCTGGGGCTCAAATTGCAGCATCAGGGAGTAAAATTATATGCCAGGGTCTCAAAGCCTTTGTCCATCACTTTCTCTCATCCTTATTCTTTATTAAAAGTCTTGCTAATTAAAAAAAAATCTAAGTTCAAAAGTTCAGATAAACTCCCTTAAGTCTGTGACCTGATTTTCTTCAGCTTGAATCGTGTTAGGTCCTGGATATGGAGTTTTTAGTTCTTCTTTATGATTTTGTTACAGGCATTTGAACCAGAGCAACTTCATTGTGGATAGCGGCTGGGTAAAATGAGGCTGAGACTTCCTGGGCTGCATTCCTAGGAGGTTAGGCATTCTTAGTCACAGGATGAGATAGGAGGTCAGCACAAGATACAGGTCATAAAGACCTTGATGATAAAGTGGGTTGCAGTAATGAAAGCCAGCCAAGACCCAAAACCAAGATGGCCATGAGAGAGACCTCTGGCCATCTTCACTGCTCATTATACGCTAATTATAATGCATTAGCATGCTAAAAGACACTCCCACCAACGCCATGACAGTTTATAGATGCCATGGTAACATCCGGAAGTTACCCTATGTGGTCTAAAAAGGGGAGGAACCCTCAGCTTCAGGAATTGCTCACCCCTTTCCCAGAAAACTCGTGAATAATCCACTCCTTGTTTAGCATATAATCAAGAAATAACTATAAGTATCCTTATAGCTTAAGCTTAAGCTGCTGCTCTGCTTATGGAGTAGCCACTGTTTTATTCCTTTATTTTCTTAATAAACTTGCTTTTGCTTTGCACTGTGGACTTGCCCCGAATTCTTTCTTGCACAAGATCCAAGAACCCTCTCTTGGGGTCTGGATCGGGACCCCTTTCCGGTAACAGTTTCTGGAGACACAGTGCTGTGTCAGATGAGAGCATGACGAGGTGGGTATGTTTTCATCAGCTGATTGCTGCAAAGAAAAACTTGCCAACTAACTGGGTCTGGGTCACTCTCTACTATAGTAGCAGCATAATTGCAATCTGATCGGCTAACCAGAGATTCCTGGTCTGCTTATTTTTCCTGGGTTTATTTGCCTCGGTGCTCTGAGACATCCATGTTATGTCTTTCTGTTTATACTCTTCTTGACCGAAACCTTAGAATATGAAGTAAGACGAAAGAAAGCCAGCTGGAGAAGCTGTCAGTTCAGCAGGTTTGGGCCATGGTCCCAAAAGACACTATTCCCTGAATCATGCCTGGTGTGACCCATTTCCTTCTGTCTGCCTGCTGCTCCATCCTCTGTGCTTGAGGCCCGGCTCTGTCCTCCAGCCAACACCAGGACGACTGGGTGTGTGGACCCTGACCCTTACAACCTGACTCACCACAGCTCTGCAGGGTGCCCTGAGAGCCCACAAGGCTCTGGGTGCTGGGGAGACAAATATTTAAAAGACAGGCACCCTGGCCTTGAGGAACTCTCAGAGGTTTGCCCTCAGCTCCTTTATTTGAAAGAGTGAACTTAACTGGGGCTCCCACCTTTGAGGAAATCTTACCAAGAATTTAAAGAAAGCCTAGAAGAGGCCAGGCGAGGTGGCTCATGCCTGTAATCCCAGCACTTTGGGAGGCCGAGGTGGGAGGATCGCTTGAGGCCAGGAGTTCAAGACCAGCCTGGCCAACATGGTGAAACCCTGTCTCTACTAAAAATAAAATAATAAAATAAAATAAAATAAAATAAAATAAAATAAAATAAAATAAAATAAAATAAAGCAAGCCCAGAAGAGAAATATGATCGATAACTTATAAGGTGGCCTCTGGTTCTTCTGAGAAGGTGAAGAAGAACTAGACATACTTAGGCAAAAAATAGCCACCTGCAGGAGAAAAGACAGCTTCCTTCCCCTGCCTTCTCTGGTGAGAGAATCCTTTCAGCCCATTTCCTGATTCTCACTTATAATCATACCTGGGCGGTCTTGAAGTGTACTTGGGTATCATGCTATTCTGGAAAGAGCCTGGGACTAGGAGGAGGCAGCTTTGGGATCTAATCCAAACCATTGTGTGACCTTGGGCAAATGCCTTAACTTTTCTATGGGATTAGTTTATTTGGGAAATTGCCTTCCCTACTTCATCAGGATATTGTGAAAAATCACTATGTATCTATATATGAGTGTGAATTTACATAGATGGAATAAAATATACGCAATACACACAATAAAATATACACATACACATAAATTTAAAATTTTCACAATAAATAGTTATCATTTATTGAGCAGCCCTTAGTTATTAGGCATTGTGTTAAGTCTTTTACATATGTTAGCTTGTAGTTACTCACAATATTCTTGCAAGACAGGTGATAGCAACCTCTCCTCGCTCCACTGCCTCCACCACACACTATATTATAGATGAGGAAACTGAGGCTTAGAGAGGCAAGGAAGTTTACTCAAGCTCACAGAGAAAGTTTCTTTTTTTTTTTAATCTCTTTTTTTTTGAGACAGAGTTTCACTCTTGTTGTCCAGGCTGGAGTGCAATGGCGCGATCTCAGCTCACTGCAACCTCCGCCTCCCGCGTTCAAGCAATTCTCCTGCCTCAGCCTCCTGAGTAGCTGGGATTACAGGCATGTGCCACCACGCCCAGCTAATTTTGTATTTTTAGTAGAGACAGGGTTTCTCCATGTTGGACAGGCTGGTCTCGAACTCCCAACCTCAGGTGATCCACCCACCTTGGCCTCCCAAAGTGCTGGGATTACAGGTGTGAGCCACTGCACCCGGCCTAGAGAAAGTTTCTTTTGGATAGTAGCCAACACTGTGTCATGCAGCAATAGGTCCTCGGTAATGATGACTTCAAAGGCAATCATGATGCTTCTCCATTGAATCTTCTTTCGTATGGCTCCTTCTTCCCATATCTGGAAGATTGTTTTTGATTGCAACATAGGCCGTCAAGCTCCTAGACATCTTTAATCTGTTGTGGGCTTCTCACACTGTGTTCCATAGAAGAGCTATGCAATTTAGGGGAATTCTGCCAGTGGCTTGACATCCCCAGCCTGGGGCTCATTTGGGTTTGGTTCATCGTCCAGCGTTCATGAACATTTCCATCTCAGCTCCTTACCCTCCTCTTTCCCCACTCTATGCCTCAGCACGATGAACTTTGCTCTGTTTCAAGTCCATGCCCCAGGCTTTCCCACGTTTCTGCTTTTGCTCAAATTCTTTGCTCCATTGCTCCATCTGGAATGCCCTTCTGTCTCCTTCTTTGCCAAATTTCTAAATATTACTTATCCTTATGGTCTTCTGTAAGGTCCTTTTTCTTCATGAAGCCTTTCCTAATCTGTTTAGCTGGAAATGGTTATAGGACATTCTTTATTTCCTTTTAGTGGAACATTCCTTATTTCTCCTTGTAAACGTATGCTTTCTGAAGGTTAAGTTCATGTCCAGTTCATATTTGAACTTCCAGTCTGTAATACATGTCTTTATATGTAATAGCCATGTGTTCATTTACTCAACGAATAAATCAGTCAGTAAATGAGTATATAAATCTTGAGGGAGTTCTGAATTGTGTGTGGTGTTAAAGATGTGCCAGGAGAATTGTACTTGTTTATTTATTAAGCACATACTGGGTTTAAGATCCTCTGCCAATATTTATTACACAATTTTTTTTGTCTTAGCATTTACGGTCTCTAATAAACAAATATGAATAACAAAGAAAAGAGCACACACCAAGAGAAATACATTAAACCAAATTTTAAAAAATGTGTTTTATGTGATGATGAAGGGAAGGGTAATTGTGAAAGAGACTGCAATTAGGAAAAAGAGTTCCAAGGTCTGACAAAGGGGAGTGCCATGGACTGAATGTTTATGTCTCCCCCAAATTTACCTGGTGAAATCCTAACCCCCAATGTGATGGTATTAAGAGGTGGGACTTTTGGGAGGTGAGAAGGTCATGAGGATGGAGCCCCTATGAATGGGATTAGTGCCCTTATAAAAGATAACCCAGAGAACCCTTTAGCCTTCTTTCCACCATGTGAGGAGACAAGGAGAAGACAGCAGTGAACAACCTGGAAGAGGGCCCTGACCATAGTGGCACCCTGATCTCGAACTTCCAGCTTCCAGAACTGTGAGAAATAAATTTCTGTTGTTCTTAAACCACCTAGTTTGTGGTACTTTGCTATAGCGGTCCAAACAGACTAAGACAAGGAGGGAAGATTAAATGACTGAGAGAAAAA
The DNA here is from genome assembly GCF_000001405.40 of Homo sapiens. Lineage (NCBI taxonomy): Eukaryota > Metazoa > Chordata > Mammalia > Primates > Hominidae > Homo > Homo sapiens. The sequence goes on from NC_000011.10 coordinate 123,222,436, forward strand.
TGGTGTTTGAACATGGATTGAGAAGCTACCAGATGACACTATACAAAACATACACTTGTTTTCTAAGACCCTCTATGTTTTATAGGACATCTACTCAACCTATAAACATCTACTGAGAAAGCACCTTGAACTAGAGGTTGGGGTTACAAAGGTCAAAATGGCCCACTTCCCGCCCTTGCATTCTGCAGAAGTTTGTTTCGGAATGCTCTGGGAGGAGAGAGGGAGAACTCTTAGTGTGCAGGGAGGTCTCACAGAGGTGATGACCCTCAACCAAGGCCTGAGGAAGCAGTGTGGTGTGAAGTTTCAGAGTATAGACTCTAGAGTCAGACAGGAGGCTGATATGGTTTGGATTTGTGTTCCCACCCAAATCTCATGTTGAATTGTCATTCCCAATGTTGAAGGAGGGGCCTGGTGGGAGGTCATTGGATCATGGGGGCAGATTTCCCCTTTCCTGTTCTCGAGATAGTGAGTTCTCATGAAATCTGGTTGTTTAAAAGTGTGTAGCACCTCCCCTGTCTCTCTCTTCCTCCTGCTCCAGCCATGTAAGACATGCCTCCTTCCTCTTCACCTTCCGCCATGATTGTAAGTTTCCTGAGGCCTTCCCAGCCATGATTCCTGTACAGCCTGCAGAACTGTGAGCCAATTAAACTTCTTTTCTTTATAAATTACCCAGTCTCAGGTAGTTCTTTATAGCAATGTGAGAACAGACTAATACAGAGGCAGACTGCTTGGACGGGATCTAATCCTGCCATTAACAATTCCTATGGTTTGAATGTTTGTTTCCTCCTAAACTCATGTTGAAACTTAATCCCAATGTAGCAGTATTGAGAGTTGGGGCCTTCAAAAGTTGATTGGGTCATGAGGGTTCTGCCCACATGAGTAGAGTAATCCATTTATGGATTAATGGGTGAATGGGTTGTCATGGGAGTGGGACTGGTGGCGTTATAAGAGGAGAAAGAGAGACCTGAGCTAGTACACTCAGCCCCTTCACCACATAATGTCCAGCACTATCTGGAGACACTGCAGGGTCCCCATCAGCAAGAGGGCCATCACTAGATGTGGCCCCTTGACCTTGGACTTCTCAGCCTCCATAAAAGTAAGAAATAAGTTTCTTTATATATTACCCAGTTTCATGTATTCTGTTATAAGCAACAGAAAATGAACTAAGACAACTATTAACATAATTCTGACATGTAAGCAAGGCTCAGTCTCTTTCTCTGTAAAATGTGATAGTTATATTACCTATACACAGAGTTATGAAGATTAAATGAGAAAATCCCCAGCCTCTAGGTAGGACTGCCTCATCCCACCCAAGACTGACTCTTCTTTCAAGATTCAAGTGAATTGGGAGGCCAAGGCGGGCAGATTACGAGGTCAGGAGATCGAGACCATCCTGGCTAACATGGTGTAACTCTGTCTCTACTAAAAATACAAAAAATTAGTCGGGCATGGTGGCATGTGCCTGTAATTCCAGCTACTCAGGAGGCTGAGGCAGGAGAATCGCTTGAACCCAGGAGGGGGAGGTTGTAGTGAGCCGAGATTGTGCCACTGCACTCCAGCCAGGGCGACAAAGCAAGACTCCATCTCAAAAAAAAAAAAAAAAAAAAAAAGGATTCAAGTGAAAGTGCCTCTTGATTCACTCAGAAGTTGACTTTGTTCATTTTTTGTTTCACCAAAAGTGATGGAAGGATGGGCTGGTTAAGCAGATAACTTTTCTCTAAAGAGTATTAAAGTTGAGCTAAAGGATTTTTTAAAGGTTGTGGATCCAGATCCCCAGATTAGCACTTACATACAATGATAACTTATAGAAATATAAGACAGCCCAAGGCTGGCAATGAATAGGCTTATTTTCTAGCATGTTATTGGATGGGGAAGAGGAGACAGAGGACTCTTTATCCAGCTGCGGGGACTCTAAATTTGGCAGGTTAGTTCTGTGTGAGGAGGATGAGGGGCTCCTAAGAGAGTTTGTACCCTGTGCCATTGATTATTGGAGAGTAGATCTTTCTTTCCCTGGTATTTTTTTCACTGGCATCCTATTGCAATGGAAGTATCTGACTGTTTATTATAGCACATATGAGCAGTGCCTTTAAAACTAGGGAGAATGCACCTATGTTTCCAATTTCCGTCTTCAGCAAAAATTGCTTTCATATAAACTTTATGGTACCAATTATATAAATTGTGCCTATATAAATAGTAGGGTTAAAAGCAGTTAGAGATTTAGAGATTATTAAAGTTATATTTTTGGGGGTGGAGTTGTATTTTCATTTAGTCATAATCTCCTGTTACAAATGAACATTTTGTATTTCATTGCTAAGATAAAATAATAGAAACAAAACAGCAGGACTGGAGAGAGAAATGAACAGAAAGAATCGATTGAGTGAGGAGGAAGTTGGGAAAGAGGGCAGCAAGTGGAGAAAGATTGGAAGGGAGAAGTGGGTAGAGAAAGGAGGTAAATACAGAAGAAGGATATATGGTTTGATAGAAGAAATAAGACCTAGTGTTGATAGATTAGTGGGGTGACTATAGTTGACAATAATCTATTGTACATTCCAGAATAGTTAGAAGAGAATAATTCAAAGGTTTCTAGCATAGAGAAAAGACACATATTTAAGGTGATGAATATTTCAAGTATGTTAATTTTATCTTTACAAATTATATGAATGTATTTAATTATCATATGTACCATGAAACTAGTACATCTATTATGCATCAATTTAAAAAAAGACAGGCTGGATGTGGTGGCTCACACCTATAATCCCAACATTTTGGGTGGCTGAGGTGGGCGGATCACTTGAGCCCAGGAATTCAAGACCAGCCTGGGCAAAACAGCGAGCCCCCCATCTCTATGTTAAACAACAATAACAACATACAAATAAAAGTTTAAAAGCACAGAAGGAAAAACAATGTTTGGTAATTAGAGTTGAGCCTAGGGGTGGCTGTGACATCTGAACAATGTTAAGCAGGTCCAAACAAATAAAATCTCCATTCAAAAGTTTCCCTCATTCATTTGGAAAACCATTCTGGGAGGGCATTTGAACCTTTATTTATTTCAGGCACTCTTTATAACTACAGATCCCTTTGCGTATATAAGTGTACCAAACAATGTCGCCTGGGGGTTTTCTCTAATTTTTTTTTGCAGTAAATAAATCTCCCTGGGTAGATGGCTGTATTGTGCAGACAAGGTCCAAGGCCCTACCTTCCTCTCGCACTCCCTCAGCAGTGCTTCCATCTGTTTGCACCACTCCGCACACACACCCAGAAGGTGGGCAAACACAGGAGATGGCACCTCTGATAAAGGCTCCTGTGTGGATGGTGGTGGCTGGAGGTGGAAGTGGTCAGGGACTCTGCCTGCTGTAACACCCCACATGCTGGTGCAGAGGGACATTCGGTGGATAGTTTTGTCTTGGTTTGACCTCCCTATTTCCTGCCAAACGATGGCCCCATCTTCTCCAAACATGAAGAACACTTTCTCATGGAAGGCTCCTAGATGTCGATAGAGATTAGTAAAAGTTCTGTTAAGCTGTAATTAGCTTACTTTTGATCAACCTGCATATTCCTATTGAATTTTTATTTGTCGATCTCTCTTCAGCCTGCATGCTCCTAGAAGGCTTACAGGGCTCTATCTTTTGTGCCTCTTAACACGTCAGTTTCTGGTATGGTTGTCCTTACAAAGAAGAAACATGATCAGAACTCCCTCCTCTTCTCCCCTCCACCTCTAAATTTTCCGGCTGGTGCTCATCCATTCCCTTTTCCCCATCTCAGGAGGTGGGCTCCTTTTTCTTGTTGAACACGAATGCCTCCACCTCTGCTCTGGGGCAGTTCCTTCTGTTCCCCAGGGACCTTGTTCCATCCATTGTCTCCAACTCTCCTTCCACCTGTCCTTCTCCACTGGATCCTTCTCTTGGCACGTGCATGTGTGCATTTGCTTGTTTCTCTTATTTAAAAGAAATCCATCCTTCCTTGACCCAAACCTCCTTTCTCTTCTATTCATATCAAAGCTCTTAGAAAAAGGAAACCACGCTCAAAGTTAATTGTTATCTGTTCTTGTAACAAAAGAATATCCTTAACTTATTTATTTCATCCTTATTTTTTATATATAAAATTCATCCTTATTTTAACTTGTTTATTTCAAAGCAAACATTGTCCTATTTATTTTTTTTTTTTGCTTATAAAAGTAGTACATTCTCATTCAAAAGCTTAGACAACACACAAAGAAAATCAAAAGTAGTAGTAATCAATAACCCCAGAATTCAGAGACTATCGCCATAGCACTGTGGGCCCTGCACCAATAACCGTGTTCTTCCATCTTCCTTTGTGGCAAACTTTAGGTATTGACCTCAACTCACATGTGTCACAGTTACAGACATATCCGGAAGACCCTTTTATGCTCTTAAAGTTAGTAAAGACCTCCAGGAGCTTTAGTTTGTGCACGTTACATCTATTGAGATTTATCATATTCAATGTTAAAAGAGTTTAAAATATTTTATTTACTAATTCGTTAAGAATAACAATAATACGTTTGTTACAGGCTACCATAAGTAATATTTTAATGACAAAATAATAAGTATACTTTTCAGAAAAAAAAATATTTGGTGAGAGAAATGGCATGTTTTACATTTTTACAAATTTTTAAATGTCTAACTAATAGCTGGACTTTAATGCCTTCTGCATTCAAATTGCTATGGTATGTTAAATATATGAAAAAAATATGATCTCACAGACAAATGCTTTAAAAAGGAGGAGTATTTTAATAATTTTAATAACATTTTAGAGTAACTTGATATTCTGATTTGGTATAACATCAAAACTCAAGAAGTGGTAGTTTTATATCTATGAACTTTTTGTACTTTCTCTACACTTGTGAGAGAATGAAAATAAAAAAGGCAAAAAAAAATCGTATTATTATGAAAATAGTTGTGACCTCATAGGCCCCCAGATGGGGCCTTGAGATCCCCCAGGAATCCCCATAGCACACTTTGAGGGCCACTGGTCCAGGCCACTGATACCATTTCCTTTATCAGTGACTTAGGAATGACATGTGACTGAGTTCAGATGAAGGAGATATAATGGGATTTTTCAACCTACTTGAAAATGTTTCCTCAAACATAAAAAGGGCCCCATAGGAAGACAGAGCATGCTGCTTCTGCTCGTCAGTGTCATGTTTTCGTGTGCATCTTGGCTTTGAAAGGGAGGCTGCCTGAGGATGGCTGAGCAGATGCCATTGAGCCACAGGGCTGACCGCCTCGAGTTACCTTGAGTCAGGACTTAAAGTTCTGTGAAATTAACTTTACTTAAGGGAAGAAGGAAGAAAGGAACAAGGGAAGGAAGAAAGGAAAAAAGGTAGGACCTTTTGGTAGATACCCTTTTAGACTTTTTTCTAAATGTTTATATATATAGGTCAATATTCATTCATCTCTGTGTGCCAAGCACTTAGCTCAGTGTAATGCATGGCACGACTCAGTGATTAATAGATATTCTTCAAAGGAATGAATAATTGAATATGTGGCATTTATTGACTGACAACGATTTCCTCTTATTCTTTTCTTTGTCAGGATGAAGAAAAGCAGATCACTCTAAGAATGACAGGTTTCCTGGGTGCTGTGAAGCATACCTAAACAGATAGCTGCAAAGAAGGATCTTTTCTCTATTTCAAGACATGAACACTGCCCCATCCCCACTCCTGGTATTTTGTACCCTAAACAAAATTGGGTATTTGCCTGATATAACCTGAAAAAGGTGGTGCATTATACTTTACATAGTGATTTATAGTTTACAGGCTGCTTTTACGATGGTCTCATTTAGTTTTCCAAAATCAAGCTGTGATATAGTGCTATTATTCCCCTTTTTAAAAAGAGGAAATGGGGGACATGTGAGGGTAAGTGAGTGGTTCAAGGTCACACGACTAGTCAGCAGCAGAACCAGGACTAGAATTGCAAGCCCAGTGTTCTTGAGGGTTGAGCCCCAGGAAACTCTGTCCAGGGCTTTGCCATCATGGGGATTTGCCCGACCGCCCTTAGGCAGCGGAGGGATGGAGTGCAGAGACAACTGGCCTTCATCCTTTGTCCCAAGCCCTGCCCTCTGGGAAGTCCAGGACCAGAGAGCCGCAAGGGTGACATTGTGATCCACCTCAGTTGAATGGCAGTAAAATGATCAAGCCCTTGTTCTGAATGACTTTACCTCGAGGTGACGTCTTCCACAAGACTGACTGTGACATTAAAAATGGATGAGGCCGGGGACGTTTTCCACCCAGAGCTCAACAGAAACTGGCAAGTGTCAAATTTGAAATTTTGCACTGCAGCTCACAAGCATCTACTGACCTAAGACATGAAGGCTCCAACCTGGAAACAATCCAGGACTAAATGTTGACAACTAACTCAGGGAGAGAGAGGGAGAATATAAAATGCCTGGGCATGGCAGCAGCAAAGGGCTTTGGGTCTTTACCTGCAGTTGTGGGCAAGTAGAAAATAATCCATGCAGGATTCAAGACCTGCCTTCTCATCCTGACCCTGTGCAATGATTGGAATGTGCCCCCTTCAAAATTCAGGCATTGCAAATGTGATTGCATCAGAAGATGGGGCCCGTAAGAGGTGATTAGGCCATGAAGTCTTCTCTCTCATTAATGGGATTAAGGCGCTTGTAAAGAGGCTTCACTGCAGCTTTAGGTTAGCTTGCCCTTCTGCCTCCAGCCATGTGAAGACGGCATGGAAGATGCCCACCAGACCATCTAGCTGGTGCCTAGATCTTGTAGTTCCCAGCCTCTGGAACTGTAAGAAATAAATTTCTGTTCTTTATAAGTTATCCAGGCTCAGGTATCTTGTTGTAGCAGCACAAATGAACTAAGACACCCGCCACTGTGTTGTGTGACTCTGAGCAGATGGTTTCCCCTCCCCAGAACTAAGTTTTTCTTTAACTTTTAAAAAGAAATTAAGGGCTGGGACCAGTGGCTCATGCCTCTAATCCCAGGACTTTGGGAGGCCGAGGTGGGTGGATCACCTGACGTCAAGAGCTCGAGACCAGCCTGGCCAACATAATGAAACCCTGTCTCTACTAAAAGCACAAAAATTAGCCAGGTGTGGTGGCAGGTGCCTGTAATCCCAGCTACTCGGGAGGCTGAGGCAGGAGAATTGCTTGAACCCAGGAGGTGATGTTGCAGTGAGCCAAAATCGTGCCACTGCACTCCAGCCTGGACGACGGAGCAAGACTCCGTCTCAAACAAACAAACAAACAAAAAAAGATGAGAACTAGATGGTTTCACAAAGAAGATGACATCTGAAAGCACAAGGAGCAGCTACATAAACTTAAGTCCATTAAAAAAAGTAGGATGGGCATGGTGGCTCATGCCTGTGATCTCAGCACTTTGGGGAGCCAAAGTCAGAGGGTTGCTTGAGCCTAGGAGTTCAAGACCAGCCTGGGCAACATACCGAGACTTCATCTCTACAAAAAAATTTTAAAATTAGCCAGGCATGGTAGTGCATGTCTGTAGTCACAGCTGCTTGGGAGGCTGAGGTGGGAGGATTGCTTGAGCCCGGAAGGTTGAGGCTGCAGTGAGCTGTGATTGAGCCACTGCACTCCAGCCTGGGTGACAGAGTGAGACCTTGTCTCAAAAAACCAATAAGAATAATAAAGAGGAAAAATTTTTACTCATGTAGCAAAATAAATTGTAGGATACACACACACACATCTGCACATCTATATATACTCAAAAAGTTTACAGTCTCACAGATGAAATATGTAGATGTTGAAAAAAGTAATCCATACTTGCTACCTTTGTTCTTACCTAAGCCCTGGGTCCCTTGTTCATCTCCCCCACTTGCCTTTCAGTATCCTGCCTACTGCCTCTTCTATACACATAACTGTTTTTGAATGAATGAATGTGAGTGAGAAGTGTGCACAGGTCTTATCTCTTCTGAGAGAGTCTAATGCAATGGAAAGAAATTTGGCACCCAACACACCTGGTGTATTCCCAGCTTCATCTTTAATCACCTGTGAAGCTTGGGGCAGGATCACCATTACTCCATCTGTAAAAGGGGATTATGGAGAGGAATCAAGATGATTTGCGTGAGTTCCCTAGAGTAGACCTGAGCTCTGGTGGTTGCTCAATGCGTGGTAGCTGCTCTCTGTCACATGCATGAGGCTGCATGAGGTTACACCATATCGGAGCTGCAGGATAGCACATAAAAATGCAATTATTTCATATTAGGGTAACCAGGGCAGGATTTCTGGGGGAGGAGTATTTAGATGGGGCCCAGAAAGAGGGCCCCCAAGTGTGGTAGGTAGAGATGGGAAAGGGAACAGCAATCCAAGTGAGGGAGAGCCAGGGTGAGGAGGCAGAAAAGCGGAAGGAATGACAAGGCTGTAGAAGGTAGGGTGGTTTACTTGCAGGAAGATGTAGCTGGAAAGATAAATTGGGGCCAGGTTTTAGAGGGTATGAGTGGCAGGCAGAGCATTTGGACTTTATCCTATGAAAAATGAGCGGCCATTGGAGGTTTTGAGCAGATGAGTGACAGATTTTGTGTGTGTTTTTGGTTTTGGTTTTTTGAGTTGGAGTCTCACTGTCATCCAGGCTGGAGTGCAGCAGCGCAATCTCAGCTCACTGCAACCTCCGCCTCCCGGGTTCAAGTGATTCTCATGCTTTGGCCTCCCAAGTAGCTGCGACTACAGATGTGAGCCACGACACCTGCTAATTTTTGTCTTTTTAGTAGAAGCGGGGTTTTGCCATGTTGCCCAGGCTGGTCTTGAACTCCTGAACTCAAGCAATCCACCCACTTCAGCCTCCTAAAGTGCTGGGAGGATTACAAGTGTGAGCCACCATGCCCAGGTGAGTGACAGGTTTAAGAAACTATATTTCTTTGGGGCTAGTTGTGGAAAAAGTCACGGCAACAGCAGCTCAGTGCAAAGATGGGTACACATTACAGAGATGGACTTTGAAGCAGACTTTACTGAGCTCATTCTAAACAGACGCTATGGTGCAAGCAGCTCATGCGTTCTGGAATGTGAAGCCTCTGACAAAGGTCTTGGGAGAGAGATTGGAGTCATCTTGGGTAAGGGTGGGGGTAGGACAAGATAATGTAGGATAGGTTTTTGAGAGTAGGGAAACTCGTGTAGGGATTTATGGCTCTCACTACAGTGGCATTTAAATGGATTAGTCATGTAAGATCTTGAATGTGGACCTACGGCTGGAGTCTTCAGGGACCCGGGGTGACAAGGCAACTTTATTTTAGCCGAAAAGCAGCAAGTTCTTCAGCTCTGAGTAACATTGATGTCAAATAACAACCCCTTAGCACTGGCAAAGAAAGATGAAAAAGAAAAGGAAAATGAAAGAATTAAAAAAAAAGGGATGAAAGGAAGAAAAAAGAGGAATGTACTGGAGAGAGAAAATAGGAAAGGAAAAAGTAAGGCAGGTCATAGCCAGGGATGCGTTCTGCTCACAGTTGCCTGCCATGCACTGTGCTGCCCAAGGCGCCTGCCCTGCCTCCATCAGTCACTTCAGCTGGCCGAGAGGAGGTCCAGGATGCCAGAAGACTATAGTCAATTTCATCTTTCTGACTATAAACAATTCAAATGGAAAAATGTTGGATGAGACCCCAGTGGCTCAGTCTGGATGGAGGAGATTTACTCATCAATCTTTGAGTTTTTTCACTTCTGGGGATTGTCACCCATGTCAGATCCATCTGGACATCTCAGCTTTTTATTTTTTTCCCAAATGTCTAGCCAGGAAGAATATTTAACACATTTAAATGTAAGAAACTAGGACATAGAGAGAAAAAACTGGGTGTTAGCATCAGTTTCTCCCTTTTTCATAAAGTCTAAGTGTTATTATAAGATCGTTAGATCCATTGAATAATTGAATTTGTTTAACTACTACGTCACAAGGGCTTGGTAGACACCAGACACTGTACAAGCTATTGTTGGGCTTCTTTTTTTGCTTTTGCTTTTTTTTTGTTTGTTTGTTTTTGTGTTTTTTTTTTTGTTTTTTTGAGACAGGGTCTGGCTCTGTTGCCCAGGCTGGAGTGCAGTGGCATGACCTTGGGTCACTGTAACCTCTTCCTCCTGGGTTCAAGCCATTCTCCCACCTCAGCCTCCTGAGTAGCTGGGACGACAGGTGTGGACCACCACACCCAGCTAAGTTTTGTATTTTTTTTTTATAGAAACAGGGTTTTGCCATGTTGCCCAGGTTGGTCTTGAACTCACGAGCTCAAGTGATCCATCCACCTTGGCCTCCCAAAGTGTTGGGATGACAGGCGTGAGCTACTGCACCCAGCATGGACTCCTAATAGGACCCCCTATGTCATAAAGATGAGATCACACAATGGACAAAAGAACAACAGAGACGATATTGCAAGGCGTTCCCCTAGTTACATGTCTGGTAAAAAAACAAAACTCATTCTCATGAGTTCTTCCTTACATCTTTCTACTACTCTGCCTTTTCCTGTTTTCTGCCTGTACCACTGATATCTTCTGTGCTTAAAAGTGCTGCTTGAAAATAACTTCAAGGCTAAATAATCCCATTTCTTTAGCAGTCAAACTTGAATCAGGATTTTTTGTTACTCTATTTTCCATCTGCTATAGACTGAAAGTTTTCATTCACTCAAAAT